>NC_000006.12:32484242-32787272 GCF_000001405.40 Homo sapiens | reverse complement strand
AATGGAAGTAGCTGATTAAATAATTCAATGAGCTTTACTCAACTATCTACTTTTCACAGCCTCTATTTTGTCCCCTGTGGAAGCACATAACAGGGCTTAGCTTTGGTGTTGTAGCTCTCTGTCAGAATACGCAATTAGTAGGTCTCATATATAAAATTTCATTTCATCTTAATATTAATCCCACCAAATGGAAGCTATCTAAACTTTAAAGTTAAAATGACTGAGGCTAACAGAGAATATGTGATTTGTTGAGGGTCACAAACTTAACGAATTCTCCAACTACGGGACAAATGCATTTTTCTCAAAATCTGTTACCTTTTATATTATATCCCAGTGTCTCATAGTGCCAAGACAAGGAAAAAATGAACAATTCTTAGACAATTATCTTCTTTTCCAGGGAATATCTTTCCATTTTCTTTTTCCCATCCCTCTCCTACCCTCCCCAGCTACAGTCAAACCTCAAATATAAGAACCAGAGAATTTAAATAAATGTCACAAGAAGAAACATCCTGAATCGTGTTCTTCTTCTGGTTCCTGAAACTTCCAAACATATCTTCAGCGTTATCACAAAGTTCAGTGATACTTAGGAATAACCTAGTGCTGGACACCAAGTAGATGACCAATGAATAATTTTTGTATTTTTAGTAGAGACGGGGTTTCACGATGTTGGCCAGTCTGGTCTCGAACTCCTGACCTCAGGTGATCCACCCGCCTTGGCCTCCCAAAGTGCTGGGATTACAGGCATGAGCCACCGCACCCGGCCCAGAAACAGATTTCTTATCTGAAATATCAGAAGGCAGAAAACAACAAGAGGGAAAAAAGGCTGCTAACTTAACGCATGGGGAAGCAGGGTGTGGGCAGGAAATGCAGTGTAAGAGAGGAGATTTGTACAGGGCGATGGAAGAGACAATGGAGAGAAGACAATCTGAGCAGAAGCTGTGAGGAGTAGATAGATGCTGGGGAAAGGGACTGCTAATTATGGTGTTATTTTAAAACTAGCTTTGTGTTTAAAATTCTCATTGCAACACCCTCAGAGACCTCCACTGCACTGCAAAAATCTTGGATTTATATTTTGTTTATCTTCTGGTGTAAAACTGAGCTGAAGCACACTGATTCTACTAGAAGAAGTCAATGTCCTAGGAAGACATTGACAGCTGTAGGGATGTTAACTGGGTCATCTTCACCAGTAGGTGGGGACATTGCACTTTAAAAATTCAAGGGAGCTGCTGCTTTCCCTTCTCTCCTGGCCCCTTGGCAGGTCTAGATTTGAGGGATCAGCATTTCTTGAGGGTGGTAACCCAGCCACTCTTTTTTCCCTTACTCTTCCTTCCATGTGTTCAAAATATGATGCAATCTGAGATGTGGTTATGGGTGTTTGAGAAGCAAAGAAGCATGACTGGAGCAGGAGTTAAAGTCTGCTTTTGTTTGAGAACTGAAGAGCTCAGTCTTTTACACGCTTTCACAGATAAGAGATTGGTACTATAAAATTACATGCTTAAAACAAACTTCGCTGCTGTCATTCTAATGCAAGCCACTATCCTTTTTCACATTGAGCATCCTGCCACCATCTGCAGCATTCTTGATATTTCAGTAAGAATTAAATTTTATTTTGCAATCAGTATTTTAAATTTATCAGGATACCTGTATATAGTTTGAGGATTAAACAATAAAGATGTATTTTAATGAAAACAAGAGCCCTTCATGCCATTCCTTTCCTCCACTAGCATTATCCCCAGGTCAATGACTTTTAATGGTAATATGTGTATCTTTGTGTATGTGGGGTATTAATTTAGACATCAGTTATCTAATTATCTGAAAGCAGATAATTTAGACCACCAACAATTTTATGTCTCTGGCATCCTTCTTGCAATTTTATTATATTACTATGTTTAGTTCCTCTGTAGGTAATCCCTGTATTTAAAAAAAAAACAAAGAAAACCTACACCTAAGTATATTGTATTTAAACTGTAAAAAAAGTTGAAATACATAAATACTGCTTAGAAAAGCAAAGTGGGATGGGAAAAGTACAAGTTATTACATTTTAGTATATTTCTTAAAAATGAATATAACAGGTAGATATTTGTTAGTATGCATTACAAAATTTGGGCAACATAGTTATGAAGTATATTTGGATATTTTTCAATACATATATTACACAAAGGAAGAAATAAAGTACTGCTCAAATCAATGGATTAAATAACCTAGTTGAAATATTGGAAAGTAGATGAACAGTAATTCACAGAAGAAACTCAAATGGAAAACAGCATATGCAAAGATGGCCAACTTTCTCTATAATATTTGACACAGTAATATTATGTCATTTCAGTTTAAATAAAATTATACATTGATAAAAATGTGAAATCACGTCTTTGAGGGGTTACTAAGAAACTGTCTAGAAGCATTGTTCTAGAAGCTGATGTGGTTTTGGAAGATCAAGTGTGAATGTCCAAAGGCACTTCTGTTGAATAAAACGCCAAGTGGAGGAATTGAAGATCCCTGATTGTGGAAGTATCCAACTGTTTAGAACTCAACTGAAATCCTGAATGATAGTTCTCTACATGTAGCAGGAGGAGCAAGTGACTCATGGAAATAACGGGTTTATTTAAATAAAGATAGCCTTTATGTGGACATCAAATTCATCAATGAATGTATCCATTTATTTGTCAAATAATTATTTAGCTCCTACTAAGTGCTACATGCTATTCCAGATAACTTAGTCAAAAAGGCAAATGTGTCCCTACCTTTATGAGCTTTAATTCTAGCAGGAACTAAAAAAAGTCACATAATAAACAGACATAAAATGCAGTGTTAGGTTGTGATTCTTGCTATGAAGCTACAAAAGAGGAAAGCTGAGTAAGGGAATAAAGAAACAAAGTGCTTATCAGTAGTGAACTTCCATGCAGGCCATGACAGGCTCATTTCAAAAGAAGCAGAAATATTTTATTATTTTTCCTTGGGTTATTAGTGTCACATGTAAGAATAGTGCACTAGATTTACTACCACAGATTTTTGTACTTATACTTATTTTGAACAAAATAACAACGTCTAGATAGTTCCTTTCCTCCTGCAAGAACTAAGTGTATGTAAGTCCTCTCTTTTGTAATCTAGTTTATTTTTTTCACATGTGAGGATCCCAGATACTATTAGGATGCCTTCATTGCTAATTGGATCTTGGAAAATATACTTTCTTGCTTTACAAAATATATTTCCTTTTAAGCCTCAGAGTAAATTTTGAAATGATCTACCCATGGATTAGTCCTCTGATTTTAACTAGTATCATTATTCTAGCTGTAAAGGACATCTATTCAAACTGTGTACAGGTAAGATTATCCAGGGGGTATAGTTTAGAGCACCCATATAATTTTCAATAGATTATGTGATTTTACAAGAATCTATCAAGTTAATGTTTCAAGAATATTGATAATTACTTTTAGACGTTTTGCTGAAAAAATACAAATAGACAGGGAGTCCATAGTAATAGGGTGGGTCTAAAGTTATGTAGTCTGAGTGAGGACATGGGATGTTAAGTCCAGAGACAGGCCATATGCAGACAGCCAGAACAATGTCTCAAAATCTACAAATGGCTGGGCCTGGATCAGTAATTCTTATGTGAAGGATGCCAGAAATGAGCAACGTAAACCTTAACAGAGTCTGAAAACACATCTCAAGGTAGAGGTTAGAATGAATCCACCTGCCATCCCAGCCTGATACACATGCTAGAATGGGTTATAGAAATGGGCTAACAGGAAAAAAGTCATTGAAATCATGGAAAAGACCGAAATGAAAAATGTGAGATAATATAAAGGTCCATATATGTTATTTATTTCAGTAAAATGCAAATAGACTTGACTTGTGATCAAAAGACAGAGATTGACAAATTGAATGCAAAAATACAAATTCAGATTATACTGTTTACAAGACATATGTCTAAAGCATAAAAGTCATTTCAGAGATTGAGTGTAAAAGACAGAAAGGATATATCATGCAAATACTAATTTTGAAAAATGATATCAATTTATTAATGTAAAAAACAAATTTTAAGGAAAAAAGGCATTGTAGATTTTTCTTCATCTCTTTATTTTGAGCCTGTGTGTCATTGCATGTGAGATGAGTCTCTTGAAGACAGCATACCAATACATCTTGGTTCTTTATCCAGCTTGTCACTCTGTGTCTTTTAATTGGGGTATTTAGCTCATTTACATTTAAGGTTAGTATTGATATGTGTGGATTTGCTCCTGTCATCATGATGTTAGCTGGTTAATTTGCAGACTTGTTTATGTGGTTGCTTTATAGTGTCACTGGTCTGTGTACTTCAGTGTGTTTTTGTAGTGGCTGGTAACAGTCTTTCCTTTTCATATTTAGTGCTTCCTTCAGAAGCTCTTGTAAGGTAGGTTTGGTGGTAATGAATTTGCTCAGCATTTGCCTGTCTGAAAAGGATCTTATTTCTCCTTCAATATGAGGCTTCATTTGGCCAATTATGAAACTCTGAGTTGGAATTTCTTTTCTTTATGAATATTGAATATTGGCCTCCAATCTCTTCTGCTTGTAGGGTTTTAGCTGAGAGGTCTGCTGTTAGTCTGATGGACTTCCCTTTGTAGGTGACCTGATCTTTCTCTCTAGTTGTTTTTATTTTTTATTTTTTAACATTTTTTCTTTCATTTTGACCTTGGGGAAGCTGATAATTGTGTGTCTTGGGGATAAAAGTCTTGTGAAGTATCTTATTGGGGTTCTCTACATTTCCTGAATTTGAATGTTGGCCTCTCTAGCTAGATTGGGGAAGTTCTCATGGATGATATCCTGAACTATGTTTTCCAAGTTGGTTCCATTCTCTCCATCTCTTTCAGGGACACCAATCAGTCATAGATTTGGTCTCTTTACATAACCCCATATTTCTCAGAGGTTTTGTTCATCATTGGGGAAGACAGTGTGGAGATTCTTCAAAGACCTAAAGACAGAAATACCATTCAGCCCAGCAATCTTATTACTGGGTATATACCCAAAGGAATATAAATCTTTCTGTTATAAAGGCACATGCATGTATATGTTCATTGCAGCATATTCACAATAGCAAAGACATGGAATCAACCTAAATGCCCATCAATGATAGACTAGATAAATAAAATGTGGTACATATACACCATGGAATACTATGCAGCCATAAAGAAACAAAATCATGTCCTTTGCAGAGACATGGATGAAGCTGAAAGTCATTATCCCTAGCAAACTAATGGGGGAACAGAAAACCGAATACTGTATGTCCTCACTTATAAATAGGAGCTAAATTATGAGAACACATGAATTCATAAAGGAAAACAACACACACTGGGGCCTATCAGAGGGTGGAGAGTGGGAAGAGGGAGAGGATCAGGAAAAATAACTAATAAGTACTAGGCTTAATAACTGTTTGACAAAATAATCTGTACAACAAACCTCCATGACACAGGTTACCTATGTAACAAAACTGCACATGTACCCCGAACTTAAAATAATAGTTAAGAAAAGAAAACAGGCCGGGCACGGTGGCTCACGCCTGTAATCCCAGCACTTTGGGAGGCCGAGACGGGCGGATCACGAGGTCAGGAGATCGAGACTATCCTGGCTGACACAGTGAAACCCCGTCTCTACTAAAAATACAAAAAATTAGCCGGGCATGGTGGTGCCCGCCTGTAGTCCCAGCTACTCGGGAGGCTGAGGCAGGAGAATGGCGTGAACCCGGGAGGCGGAGCTTGCAGTGAGCCGAGATCGCGCCACTGCGCTCCAGCCTGGGCGACAGAGCGAAACTCCGTCTCAAAAAAAAAAAAAAAAAAAAAAAGAAAACAAACAAACAAAAAGCAAATTAAAAATAAAAGCTATGGTTGAATCAATGATGACATTGAGGAATAAAACAAGCATTAGGATCATGACATTAGCACAAAGCCATTCATGAGGGATCTGCCCCCATGGTCTAAACATCTCCCATTAGGCCCTGCCTCCAACATTGGGGATCAAATTTCAACATGAGATTTGGAGTGGACAAATATCCAAACTGTGGATGGGAATGCATGTGGAAGAAATACTTAATACAATTGCATTTAAAAAGTAGAGAGGGTAAAATATGCTAATGGTACTAGAGATACGGACTGTATCCTTCACTCAAAGTGGTAAAACATCAATACCAGTAGACTGTGATAAGTTATATGTATATATTGTAATAAGTACAACCACCACCAAGAAAGCTATATGAAGCAATGTACTAAAAAGGATTAAAAAGTATGAGTGTAGATACAAAAGTTCTTCCTGAGAACTTCAAATAAGATAGATATGCATATGGTGAGTAGGGCTGAAGTCTTGACTTCTATGCCTGAAAGTAGGCATTATTGGCTGGGAATTTAATTCCTAAGTGGGAAAGAAACCAAAAGTGCTCTATGGAGGAAAGACAGCCAAATTTTGACTTTCTGCTTCTGGCTAGGAGCTGAGGTTGGGCTCCCCATGATTTTAAAGGAGGTTGAGGAGAATGTTTTCAAACACTTGTATGCTATAGATATAAGGAAGTGAGAAGACACAGAATAACTTTCTCAAAAGGAACTGAAGCAAATAAAAAACAACTGTCCTGAGAAGATTGTTATTGTTCCAGATATTACAACAGGACAATAAATCTGAATGATCACTGAAGAACTGGGATTTTGATTGGAAGCCTGATGGGCTGAGGTGGAGTGGCTAAATAAAACCTCTGGACAGGGACAGTGGAGTACAGAAAAGAAGAGGAGGGAGGAGAGTAAAAGAGATGGGCAATGCTATGGTTTGAATGTTTATTTTCTCTGAAACTCATATTGAAACTTAATCCCCATAGTAATAGTATTAAGAGGGCTGTAAATCCAACTATGGTATTTGAGAGGTGGCACCTTTGGGAAGTAATTAGGATTAGATGAGGTCTTGAGGGTGGGGCATTGAGAGGAGAAACAGAGACCTTGAGCCATACCCCTTTGCCCTCTTGTCACATGATGCTCTGCACCTCATCAGAACTCAGCAGAGGGCCCACCAATAAGAAGACTCTCACCAGATGCTGGCACCATGCTCTGGGACTTCTCATCCTCCAGAATCATAAGAGATACATTTTGTTTCTTCATAAATTACCCAATTTTTGGCATTCTGTTACAAGCAACAAGAAACAGACTAAGGCAGAAAATTGGTACTAAAAAGTTGGGCTGTTGCTAATAACAAATATCTGAAAATGTGGAAGCAGCTGTGGAACTGGGTAATGGGTAGAGGTTAAAAGAACTCAAAAAGGCAGGCGAGAAAAAGCCTGTATTGCCTTAAATGTCAATTCTGGTGATAAAGGGTGATTTTGGTGAGGGCTTAGAAGAAGTCAAGAAGACTAGGAAAAGTCTGGAACTCCTTTGTGATGATTTGAGTGGTCAGGACCAGAATGTCAATAGAAATATGGACAGTAAGGGCTGTTCTGCTGAGGTCTCAGGTCTGAGGAACAAGGAATTGGAAACTGGAGTAAAGGCCATCCTTGTAATAAATGGGTGAAAAACTTGGCTCTGAATTGTGTCTATATCTGATGGTTTTATTAGGCTATATGGCAGAAGAAATATCTAAGCAGCAAAGCAGTCAGGCAGCTGCATGGCTACTTTTAACTGCTTACATTAAAGCTGTGAGAGGTAAAAAATAACTTAAAGGTGGAATTTATAATTAAAAGGGAAGCTAAGTGGAAAGATTAGGAAATTTTGCAGCCTGGCCCTGAAAGAGCATTTTCAACAGAGGAAACCAAGGGTGTGTCTGAAGGAATGATTGTTAAGGAGGGACTGATTGATAAGGAGAATTGTATGAATAGAATAAAGCCAGAAGCTATTCATCAAGACAATGGGAGACAAACACTGAATGCACTTTAGAGATCTTCAAGTCTACCCCTGCCATCACAGGCCCAGAGCTCTAGGAGGAAAGAATGGTTTCAGGAGACAGGCCTGGGGTGTCCTCCATGGGCTTGCTGCCCAATGCCACCTCAGGGCAGTGCTTCCCTCATCCTGGTTGCTCCAGCCATAGCTCAAGTGGCCCCAGATGTGACTCATATTGTAGCTGCAGAAGGCACAAGCAGTAAGCCTTGGCAATGTCCACATGCATGTGGTGCTATTTCTGCAGGTCTTCAGAATGCAAGACTAGTGGGAAGGCATAGAAATCTCCACCTAGATTTCAAAGGATGTATCAGACTGCCTGGGAACCCAAGGAGAAAACTGCCACAGGGGCAGGGCCACCACTGTGGGGAAAAGCAAGAGGGATCAGATTGTTACTGTGTCTGTGTAGAAAGAAGTAGACATAGGAGACTCCATTTTGTTCTGCACTAAGAAAAATTCTTCTGCCTTGAGATGCTGTTAATCTATGACCTTACCCCCAACACCGTGCTCTCTGAAACATGTGCTGTGTCGAACTCAGGGTTAAATGGATTAAGGGTTGTGCAAGATGTGCTTTGTTAAACAGATGCTTGAAGGCAGCATGCTCCTTAAGAGTCATCACCACTCCCTAATCTCAAGTACCCAGGGACACAAACACTGCGGAAGGCTGCAGGGACCTCTGCCTAGGAAAGCCAGGTATTGTCCAAGGTTTCTCCCCATGGGATAGTCTGAAATATGGCCTCGTGGGAAGGGAAAGACCTGACTGTCCCCCAGCCCGACACCCGTAAAGGGTCTGTGCTGAGGAGGATTAGTATAAGAGGAAGACATGCCTCTTGCAGTTGAGACAAGAGGAAGGCATCTGTCTCCTGCCCATCCCTGGGCAATGGAATGTCTCGGTATAAAACCCGATTGTACGTTCCATCTACTGAGATAGGGAAAAACCGCCTTAAGACTGGAGGTGAGACATGCAGGCAGCAATACTGCTTTGTAAAGCATTGAGATGTTTATGTGTATGCATATCTAGAGCACAGCACTTGATTCTTTACCTTGTCTATGATGCAAAGACCTTTGTTCACGTGTTTGTCTGCTGACCCTCTCCCCACTATTGTCTTGTGACCCTGACACATCCCCCTCTCTGAGAAACACCCACGAATGATCAATAAATATGAAGGGAACTCAGAAGCCGGCGGGATCCTCCATATGCTGAACGCTGGTCCCCTGGGTCCCCTTATTTCTTTCTCTATACTTTGTCTCTGTGTCTTTTTCTTTTCCAAGTCTCTCGTTCCACCTAACGAGAAACACCCACAGGTGTGGAGGGGCGACCCACCCCTTCAACCACCAAGAGCCTCTGCTAGGGCAATGCTGAGAGGAACTGTGGGGTTGGAACTGCTACAGGGAGTCCTCCCCAGGGAAATATCTAGTGGTGCTGTGACAGTGGGACTGCCACCAAGACTCCAAAACTGTAGAGCTACCAGCATGCAGTCCCAGCTTCGAAAACCCAAGGCACCTGACTCCAACCCATGAGAACAGCCATATATGGGCTGCAACCAGCAAAGCCATGAGGGCAGGGTTGCCTGAGGTCTTGGGGGCCCAACTTCTGCCCCTGTGTGCTCAGGATGAGGAACATGGAGTCAAAAGACATTATTTCCAGCTTTAAAATTTAATGTCTTTCCCTGTTGAGTTTCAGACTTCCTTGAGGCCTGTTACTTCTTTCTTCTGGCCCATTTCTCCTGTCCCAGCATTGTATCTTGGAGGTAGATAATTGGCTTTAGTATCTCAGGCTCACAGATAAGGACTTTGGACTTTTGGACTTTTGAGTTGGTACTAGAGAAAGTTAAGACTTTGGGGCTCTGGAGATAAAATGAATGTATTTGAATGTGAGAAGAATATGAGTTTTGAGGCTGCAGGGGTGAAATGCTATGGTTTGAAAGTTTGCTCCTCTAAATCTTATGTAGAAACTTAATCCCTATTGTAACAGTATAAAAGGGTAAGAAAACAGACCATGATATTTTAGGGGTGGGAGATGTGAGAAGTAATTAGTATTAGATGAGGTCATGAGGATGGGGTGATGGGGCACTAAGGGTTTGATAAGAGGAGAAAGAGATACTTGAGGTAGCCCTCTCAGCCTGCTTGCTATGTGATGCCTTGCACCACAATGGGACTCTGCAGAGGGTCCCCACTAGCAAGGAGGCTCTCACCAGATGCTGGCACCATGCTCTTGGACTTCCCAGCCTCCAGAAATAAATTTTGATTCTTTATAAATTACCCAGTTTCAGGTATTCTATTGCAATCATCAGGAAATTAATTAACACAGCAAAATCGACATCTAGAATACAAAATAATCCCAGCACTTTGGGAGGCCGAGGCAGGCGGATTACCTGAGTTCAGGAGTTTGAGACCAGCCTGGCCAACATGGGGAAACCCTGTCTCTACTAAAAATACAAAAATTAGCCGGGTGTGGTGGTACATGCCTGTAATCCCAGCTACTCAGGAGGCTGAGGCAGGAGAATCGCTTCAACCCAGGAGATGGAAGTTGCAGAGTGAGCCAAGATTGTGCCACTGCACTCCAGCCTGGGCAATGGAGTAAGACTCTGTCTCAAAAAAAATAATAATAATATACAGTAATTGGAGATGAAATTAATTTAAGTGTTCTGGTATATACTATGTAAGTATATGAAGTATAAATAAGTAGAGTGCAGATGACACCAATAACAATGACTTCATTGCTATTCTGTCTCAGTGAAGAAGGGGTCCTGTAGGTATGATTAATTATTCTCTTAGGTGTGTCTTCTCAATGCCAGCAAAGCTAGGTGTGGGTGAAAAAAATACCACCTAGTCTTTTTTGTTAAGTGACTATAAATATCATCAGATCCCTGTGCTTCCCTGTCTCTATCCCCAGGGATTCAATGACATTTATACACTTGGTTCCCAGGTGAGATTTTAATTAATAAACTAATCTCATGACTGTTAGCAATTATAATTAGATATTCTGTCAAGTTCCTAATTCTCACATCTTCAAGTCCTGTAATTTGGTATGAAGGCACTGCGAATTTGGACTTTGAGCTAACAAGATTTAGACAGGATATTGGCCTTGATCTGAGGCTGTAATGGAATGAGACTTTGGGGGGCCCTTGAGAAGGGATTAATGTATTTTACATTTGAGAGGGACATGAATTACAGGTGGCCAGAGGGCTGAAGAGGTGAGAAGGAAAGCAGAATTCTAAGATGGCCCCCAGGAATATCTATCACCCCCTGTTGTACATACCTTATAAAATTATTTTCCTTTAAATGTGGGTGGAACCTACCGAGACCAGCTTCGTCAGGGAGACCCTAACCCAGCAGCGCTAGAGGAATTAAAGACACACACACAGAAATGTAGAGGTGTGAAGTGGGAAATCAGGGATCTCACAGCCTTCAGAGCTGAGAGCCCTGAACAGAGATTTACTCACATATTTATTAATAGCAAACCAGTCATTAGCATTGTTTCTATAGATATTAAATTAACTAAAAGTATTCCTATGGGAAACGAAGGGATGGGCTGAATTAATTGCAGCAGGAACATGCTCTTAAGACATAGATTGCTCATGCTTTTGTTTGTGGCTTAAGAATGCCTTTAAGTGGTTTTCTGCCTTGGGCAGGCCAGGTGTTCCTTGCCCTCATTCCCGTAAACCCACAACCTTCCAGCTTGGGCGTTAAGGCCATTATGGACATGTTACAGTGCTGCAGAGATTTTATTTATGGCCAGTTTATGGCCATAAACTGGGCCATAAATTTGGGGCCAGTTTATGGCCAGATTTTGGGGGGCTTGCTCCCAATAGTAACCAGTAAATTTAATGGTATGATCACTACTGTGATTGGGTTATGTTTTGACTGCAATTAGCCTTATGAAAAGGAAATTATTGTAGGTGAGCATGAACTAATTAGGTGAGCCCTTGAAAGGGACTGAACTTTTCTTGAAGAGGGAGATTAAACATGAGAAAGACTCTGTATTACTGACTTTGAAGATGTAGAGGGCCATGTGGCAAGGAACTGAGAGTGGTCACTGGGAGCTGATACTGATCCCTGGCTGATAGCCAGCTTGAAAACATGGACCTCAGTCATACGTGGAAATAAATTCTGTCAACAGGCAGTGAGCTTGGAAGAGGACTCCATATTCAAATGAGAATTATAAGGTCAGCTTGTGACTTCAGTCTTGTGAGATCCTAAGCAGAGAGCCCAGTTGAGCTTTGCCTAGACTTCTGACCTAGAAAACTGAGATAATAAATGGGTGTTGTTTTAAGCTGCAAAGTTTCTACTAATTTGTTATGACAGTGGCTAGAAAATTAATACAATATGCTTTGTTTATTTAAATTTTACATACTGCACCATAAGCACCTTTGACATAAACAGAATGCTTAAAATTGATATACCTTTCACATATTAATTCTTTACTTTTTCTTAGTATAGTCTAAGAATACTTTCCTGTACGGTTTCTTTCTTTGTTTTGTTATTTAAACTCATCTCACCACTTTTTAATAAAATAAATATTTACTTTTTTTTTCTATATTTTTGTTGATGGCTTTCATGAAACTTCGGTTCTTGTCTTCTTAGTTTAAAAGAATTTAAACAACAGACACACAGCAAAGGAGATACAACATAGAGCAATTTCTTGCAAAGGAGAAAGGATACTCTGAAAGTTAGGTGCAGAATCAACAGTACACCCCAAGAGACAATTCAGGGCAGGTTGCTTGTGCGGGTGAGACAGTGTTGAATGTTACTGGGGAAACTCCCTTTATGGGAGTCTTACATGATTATTCATAAGGGGGTGGGAAGATGTGTTACTAGCAAGCATGTTCTGGGTGGTTCCTCCTCAGTTCTGAGTTCCTTCTCATTTAAACTTTTAATCTGCCTCAGTATAATCTCTGTATGTGTGTATGTATGGGCTCTTTTTACTATCCCACTAACTCACTAATTGACCCAACACTATTTTTAGTAATTTTTCCTATTCCACTGGATTAAAAGTTTGCTTTATTATGCACTACATTCTTAATTTATCCAACATAAATGCAGGATAACTTGTTCTATCCTTGAAAGCAGTCCCAGTTTGATGTTCTTTAGAGAGGCCAGAGCAAATTTCCCCATACTCCATTTCAAATACTTCAAATTATATTGCAACCTCTTGAAAAATATCAAATTAGGATTGTATTTCTAACACCAAGAAAAATGATTTAAAATTCTTTTAAAATAGCTTCTTGTCCTAAAAATCTCACCATAATTTCCTCATCACTATGCTGCTTTCTCTTTCATTCCATATTGGTGTCATGACAATCAAGTATATTTCAAAAAACTTGTTTCCGGACCCCTTACATCCCACTGAGTTCCATTCCTCATTAGCTACAGCCCATTACCCTACAAATTTGGATAGACTCCAGAAGAGTAGAGTGGGCCCTTATGTACTTTGAAGAAGTGAAGAATATAACCTGTAACATTGAAGGCTTCTTAGAAATATGTTTGTCTCCCATCCCAAAATTTTCTCAAAGGGTTTGCGACTTCCTAGAAATGTAATACAGTGGTCCTCCCTTATCGATGGTTTCACTTTCCACAGTTTCAGTTACTGGTGGTCAATCAATCACAGTGTGAAAATATAGGTGTTTAGTACAATAAGATATTTTGAGAAGAGGGGAGAGAGAAAGAGACAGAGAAAGAGAGAGAGAGATCTCATTTACATAACTTTTATTACAGTATATTGTTATAATTGTTCTATTTTATTATTAGTTATTGTTGTTAACCTATGACTGCACAATTTGTAAATTAAACTATATCATATGTTTGTATGTGTAGAAAAACATAGCATATACAGAGTTTGGTACATGCCTTCAGGCATCCTTTGGGGTGCCTTGCAACATATCTCCCATGGATAAGAGGGGGCTATTGTAAACAAAATTTTCAATTTCATTAATTGTGGCATAAATTAGGTTCTGTTTATGTGCAGCCAATATCATTCCACAGTTGTCCTTTTTTTGGGGCACTATGAACATGTTTTAATTGTTTAGCTTTATAATCATTTGTAAACATCTATTAGAGTACCTCTCCTTATTTTTATCAATAGTTGTTTTTGTATACCGCTCTTGAAAGTTAGAAACATTTTGTTAATAAAACTGTCTTATTACTATTTAGATTAAAGCATCACCAAATCCATGTATTTTGTCTGGAAAAGTGACACAAATTGCCCTGTCCAAGAAAGTGGTATCATTGTTTACTAAACTTCTTTCTGTCCTTAAGTAAATTTCTATTCTTTTCTGTGGATTGCACACATGACTGCTTTGATATTTTGTATATTTATTGCTCTTTTCAATAATTTTTTTTCTGGAATGGATTCATTGACCTAATCTGCCAGAGAGAATTAATGAGGCCCCACATCTTCTCATTAGTTGGAGAAGAAAGTATTTAATGGTTTAACTTGAACGTGACTTTTGTGAATCTTTTTTTTTTTTTTTTTTAAAGCAGAATCCTGTATTTGGTTACATTCTGGTCTAGTGACCACTTCCTTCAGGTAAAGCAAGCTTCCCTGTCTGGAACAGCCAGGCATGTGATAAAAAATTTCCTTTGTGGTCACTTAGTTATTATTCCTCTTGTCTTGAGTGTCTGGGCTGCTATTTTCATGTATTTACATCCAAATGAAGTCTTTCTTTCCAACTTTTTATAGTATGTTTTGATTCACAAAATATTTTAGCCTTATCTACAATATAATAATTTCTCACAAATGCAAAGAATATAGGTTTGTACAGTTTTGAAGTAATATTGGCAAAAGAGTATGAAGCAGAGTGCCCATATTTAAATATAACTTTCAACATGTTAGTCTTTCTATAGGTGTTTTCAGGATAATAAAAATTAATTTGATTGATATAGACTTGGGGGCAATATATGAGAAACAGGCTCTGCTCTAAAGGATAGGATGAGAGGTGGGCAGGGAGGATTTGTATGGTTTGAATTCCAGGCACACACGCTAACTGCTAATTTGGCATCATCCACCAGGTTGAATATTTTCATGAAATTCTGTCTTACATCTCTGCTAATCCTAAAACAAAGAATGAGGATCATTTCAGGTGAGTCTAAGTCAGGAGAAACTATTAAAATTGTTATATTCTTCATTTAATTTTTTTCTATGATTATTTTTTCTTCTTTTTATACTAATTAGAATAGGCCAAACTGCTGCAACAAATAGACTAAAATGTGTATTGTGGCTGAAATATAGTAGAAGTTTATAACTCACTAATGTAGCAGAAGGAGGATATTGAAGATTTGTGAGTCACTTTTCTCCAGGTGGTGATTCAGAATTCCAAGCTCCCATAGTCCAATATGGTGCCTTTCATTTTTTTTCCTGAGAAAATTAACACATTTTAATTTTTCCTCAAGAAGGGAGGTACAAGAGTGATCAATTGTGATCTAGAAGATTAAGGCAAGAAAGTTAGTGAAATTTGCTACAGTGTCTACTATTATAGTTGTCATTATGACTGTAACTAATATTTGTTTCCCTCCTTCACAAGCCATTCTTGATTCCCCTCATCCTCTGAATTTAGTCTAGTTTGTTTTTCTGTTTTGGTGACAGAGACAACTATTCCAGAAGGGTCTATGTTACTATTTACTCTGTTCTTGAATTATGATTGTTTTAGTGTCTACTGACAGACATGACCATGCATAGAAGCACTAAAAGACTATTGTATTTTCATCTGGGATAGTAGTCTCTGTCACTAAACCAGAAGAACAACCTAGTTTTTAGACCTGTTCAAGCTTGGTTCCAAAGGAACCACTTCTGCTGCAGATGGATTGTGGTTGGTATCCCCAAACTTACGACTCCATGGATTTATAGCTCTTCGCATCATATGGACAATTTAAGGCACATGGTCAGTGTGCTAAGTGCCTATCAGGAAGAAATGAACACTTGGTCATAGTTTTAGAACTATGAAAGGAAATTAAATCTTGGGACTCCAACTCATTAAGCCTAAGGGAAAAGTTAATCTGGGAACGGGGTTGCGAAAACCCGCCTCCCCCTTTTTGGTTCCTAAATAAGATGGCTACAAAATGAAAAGCTACATGCCTCCCTCATATTTTGTCCACAAGGAAAGTCCTTGTGAGCTGCAAGATCTTTACTCTAAGGTGTTTCTGTTAAAATTTTACCATGGCAATGTAAATTGGTAGCTTATCTTTACAGGTGTAGTCACGCCCCTGCCCAGAAGACACAAATGCATATCTTTTTTTTTTTTCTTTTTTTTTTTTTGAGACGGAGTCTCGCTTTGTCATGCTGGCTGGAGTGCAGTGGCGCGATCTTGGCTCACTGCAACCTCCACCTCCCGGGTTCAAGTGATTCTCCTGCCTCAGCCTCCCAAGTAGCTGAGATTACAGGCATCTGCCACCATGCCTGGCTAATTTTTTTTTTTTGTACTTTTAGTAGAGACAGGGTTTCACCATGTTGGCCAGGCCTGTTTCAAACTCCTGACCCCAAGTGATCTGCCTGCCTCAGCATCCCCAAATGCTAGGATTACAGGCATGAGCCACCGCGCCCGGCCACAAACGCATATCTAATTGTTCCCCTTCCCCCGTTTTGTCTATGTCATCTTATGTAAAAAAAATGCAGATTAACTGAGCCAGACAAAGGCATGAATGACTATTTTTCCTTACCCTCCTCTTACATGAAAATTGTGTACTTCTCAATATCCCTACCCTTTCCCCTTAAATTTAGAGCCCTCAAAATTATCTTCGGAGAAAGGTATAGACCTGTCTCCTGGGTGCTTATTCTTAACTTTGGCAAATAAACCTCCTAAAATGATTGAGACTTGCCATTTTTCTCGATTGACAGAACACATGAGTTCATGCAAAGTTACTGTTGGAGAAGTTTTCCTGTGGTTGTTTTTTGGAACATGTAATATGAATGAAGTGATCAAGAGTTTGAGCTGTGACTTACACTTTAGGCTATAATAGAGTAATTGGTGCGGTTAAGACTTCATCTCTCCTGGGCAGCTTTCTTGAGCTTTAGGAGACTGACTCACAATGGAGCTGAGGCTTCTTCTGTCCCTTGCTACTGATCTGTAAGTAATAAAACTGCTTCACATAATTTGTGTGTGAGTGTGTTCTGTTTCACCAGACTCAGATAAACAGGTAGCCAGTGCATGGTGGACATAAACAGTAGCTCAGAATGCAGTGGGAAGAAGTATCTGGACCTCTTTTCCTGGTGGTTGGCATAGTGATGATCTTTTCTATTCTCCATGCAGTGGAAGTCCTCCCTTTCCTCCCTTGGTATTGGTAATTAGTAAACCTGCTTCATAAACTGTGATTAATATACTAAAATCTCTAATGGAAAAGGTAGACAACATGCAAGATTAGACAGTTTCAGCAGAGATATGAAAGCTTTAAGGATGAATGAAATGGAAATAAAATAAAAATAAATTAACAAAAATAAAGAATGCATTTGACAAGCTCATCAGCAAATGTGGTACAGCCCTGGGAAGAATCAGTGAGTTTGAAATAGATCAATAAAAATTACCCAGAGTGAAACACAAAGAGAGAAAGAGAGTAAAAGTACATTAAAAAAATAAGCCTGGCACAATGTTTCACATCTGTAATCTCAGCACTTTGGGAGGCTGAGGTGGGAGGAATGCTTGAACCTAAAGAGCAGCCTGGGCAACATAAGGAGACCTTGTCTACAAAGAGAGAAAAATTAAGTGGGCAAGCATGGTGCTGGTATTCCCAGCTACTCAAGAGGCTAAGACGGGAGGACTGCCTGAGTTGGGGGCGAGGGTGGGGGATGAAGTGAGCTGTGATCGCACCACTGCATTCCAGCCTGGGCAACAGAGTGACACCCTGTCTCAAAACAAACAAACAAACAAACAAACAAACAAACAAAGGTGATGTAACCATTCAATACAGCACTGCAGCTCTTGGATGCTCTGTTTTGTTTTTCCCCTGCTCTTCTTTTCTCTTTGTATTTCACATTGGGTAATTTTTATTAGGTATCTTATTGAATTAGTTTGTTAAAAGATAAACACATTATTTCGGTTGGCTTTGCTTTTTTAACATTATATTTTGAAATAATTGTAGATTCAAAGGGAGTTACCAAGATAGAACAAAAAGATTCTGTATAGCCTTCATCCAGTTTTCCCCAATTGTAACATCTTACATAACTAAAGTGCAATATCAAAACCAGGAAATTATCCTGACATATATAGTCAAACGATTTTCAACAGGAGTGCCAGGGCCATTAAATGCGGAAAGGACAGCCTTTTCAACAATGGTGCTGGGAAAACTGGAAGTCCACATACAAAAGAATGAAACTGGACTCTTACCCTACATTATAGACAAAATGAACTCAAAATGAATCAAAGACCTAAATGTGAAAACTAAAACCATAAAACTCTTAGAAAAAAAATAGGGAAAATCTTCATGATATTTGATTAGGCAATGATTTCTTGGATATAACACCGAGGGCATAGGCAAGAAATGAAAAAAATATATATAAATTGGACTCCATCAAAATTTACAACTTCTAATTGAGGCATGGAAAACTAAATACCATATGTTTTGATTTGTAAGTAGGAGCTAAGTGGGTACTAAGCTATGGGTACTCAAAGGCATACAGAATGGTATAAAGGACAATGGAGAGTAAGAAATTGGGGAGGATGGGAAGGAGGGTGAAGGATAAAAAACTACATATTGAGTACAATGCACACTACTCAGGTAACAGGTTCACTAAAATTCCAGGCTTCACCACTATACAATTCATCCATATAACAAAAAACCACTTGTAACCTAAAAGCTATTGAATTAAAATTATATTAAAAATTAAAAAAAATTATTATTGAGCATCTACTATGTGTTCAAAACTATTTTAGATGCTATATATTTGCCACTTCATTTAATCCTTGGCATTACTCTATGGAATAGATAATATTCTCATTTTGCAGTTAAAGAAACTCATACTCAGAGAGATTAACTTGGATTTATGAGCAATGTTGACATTATAAAGTAGAGGCAGGAAGACCAGTTAGGATGCTTTTGCAGAAATTAACTTGAGTGGAATTGTCGGTCTGTGAGAATAGAAAATGAATCTTTTGGGAAGATTCTACAATGTTATTGTTTTTGCATAAGTGACTTTTTCCTCTACTCCCTCTTTTCACATGTAAAATGTAGATTTACTGAGGCTAATCAGACTCACAAGAATGTAACCACTTGTGTCATTGCCTACCTTCCCTCCTTTTTTTTTTTTTTTCCTCTCTCTTTCCCTTCCTGCTTACTCTTTCTTTTTAAACATTGAAGTTCTCAAAACCCTCTTTGGAATAAGCATTGATCACAGATGCTCCTGTGATTCGTGTTTTTCCCAGGTGCATCCTGAACCTTGGCAAAATAAACCTCTAATTGATTGAGACCTGCCTCAGTCACTTTTCGGCTTACACCAGGATTTCTTTCTTTTTAAAGCCTGAATAGAATTCCATTGTGTATACATACATTATCTTTACCCATTCATCTGCTGAATGACACAGGTTGATTTCATACCTTGACTATTGTGCATAATGCTGCAATGAACATGGGAGTGTGGATATATTTTCAACCTACTGATTTAAAATCCTTTGTCTGTATCCTGGAAGTGGGATTGCTACATCATATGGCAGTTCTATTTTAACTTTTTGAAGAACCTTCATAATGTTTTCCCTAGTGGCCATACTAATTTACATTCCCACCAACAGTGTGCAAATGTTCCCTTATCTCCACGTCCTTGTTAACACTTGTTATTTTTTGTCTTTTTGATAATAGTCATCCTGAAAAGCATGGATTGATATGTCATTGAGGTTTAAATTGAATATCTTAAGTTTTCCTATTTGAGGATATGAGTAGTCTCCCCAAAATATTACTGCTAATGTTGCTTTTTTGCATGAACCATGACCTTGAGCTGAGCTGGACACTTGAATTCTTGAGTACTTGGACATGAGCTTAAATAGGACTGAAATATTTTTTACATACCTGAATATTAGTTCTTCTCTCTACTGGTAAGAACTTGTAGAAGAAGACATTATAAAGATCTCATAGAGAGATATTTAAGGTTTGTCTGGGAATGAAGGCACATGATGACTACAAATCTAGAAGCTGGGGAAGAGTTGTCTCTGGAAATATCCCAGGCATTACTAGGGAACCAGAAGTAGAGACGAACAGATATGTTGCAAAGAGTGACATGTGTAGGTTAGCTCTGGGTGATGAAATCGTCAGTGGTCCAGCTGAGGTGATGCATGGATGAGATTGACTGGAAGAAGAAACCTGTAGAAACAGATCAGGAAACAAAGCTCCGTTGTACACACGTCCATAGCAGGCAGCCTGGGTTTTCGTCCCAGTCTTCTTCTGTTTTCAAGGGCCATTTCCATACTGCATGAGAAGCCATGAGACTGGTGGGCTCTGGACTCCTGTGCCAGAGATCACTCACCTTCCCCATTTCCCCCAAGTGTCCCAAATGCCTTGTATCATCTGATTTTCTATCTTCCTGCTAAAGCTTTTCCCATACTCCTAGTCCTTCACCCTGCGGTATCCTCCAAGTCCTTACCTGACTTCCACTATGGAGTCTCCCCATGGTTACTTGCTTGAAGGAGGCACTGTTTGAGCACAGCCTCTGAATGCTACAGACTCTCTCTTCAGACTTTCTAAATTGTCATTTTAAAGAGATAACTGTTTAAAGAGAAAAGGCCTACCTTATATGTGTCATGAAAAATTCATGTAACCGGTTACCTAAAAGTTGATATAAGAGAAATATGTAAGTAGCTTCACAAGGTTTTGAAAAATTTGGAGATAATTACTTGATAAATTTTTATTAAAGGAAAATGATATTCTGGGGCCGTATTTCTAATTATGTTACCACTGGCATTAAGGAGGCCACAGAACCTTTCTGACTCTACAGTGTTTCTTGATTCTGGAAGTAATTGCAGGACAGAGTCCTGGATAACCCTTCTGGTGACAGGATGACTCCTGTGTTTACATTCAACTGCACTGACCAGGCACAGATTCTAAGAGATGCTGACCAGGGAAGATGATTTCTCCCTTGATTCCACAAAGAAGGAGTCCACAACCTTTTTCTGCCCTGAAAGAAGAGACAATGTGCCCTGGGGAGAGTCTCCCTAGTGTAACCTTGACCCATAATAACAGCAGTGTCTTTATCCCATCTTCCCACATGGGGTGCGTGTGGTCTCATCCTAAGCGCTCTGTCCCCACAGAGGCCGGGTGGGTGATTTGGGCGAGGCATTCAGAATCAGGATGCTTGTCTGAGTTGCCTTCCTCTGGCCAGGCCAATAGTGGCTGCCCTGAGTAATGGAGCAGGGATAGGAACATTGCAAAGAACTGTAGAGAAGGCTGGATCAGGGGGACACAACTGGCAGAAGCCCCAAACCAAAGCCTTTTAGATTAGGTGTTTTTTTTTTGTTTTGTTTTGTTTTGAGACAGAGTTTTGCTCTTGTCCCCCAGGCTGGAGTGCAATGGAGTGCAGTGGTGCGAACTCAGCTCACTGCAACCTCTGCCTCCTGGGTTCAAGCGATTCGCCTGCCTCAGCCTACTGAGTAATTGAGATTACAGGCATGCACCACCACACTTGGCTAATTTTTTTTATTTTTGGTAGAGACGGGTTTCACCATGTTGGCCAGGCTGGTCTCAAATTCCTGACCTCAAGTGATCTGCCTGCCTTGGCCTCCCGAAGCGCTAGAAAATTACAGGGGTGAGCCACTGCACCTGGCCTCAGATGAGGTTTTAGCCAGTCAGAAAATGGCTCTAAGCTGACACTTTCGTTGCTAGTTGAAAAGTCTGTGTGGCCAGGTGTGGTGGCTCACACCTATAATCCCAGTGCTTTGGGAGGCCGAGGTGGGAGGATTGCTTGAGGCCAGGACATTGAAACCAACCTGGGCAACATAGCAAAATCCTATTTCTATAAAAAATTTTTAAAAAATTAGACAGAATGGCGGTGTGTGCCTGTACTCCCAGCTACTTGGGAGGCTCAGACAGGAGGATCACTTGAGCCTAAGAGGTTGAGGCTGCAGTGTGCCATGATCATGCCAGTGTACTCCAGCCTAGGTGATAGAGCCAGACCCTGTCCCTAAAAAAGAAAAGAAAAGAAAAAAGGAAAATAAAAAAAAAGGAAAAGAAAAGAAAAAAGTCTGTTTGAAGAGGCCCATGAGACTGGGGAGTCCCTAGGTTTGACGTAGACTTTGCCTCACAGCCCCAGAATAAACCTGAGGGAAGCTTCTCCCTTTGAACAGGAAGAAGGGGTGGGCCAGAGGCCTCTATTCTGAGGGACGCTGAGGTGGGGACTGAGAGGACATTGAGGGCATCTTCAGGTCCCTCTCTGCCTATTCTTTCTTGCCCCCAGTTCCGTTCTAGGTCTGAGTTTGATGTTCCTCCTTTATGCTTCCATCGCACCAGTGGAGACCCTCCTTAGACTGGGGGTTACCCTGATCCTGAGTACACCACTGCTGCTAGAAGCCCAGTAACAACGTTCCCAGTCTCAGGTGATCTAAATCTATGCACAGAATAATACAGAATATTAGAGTGGCTCAATGCTTTCATGTGCCACTATTGCAAACCTCTTGCTACCGTCTCTTCCCTGTTTCTTTTTACCTGGTAAACATATTCTGCTTTTAGATGCTCTCTATCTTCTACTTTACTAATATACAGGGAAGAGTGGGAGGAAGGGAGACAAGAAGAGAGGTGGAGATATTTATTGTCTTGGTTAGGATTACCAGTAATGTTTGTCAGGCATTGTTTTAATTGCTTTATAACCATTAGTACTATCCCTAGCCATGGGCAACGTAAGCCTGATAAGTAAGAAATTTATTTATAAAAACACATTGGTACCTCTGCCATTTTGGATTTGATGTTTAGGGCTGGCCCAATATGACCTGTAACTCTAAACATTTGCTCCATCATTAATACGATTCAGCCCCCAGGAAATTCTTCTTCACAGCTTTTGCTCTCTATCTTCAAAACTAAATGTGACTGTGTCTGAATACTGTAAAATTTGTGTATTGTGCCTTTGCTCATATCAGATGCACCTGTTTCATGGTTCAGGGAGGATTTAAGCAGCTGAAGAACTTACAAGAGAAAAGTCAACAAATACTTTCACTCGAAGAGCATGAATGCAATACCTTCTTGCATAATAAAGAATCACTTGCCAGTAGGGCTGGGTGTCAACTTTTTTTTTTCTTGTTCCTCCTATTAGCCTGATAGTTACACATAACAGTGGAGGAGGCTTTTGTAATATTAAACTAGTCATATTAATGTTAAATTTTTATATGTGAAGATCTAGATGTAAAATGCATAAAACATGATCCACATTTTGCAAAGAGAAGCCTGGGGGTGAAAAGGAGTTCAGTAATTTGTTGACTCTCATAAAGCACATTAGTGGTAGAACTGCAACTCACCATCATTTCCTTCTAAGAACTTTGCTCTTCTCACCAAAACTTAAGGCTCTTCAGAGTGTCTAATAGAAGTGAACATTTCTGTGACAATTTTCTGTTCCCTGAAATATGATCCTCACTTAATTTGCCCTACTAAAAATCCCAAGTGTAAGAACAATAGGTTGTAAGATGTCTACTCTTGAATCACATTTGTCTTTTGCTTCTTAAAACCCCTAAGCCATTCAATCTTCAGCTATTCAGAAATCTTCACCTCAAATGTTCATCTAGTGCAATTTGAAGAAGAAACAGTGCCAGGCATTGGAGTGAGAATCTTCACAGAAAAACGTCTGCCCAGAGGCAGATGAGGTCCTTCAGCTCCAGTGCTGATTGGTTCCTTTCCTAGGGACTCCCCAATCCTACCACACATGGAAACATCCAGAGGTTTTTATTCTTTCCGGCAGGTACATAAGATCCATTAGGTTTGAGCTGTGTTGACTACCACTGCTTTTTCCTTGGTCTCACTTACGTCTTGGAAGATGGCTCTGCAGATCCCTGGAGGCTTTTGGGCAGCAGCTGTGACCGTGATGCTGGTGATGCTGAGCACCCCAGTGGCTGAGGCCAGAGACTTTCCCAGTAAGTGCAGGGCAGCTGCTCTCGAGAGCCACCACTGTGGGAACAGGCTCTCCTTGGGTTGGAGTATGGGGGATGGTGATCTCCATGATCTCAGAACACAGTCTTTTATCACCATTTATTCTTTTTGGGAAATAGAGCTATGTTGCATTTTTATTTCCACCTTATAATGGGTGAGGTGAGGATAATCCAACCCCAATCCCACAGGTTTAAGCCTGAAGGAGGAGAGAGGAAAGAGGAGACAAAGTGTGCATTCACTACCTGTGACAGGACAAAATGACCATGGCACTCCACGGTTATGCATTTCCCCAAAGATATGCATTTCCCCAAAGACACAGTAGGATTTTTCTGCACTGGGAAAATGTAAGGCAGCAATGGTGTCTGTAGTCTCTGTATTGGAGGTAAAGGAGTCTATACTACTGACTCGAGTGGAGAGTTTGTGGAGGCAAACTCTTAGTACTGAGGGAAGGTGACTGGATGACCACAGACAGGGAGTCTTACTTTGGGTTTCACTGATTTATGGGCAAAAGGTGACTTGAGTGGGATTCAGGGACCTGAGTTGATGGTGGACTGAATTTAGTATGATAGGAAGGAGGAAGTAAAGAAGGGAAATAATACATATTGAGAAACCACTCCATTCAGACACAGGACAGTACTTTCTATAAATCCTCTCTCACTCCTCCTAACATCCTATGTGTAGGTATCATGATTTTCCTTTTATGTAATTATACTTGTGATATGGATATTCTGTTAAGTAACCTGCCCAAGCTGGTGATTGACTCAGTTTAATTGGACCCTATAGAATTCAAAAGCTTGGGCTCTTTCCATGAATAAATGTTTCCTTCTAGGACTCCGGAGGTGTAGGTCCTTTCTAACACAGAAGTGAGTGAACCTCACAGGGCACTTGGGCGGGTATAGCAGAAAGAGAGTAAATCCAGGCATGGGTTTACTTGGTCTCTTGCCCAGGGACCAAGAGAATACTTACATCAGGATGAGAACAAGCTTAATTCCTGAACCTTTCTCGTTATTCCCTTGAACTCTCAAATTTATGTGGATAACTCTGTCTCCGAGATTCCCAAGAGCTCCATGGAAAATGGGATTTCATACGAGAACGCCCTGATCTAAGAGCAGAGGTCAATGTTGAATCGGTCCGACTGCCCTCTTCACTTGGTTCACAGGCTCAGGCAGGGACTGGGCTTTCCCTCTTACCTCCCTAAAGGAAGGCAGATTCCCGAGGCCCTCAGAGAGGGCGGGCAGGGCTGGGGCAGAGATGCCTCGAGGATCCCAGGTCCGGAGCACGAGGCACGGGCCCAGCCAAGAACTCAATTTCGCGTGGACGGGTTTCGCAGCTGCTGGCCGGGTCAGGGCAGCGGCTGAAGG
The DNA here is from genome assembly GCF_000001405.40 of Homo sapiens. Classification (NCBI taxonomy): domain Eukaryota; kingdom Metazoa; phylum Chordata; class Mammalia; order Primates; family Hominidae; genus Homo; species Homo sapiens. The sequence continues at coordinate 32,761,996 of NC_000006.12, read as the reverse complement.
GTGCGGTCCGGCTGGGGGCTGGGGCTAGGGCCGTGCTGGGGCCTGACTGACCCGCCGTGATTCTCCGCAGAGGATTTCTTGGTCCAGTTTAAGGGCATGTGCTACTTCACCAACGGGACAGAGCGCGTGCGCGGTGTGGCCAGATACATCTATAACCGCGAGGAGTACGGGCGCTTCGACAGCGACGTTGGGGAGTTCCAGGCGGTGACCGAGCTGGGGCGGAGCATCGAGGACTGGAACAACTATAAGGACTTCTTGGAGCAGGAGCGGGCCGCGGTGGACAAGGTGTGCAGACACAACTACGAGGCGGAGCTGCGCACGACCTTGCAGCGGCAAGGTGAGCGTCGTCGTCCTTCCGCGGGGCTCACCCTTGGCCGGGGCCCGAGTCTCTTGCGCACAGAGGGGCGAGGACGGCGCGGCCTCAAGGACCGAGCCCTGATCCATCCCAGGGTACAGGAAGGTGGCGGGGATTTGGAGGCTGGGGTAGTATCGGAGGGGCGGGGATCTAGGGCAGAGCAGGGGGATGCACAAAAGCATCCCTTAGTTCCCTGCAGGGTTGGGTTAGGCTGCCCAGTGTGTCCCCAGCCTCCCCGTCCATCGGCCTTGTCCTCTGCTCTGCATGTTCTTGCCTTGTGCCTTATGCGTTTGCCTCCTCGTGCCTTACCTTCGCTAAGCAGTTCTTTCTGCCCGAATGCCCGCCCTCTTCCCCTGCCCGTCCGCCCCACTAGCACTGCCCCACCCAGCAAGGCCCACTTGCACAGCTCGCGCCGCAGGAAGCTTCAGGCTTGGCCTGGTGGAGTTAGGGCTGCTCCACAACTGCGCGCAGGGCATCCAGCAATTACAGTTGTGAAATAAGATATTTTAACTTTTGGCTTCAAATTATTATTCATCGTAATTCTGTTTTCTTAAACGGCTCTCATTCATGGCGGAGCTCTTTGAGGTGAGAGTGTTTTAATCATTGCATGCCTAGTACCTGACTCGTGGACCGGCATGTGGTATGAGCTCAATGATCTTCTGTTAAATTAATGAATAAATGTACTCAGCTGCCCATCCACTTAGGCTCAAGGGAAAGCAGAGGATAAATAGAGCCTTAAAGATGGACTTTATCAATTATTTTCTATTATTTTGCTTAATGCTGTAAACTCTTATTGACTTGGATCTTAGTAAGGTTTGTGAATGCAGTCTGGGGAAAAAGGTGTTTGCTGAAAATAAAAACAACGCTTGAATGGTGTTATAAGGCAGTTTTAATTTCTTAGAAAAGCTGAACAAATGGCACAATGAAAAGAGCAGAAGCTTTGGAATACATAGATTGAAGCCACTAAATTATTGAATAAAAATAGTTTCAGGTTGCTTTTGGAGTAGATTTTCTCCCTCCCCCCATCACTATCCACTTCAGGCATAAACATTCTGAACGTCAATTTTACCCACTTAGTGAGCACTTATTTCTAGACAATTGCCTTAGCAAACACCATCTAAGTTATGTCATTTAATAGCACAGTTACCTGTGCATTAGAGATTAGCATTGCCACTTTATATATCGTAATATTGGTACATGATAAACACTTTAAGTAATCAACCCACAGTTATGCACCAGGACCTGAAGCCTCCCCCAAATACACAGCATTCTTTTATGTTCTTCAATACTCGTCTACACAGCCTAAGGGAAGTAAAGCCTTGTTAAAGCCAATTTTGACAAGAAGCAGCAATGGGTCTATTCCTGCCTGTTTTCACTGTTAATGGGACAAAATGATACTTTCAAGGCATTGAAAATTCACTGATTAATCAATCCCTAGTCTGACCCCAGTGTTATCTATGCAGGTTCACAAAACTTCCTTGCCTTCTTCTGACCCACATCCTAATGCTGTCAATTATTTATATTTTTGCCATTTCAAGTCTATTTCTATAAAAGTTATTCTATCATTTTTTTCTCATGAATTTGTGCCCTCTATTTTTACTTTCAGTCTTTTTAAGATGAACAAATCTTGTAAGTCCCCACATAGCTGACTGTTATTTCAGTCAGACTCCAGGAAGGAGGGCCTAAAGAAAAGTTCAAGTCCAAGCAGAAACCAAGATTCCTTCCAGACAATGGCTCATGAGTGCCATTTAATTGGGGTGCTACCTGCTGACCTCAGCAAATCCCAGCTATATGTATATGTTTGCATTACAGGCACATTCACCCAGGCCAACCTCTGCATGGATCTCAGAATATTTCCTATGGAGAACGTACATGATAATGTCTGATTTCAGAACAAGAAAGTAATTCTCAATAGCAAGGGGATGGAGTAGGGTAGGCAGCTAGTAATTACACTATCTTGAGGGTTAAAAGGAAATTAAGAAAAAGCAGGAAAATGAGAGAACATATTACCAAGTAAATAAAGCATACATTAAATATTTACTATAATTTTACACTAAAGAAATAAAGGAAATGCAGTAAAATGGCCAGAGAGGTAAAGGTTAAGATGTATAAAATATGCAGGGAAAGGTGTGTCATTTTTGACCATGAGCAGCGCTCTGAGAAGATAAAGGAATTGAGTTATGGGCAAACATGATGTTTGATCAGTGTTAGTTTTTTTCAAGGCCTGCCTACTTTTCCTTCAAATATTACAAACTTTTGAAATAACATTCAATTTTTTGGTCTCTGTTACTAGATTGCAAGTTCTATAAAGGCAGGAACCAGGGTTTGTTGTTTATTTTTGGATTCTCAGTGATTGTCAAATTTATATTTGTTGAAGGAACCTTAATCCAAGACTTGGACTCCAGGTATCTTTCTATTCTGGTTCCAAGGAGGGACCTTCCTCACAGCAGGCGTGCTGTGTGGTCTCACATCTCACTCCTATATCTTTCCCTGTCTGTTACTGCCCTCAGTGGAGCCCACAGTGACCATCTCCCCATCCAGGACAGAGGCCCTCAACCACCACAACCTGCTGGTCTGCTCGGTGACAGATTTCTATCCAGCCCAGATCAAAGTCCGGTGGTTTCGGAATGACCAGGAGGAGACAGCCGGTGTTGTGTCCACCTCCCTCATTAGGAATGGTGACTGGACCTTCCAGATTCTGGTGATGCTGGAAATAACTCCCCAGCGTGGAGACATCTACACCTGCCAAGTGGAGCACCCCAGCCTCCAGAGCCCCATCACCGTGGAGTGGCGTAAGGGGAAACTGGTTTCCTTTTACTGTGGGCCCCACAAGACAAAGGGCAGAGCTCCCGCTGATCCTTCCCATCCCATCTCTTGTCCCTGACATCACTACTGAGCTGGGAATCACAGGAGACTAGAGCACCTGTTGCCCCATGGCAAGCACATCAGATGAATCCTGATCTCTTTGTCTTTCCAGATACCAGGGAGATCACTTTCCACATTTGTGTTAGTCCATTCTTGTACTGCTACAAAGAAATCTCTGAGACTGAGTAATTTATAAAGAAAAGAGGTTTAATTGGCTCTTCTCACTCCACTATAAAGAAATACCTGAGAATGGGTAATTTATAAAGAGAAGAGGTTTAATTGGCTTATGATTCTGAGGCTGTAGGGGAAGCATAGTGGCTTCTGCTTATGGGGAGACATATGGAAGCTCCTAATCATGGCAGAAGGAAAAGAGGGAGTGAGGTGTCTCACAGGGCAGGGGCAGGAGCATGAGAGAGAGGGGGTTGGTGCTACGCAGTTTTACATAACCAGATCTCATGAGAACTCACTATTGTAATGACAGTACTAAGGGAGATGGTGACAAGAATCTGGTCTAATGATCCAGTCACCTCCCACCAGGCTCTACCTCCAACATTGTTAATTACAATTGAACATGAAATTTGGGTGGGGCCACAGAATCAAACCATATCAACACTACTAAAGCCCCAGAACCAGCTCTGACAGCTATGAGAGACTGACTTAGGGCTGGTGACTGGGGCCTTAGGGTTTAAGGTTATGGATGAAGTCCTGAGGGGCAGGGGTGTGCTTCTTCCTCTCCCTCACCCACCTATTGTGTCCAAAGACCTACTGGCTGGTCTTTCTCTTCCCTAGGGTGGTCAGACTGGAGAACTAGTGTCCCCTGACATCTCCACCTCCTGTACCAAGGACATTATGGGGTGTGGGGACAAACACTCACACTCAGTTCTGCTCCTTAGGGGCTCAGTCTGAATCTGCCCAGAGCAAGATGCTGAGTGGCATTGGAGGCTTCGTGCTGGGGCTGATCTTCCTCGGGCTGGGCCTTATCATCCGTCACAGGGGTCAGAAAGGTGAGGAACCCAAGGGGGAAATGGGGAAGATGAGCTGTGACCCAGACCCTCTATTCAGAGAGGTTCTGTCTCTAGATGTAGCTCTTTCCTCCTTACCCTGAGAGGAAGTGCGAGGAGACAGGACAAGATTGGAGGAGGCATTGGAATCTGATTTTACTGGGTGAATGGTAGCGCTGCCAGAGCTGACTGATAGAGCTTATTCCAGGGCGTCCTTACCGTTCATCATCGTCTCACTGGCTCCTTTCTAAAAGCTTCCTCCATTATGAGGGTCAGAGCCTCGGCCTCCTTGTCTTCTAGTGACAATTTCCTTTGTTTTGGGGGATTTTAACTTAGGGTGCTTAAGGACTTAAAGAACATGGGAGGGAAGAGGATATAACCCCAATTAAACTACATGTGTCATTTTCCTTTGGGGTAAGATAGTGGTTGTTTGTTTAACAAGACCTTTCTCTGTATAACTTCCTTTTGTAGGACCTCGAGGGCCTCCACCAGCAGGTAATATTTCAGCCATGATCCAGTCAGGGGAGAGGGCACAGGCATAAGAGGGAAGAGCCATGGTGAAACCGCATCTCTACTAAAAATACAAAAATTAGCTGGACGTGGTGGTGTGCATCTGTAATCCCGGCTACTTGGGAGGTTGAGGCAAGAGAATCACTTGAACCCAGGAGGCAGAGGTTGCAGTGAGCCAAGATGGCGCCACTGCACTCCAGTCTGGGCGATAGAGCTAGAGTCTGTCTCAAAAAAAAAAAAGAAGAGCATGAGCGGAGTGTTCCAGGGCACAGTGGTCTCTGTTCATGGCCTGTTTGCTGCTATGAGGGTTAAGACTTAGGGGAAAAGTTTGCCAGTTTCTACGAATCTCCAGAGATTGTTTCCTAGAACCAGGCCTTAACTTTGGTGGCATCTTTTTGTGAAATGTGGGGACAGAGCCACATCTTGAATGTGAGATAGTAGGGTGATGCCCACTTTGTGCCACATTTTGTTAGCTACTGCCTGTAGGCATTTTCAGTGACTAAAAGAGGCTGCTAGTGGTGGAGATGAAGTGTCACCCAATTTACTAAAAAAATCAAACTCTTCATATTACCCAGAAGGGTAACTGCTGTTCCCCCACCTCCACATATCTGCATCAAGCTGAAGTTCTGTGTCCTCATGAGCTGATTTTACCTTTACACAGATATTGGGGAACGTGATGATGATATGCCCTGGACCTCAGCATCCTCTGTTTGATGCTACAGAGGGAACTGAGGACTAGGGGAGAGGGTGTGTCCCTCAGGGTACCCTGTGCTGATCATGCCTCGTCTCTCTTCTCCAGGACTCCTGCACTGACTCCTGAGGACTTTTGTCTGGGATTGGTCATCACTCTTCTGTAATGCCCACCTGCCCCTGCCCAGAATTCCTAGCTGCCTGTGTCACCCTGTCCCACTGAGGTCAGAGTCCTACAGTGGCTCATGCAGCCACAGGTCACCTTCTGTGATCCCCATCCCAAGGCACTGGTGGTGACTCTGCTTCCTGCACTGACCCAGAGCCTCTGCCTGTGCACTGCAAGCTGTGTCTACTCAGGCCCCAAGGGGCATCTCTGTTTCCATTCTCCCCCCACAGACCTGTCAAGAGAAGCATGACAAACAAAATCATTTACCTGACTTTAGTGCTTTTTCCCATAATTAAACCTGATTCTGAGTTATCTGTATTCGGAACTTCCTTAACTAAGCAGAGGTAGGAAACCACTGCCAAGTGAAGGAACATACCTTGAGGTGACCCAGCCAAACCGTGGCTAGAAAGAGGGTTGTACTTTGAAAAGACACTGAAAGCATCTTGGGGTGCAAAGTAAGGGTAGGCAGAGGAGGTAGAAAATCAATTCAGTCATCACATCATTCATGGTTCTTTAATATTGATGTTCAGTGCAATGGCCTTAGGACATCCCAGCCTCTCTTCTGGTTTGGCGAGTGTTGTCTAAGTAAGCATGGTGGAATTGTTTGGGGACAACTATAGTGACTGATGTTTCAAATATATTCTGGCTGGCAAGTCACATCAATCAAGACTAATTTTTATTTTTAAGAAAGCATAACCAGCAATGAAAGTACTATTTTTGGTTCCAAATGATAGACACCCAACCCAAAGATATTTGATTCATGTTACAAGGAATGTTGGTTTCAGAAGTGACTAGTTCCAGATATTCAATGAGATCTTCATCTCTCTTCTCTTTCTGTTATAGTTTCATCTGTGCATCCTCCTCTCCTCTCCGTGTGTCTCTTTGTCCCTGTGTAGTTCTTTCTGTGTGTCTCTCTCCAGTTTTGTCTTTGTTCCCTTCTTGTGTCTCTTTCACTGCATTGTTGCCTTTCTCTATGTTTGTAATCCTTTGTCACTATTTATCTGCATTTCTTTCTCTTTTTCTTTTTGCATCTCTTTATTTTCTGCATCTCTCTTATCACCTCACACCTTATCTCATCTCTCTCTTCGTGTGAGTGTGTGTACGTGCGTGTGTGTGTGTCTGTCTTTGTTGTATATGTTTCTGAAGTGTCTACCAGAGTTTTAATAATTTGGGGAAAGATTCTGATTGTCCAAGCCTGGGTAACATGCACACCTCCCAAACACACCATCCTGTGCACAGGATGCTGCCAGCCAGCGTGCTCATCCCTCTTATTAGGAAGGAGGACTGGGTTTTCCAGATCCTTCTGATGCTGGAAATGACTTCCAGTGTGCAGATGTCTACACCAGCCATGTGGAGCACCTCAGCCTCCAGAGCCTCCTCACAGTAGAGTGGTGTAGGGGAAGTTTGTTTCTTGTGGAGGACACAGGTCAAACGGCAGAGCTTCCTCTGGTTCTAGGGTCCCTCAGTGGGGGTACCTGTTCACAGCCATCTCATTCCTTGTCTGAGCTCCCTTTGTCATTGACATCGTAACCTGTTCATTCCTGATGACACCCTCTTCCCGATTATGAGGGATGTTACTACACACTGTGACCCCTTTGATGTGGGCTCAGCCCTGAAGATGGTCTACATGTCAGTCTCTGGGTTTGTCATTAAGTCAGACAAGCTTTTCCAACCCTCAGCCCGCGGGCTGCATGCAGCCTATGACCGTATTTAATGCAGTCCAACACAGATTCTAGAACATTCAGTTCAACATTGTCACACTGAACACATCCTGGTTATGAGAGGATCAAAGTCTTTTTCCCTTTCTTCCACTGACAGTTTCATAGAAACAATTATTTTTTGCACCCAGATTTCATTGGGTAGTATAATCTTTAATTGATAATTAAAGTAACAAGTACATTTTTTATAAATAAGTTTGCTAACAAGAAGAATTGAGTCTTAGTCGGCATATAACTTGGAGGAAAGTATGTGGGTGTTCTAGAGAACAACCTGCCAGTTGTGAGCATTTGTCCTTACCTTAGGAAATATCAGCATATCTTTCAGAGACAATGGTGCTCGTCAATATGCCATAAGGTTCTTTACATCTCCCAGTCTTTTCTGCTGTTAGGTTGGGATCATTTGACTAATACTAGCCAATGGAACTTGCAAGTAGATGCACGATGAGACGATGGAAACTCCATATAACCTGAGTCACTGGAGAAACTGTGGAATTAAGTCTCTTTATTGAGTGACATCACTGAGATTTGTTTTTTACTGTGGGCTAAGATCTTACTGCACATTAACTTTACCCTTCTCAATAATCATGGAATGTTTAACTTCAGAGGAGAGTTCATAAGTTAATAGGGTGAATCAATTGAGTTAATAGAAATTGAGATGATTGAGATGATATTTTTAAACAAAAAAGTTTTTGAAAATAAAGAACAGAAAACTTTATTTGAACAAGAAAAAGTTAAGAATGTTACATTTCAAAAAATTTAAATTATTTTTAATTTACAAATAATTGAGTACTTATAAGGTACAATTGACATTTCGATATATGTATACACTATGAAATGATTAAATCAAGCTAATTAACATATCCATCACTTCACATACTTATTTTTTTATGTGGTGTGAATATTTAAAATCTGTCTTAGCAATTTTCAAATATACAATACAGCTGGCCCTGTATTTGTGTGTTTTGCCTCCTCTGATTCAGTCAACCATGGATTGAAAATATTTGGAAAAAATGATAAAATACAACAATACAACATAAAAATAATACAACTTAAAAGACAATACAGTATAACAACTACTTACATAGCATTTACATTGCGTTAAGTATTATAAGTAATCCAAAGATGATTTAAAGTATATGGGAAAACATACTTAGGTGATGTACAAAAACTAAGCCATTTTTAATAAGAGACTTGAGCATTCTTATATTTTGGTATCCAGGAAGGGTCCTAGAACCAATCCCTCATGGATGCCAAGGGACAACTGTATGATATTGTTAACTAGTCACCATGCTGCACAATTGATCTTCAGTACTTATTCCTCCTCTCTAACTGAAACTTATACCTTTTGACCAACATCTCATTCCTTTTTCTCCCTCTCCCCACACCCCACCCCCTCCATGACTTTGACTTTTTAAGATTCTGCATATAAGTTAGGTCATGTCGTATTTGTCTTTCTGTGCCTGGCTTATTTCACTTAGCATACTGTCCAATGGGTTCGTCCATGCTATAAATGACAAGATTTCCTTCTTTTATACGGCTGAATAGTATTCCATTGTGTATATGCACCACATTTTTTTTATCCATTCATCTGCTGATGGATAGTTAGGTTGATTCCATCTCTTGGCCATTGTGAATAGTGCTGCAATAAACACGGGAGTGCAGATATCTCTTTGATACAGATTTCATTTTCTTTGCATATGTACCCAGAAGTGGAACTGCTGGATCATGTGGTAGTTTTATTTTTAATTTTTAAATAGATGCTGAATTTTATCTGTTTGTTTTCTTCCACATGAATGTATATGTACTCCCAGGAACTAGAACAGTGTTTCTGCCGTCAGTGCTGTTCCACTGTACCTAAACTCCTCCCTTTGAGACTGAACGATTTATTCTGTCATTGCTGGGAATGTTGCTGGCTGACTGCCCTCAGCTTTCAGTCACGCCCCGGAATTGCCTTAGGTGATGAAAGCTGCCTCATCGGATTTTGATCCACTTCCCAGGAGGAACTCGCCTATAATGATTGGTCAGTATAGGAGTATACAACCTGCTCTAATTTGGGCCGACTCTGAGGGGCTCTTGCAGCTTCTGAATAGCTTAGGCCGAAGAATAACAGTCCATTTTTTTTGTAACTGAAATAATAGTCCAATTTCTAAAACCTTGCTCTAATTCATGAGTCATTTTACATACTTTTTCCAGTTGTGATTGTAATTTAAATATATTGATCTTTGTGACTTCTGTAAGTATGGGCAATGCCTCTTCCCCTCCTTCTTGGAAGATGAAGTTATTGGCATTTTCACCCTCCCTTTCCCCTCTCCTTTACACTTCCAGTTGCCATAATGAAGTATCTACATCTTTTTTTTCCCCCCAATATTGTCAAAGCTGAAAATATTGACATTCTGCTGTAGCAATAAGATTCCTTGGGCTTTGCTCACAGATTAATTCTAAATTTGAAAAAAAAAAGTTTATCACTTTCTAAATATCACTTATGTAGTCAGGTATTCTTTGCTTGCCAAGAAACTGCTGTAGTAGGATCCGTTTTCAGTGAGATCCTGGGTTAGACCCAGTTTCCTGGATTCCTTACCTTCCTATATCCTGATTAACAATCTCAATTGGTCATATCCTTAGTCAATTTCTAGTAAAACTCTGCGTGGTAGGTAAATTTTATGTTCTTTCACATTCACAGGTATTTTTATTCTTTCTCCATGCCTGATTGTGACTTTGAAAAGATCTACATTTATTAATAAAAAATAATTTTCCTTTAGAACTTCAAGGACTTTCTCATTATCTTAATAATAGAAGTATTTTTTTTGTTGTCAGTTTGTTTCATTTTGGTTTCCGCCACTGGAATATTTTATGACTTTTCTATAACACCTGAAGTTCTGAAATTTTGAAAATGAGATATTTAGAAGTGAGTCTGTTAATTTTGCTAAATACCTGACAAGACTATTCCATGGAAGAATTAAATCCTTTATATCTGGAACATTTTCCCTTATTATTTGTTCTGATCATTTTCTCCCTTCATCTTCCCTGTTGGTCTCTCTAGCTTTGTCACTTGATGTTTGACTTCCTTGGTCTGTTCTCCATCTTATTTTTTCTACCATATATTACATTTTTTTTTTGCCTTTTAAATTACTGTGAGATTTTCTTGATTTAATTTTCCAATCTTTCTATTAAATTTTCCAATTGTTTTTAGCATTCTATTATTACTTTTACAGATCAAGAATTCTAATTAGAATGACTTTAAACTTGTTTGCTGTTACATGAACTTTCTCTATTAAATCTGTGATAATTTTCATGTTATTTTATTCTCATCTTCTCTTTCATATTGTAAGAGTTTCTCAAACATTTGCTCTGGCCTCTTCAACCTTGTCCTTTACCTACTGTATACCACCTTATTTCATCTCAAGATACATTTCTTCAAGCCACTTCTAAACTGCCCCAAACCATACCTGGTCCCTGTGCAACACTCTCTCATTTTACCTCATTCTTTTTCTTTATAAATGTTTCAGACCTTGTAACTATGTTTGTGGAATTATGTAATATATGTATTTTCCTCCCACTGGAGTGTAAGTTCTATGAAGATAATGAATGTAATTGTTTTCACATTATTTTAATAACATTCAACAAACTATGAGTACTTATTGTAGCACTGGTACTCAATGACCATTTTTGCATTTTTGATGAATTAGTGAATATATAAACAAGTCTGGGGGCTTAGTCCAGCCAATAATAAAGCAAGCATTACTTTGCTTTCCTTTGTTATTATTAGTTCCTGCATACACATTCTTTATAGTTGCATTCCTGAGAGGTTCTTACAGTCTTGGGCAGGCCTTGGACAGGGTTTCCTAAATGTGATAAAAATGAGAAAAACTGAAAAACTAACATAACTTCAAACAGAATGCTTGTCTGCCTATGTTTATGGGACTTTCCTGAATACATTTAAAAAAAAAACCTTTGTATTACAGAAAATTTCAACTGTGTGCAATAGTACAGAGAAGAATTCCATGTATCAACAGCCTTGCTTTAACAATAATCAATTCATGAGCAATTTTGTAAACCCACCCAGTTATCATACAGGCACATACTGGATTATTTTGAAGATATTTTTAGGTATCATATTTCATTTATACATTTTTATTATGAAAATCTAAAATATAATGGCTTTTTAGAAACATAACAGCAATGCCACTAACACATTTAAAACGAGATAAATAATTCCTTAATACACTCAGTGTCAATTTTTCTGATTGCCTCATATAAATTTTTTAACAGATGTTTTGTTTGAATATGAATCTAGACAAAGCTCAGCGTTTGGTTACTATATTTCTTCAGTCTTTTTCAAGTGTATAGCTTTTCTTTTCTCTATTTTTAACTTTTTTTGCAAATTGTTTGCTGGAGAAATCTTTTTATTTAATCTAGTAGAACTTCTCATATTCTGAATTTTGTTGCTTACATCCTTGTGGTGTCATTCATCATGGGATTTTGTCTTGGACTCCAGAAAATAACAATAACACAAATTTGTTAACTTCTATAAACTGCTTACTATGGGCCAGACTGTGTGTGAAGTGCTTTATTTGTAATGTTTAATTCTTCATATCTCTAGTTTGTATGTGGTAAGTACAAACCTGAAATATTTTACGTGATTTTTACGTTTTGTAATTTTTATTTATTTATTCATTTATTTATTTATTTTTAGAGACGGGGTCTCGCTGTGTTGCCCAGGCTGGAGCGAGTGCAGTGGTGCAGTCAGTCCTAGCTCACTGCAGCCTCGAACTCCTGGGCTCAAGCAGCAATCCTCCTGCCTCAGCCTCCCTACTAGCTGGGACTACAGACTGGTCTCCATCTCCTGGGCTTTAAGGGACCCTCACCTTGTGCTGAGATTACAGGCATGAACCATTGTGACTGGAAATTTTGTAAAATTTAAACAATGTGATATTACCTATTAATGAAGTCATACTTTATGTATGTAATCTGAAATAATTCAGATAACAATTTTTAAGAATCATTTAATTTAAAATCATGCAGCCTGATTTATAACTGTTTATAATAATAATATAATAATATAATAATGATGATTTCACTTTGAACTTTTAGCTGATAAAAAGATATATTTGCTCTATTTTATAAAACTAATTTTAGCTATGCTATTTTAACATTATATAAATACTTTTTGAATACATTCTTTCAGTAAAATCCAACTACCATTATATTTGCTTTCCTCAGTATTTCTTGGGGAAGGATTCTAAATAGGGGAGCATTTGTGTATTTCTGTATGACTCTGGTTATAATGCCATTCAATGTAAGCCTTACACACACACACACACACACACACACACACACACACACACAAATGCACACACCTCCAGAATGCTGGGTTCTTGGCTCATGAATCATTGAAATTTATATAAAATTTATTTTAAATCCTATTGCAGAAAAGTTCTTAGCACATTCATGCATTTTCATGTGACCATTTTTATACTACAGTTTTAATTTTATATATTTGGGATCATTATTGTTGACCTTTTCTTTTCTTTTTTTTTAATAGAGTTTATTTTAGAGAAGTTTTAGGTTCCCAGAAAAATTGTAGAGTACAGATAGATGTATCCCATATGCTCTCTGTTCCCACACATGCATAGCCTCCCCCACTAGTAACATCCTTCATGACAGAGGTACATTTGCTACAACTTATGAACTTACACTGACACATCATTATCACCCAAAGTCCATAGTTTATATTAAGGTTCATTCTTGGTGTTGTACATTCTATGGATTTGGGCAAGCGCATAATGATATTTATTCACCATTGTGGTATCAAATAGAGTAGTTTCATTGCCCTAAAAATCCTCTGTGTTCTGTGATGGACGTTTTCATGATCACCACTGGTTCAGATTCCCTGCACTTACTAATTCCCAGTCTGCATTTATAATTATTTTCTCCCGGAGTCTCCCCACCTCCTCCCCAAAGTAAATATGGATAAACTGCTGTTGCATATAATTCACCTTGACTTAAAATTTATGGGACATAAGGAGGGAATATACCCCTTAGAGAGTTAAAAACCGAAGTCAAATATTACAACTTCTTGTCCTAAGAGTTCTCTTAGCAACCCAATCTCAGCCTCTCAAGAAAGAAAAAAATCCTCCAGTTAACATATGAAAAGAAACTCACTTTTACGTCTACGCTTGAATCTCCTAAATCACTAAAGGGCTAAGGAAAACAAATGTACTTTTCATATAATATGATCCATTCTTTTTAATAAATCCATTATAAACATAACTGCAGTGTTTTCTTATATATTTATATACTACGTGTAAGGCACTGTCTATATACCAAGATTATTCAAATTCTGTCAATAACTCTGCAAGGAAAATATTATCACTCCCACATTGTGGATGAGAAAAATAAGGTTCAGAAATGTCAATCAGATACTTTACCCAGTAAAGTTTAAAATACTAGCTTCAAAATACTGAGTCAAGTATTTGGATTTAGGTTTCTTTGTACAAAACTATGCTGTATCAATTATTATGTTAATGTTTTGTCTCTTTTTTTTCTCCTATTACATTTTAAACTCACTGATGCAGATAGCATGGACAGAAATATCCTGGCAGATTTCATAGCTGTTTAGAGCTCTCAGGTCCCTGTGGACCCATTTCCTCTGAGAGATTTTCTATTAGGAGACCACGAATCCAGTGTAGGACACAGCACCCACTACTGCTGCTACATTGTCTCAACTGTCTTGTTCTTCCTAGGATTTCTCTCTCATAGGCTCATGCTTTCCTTAGCCAGGAAGGGGGAGGAGCAGGGGGCTGGGGCCCCTAAATGGGTCTGTAGCTTCTACTTCTATCTGTTTTCCATTGTCACTAACCCTAAGTAAGGAACAAGCATTTGTTCCTTTTCAGATACCCCCTTATATTATTGCCTTATTTTAATATTTTTCTTTTTTAAAAAATTTATTTATATGTATTTATTTATTTTTGAGATGGAGTTTCATTCTGTTGCCCAGGCTGGAGTGCAGTGGCACAATCTTATTGCAACCTCCACCTCCCAGGTTCAAGCGATTTTCCTGCTTCAGCCTCCTGAGTAGCTGGGATTACAGGTGCCCAGCACCATGCCCAGCTAATTTTTGTATTTTTAGTAGAGACAGGGTGTAACCACGTTGGCCAGGCTGGTCTCGAAGTCCTGACCACAAGTGATCTGCCCACTTTGGCCTCCCAAAGTGTTGGGATTATAGGTGTGAGCCACCGTGCCTGGCCTTATTTCAATGTTTTTCTAACTGGCTTCCATTTCTTTTCCTGCCTAGAGAATTTTTATCTCCTCAAGGTGAGAAGGGGAGAGGAAAGCTTCTACTGTTGTCATTCTTCACAAATTTAAAGTTTTGAGAATGCAGTTTGACTTTTGGTAACAAAATTTTTTACTTTTGATAACTTTTGAGATTCAAAATTCTTGTATCCTATTTCTCTGTCATTCCTTTTAAGAGCCATATTGAAATTAGTACAGACTTTTTTTTTTTTTTTGTATTTCTGCTATAACCATTCTGAGCCAAGGGCAGAGGGTTCGTTGGTACCTGAATTGAGGGGTGGCTGGCAGTGGCCAAGGGTAGGAACAAAAGGAAGAAAGAAATATTAACACCAGTTAAGAAATCAACAAATTATCAGGATACACTGTACTTGGTTGCTCCTGTGTTACTGGACTTGAAATATGATCTGGGGAATGATATGAAATTGGCCTAAAACATAAGAGTCGCCCATTCTAAGTTATGCTCTCAGTCAGCCCTGAGATGAAAGATGGGAAAAATTCAATAGAGGCATCAAAAGGGAATTTATTGCTTCCATGGAGATTTTAGATAAAGGTCATTGAGGAATTAGGTAGCTGAGTGGCTTACCCAGGCATCCCTTAGTAGGTAACATTTGAGAAAATAAAAAAATTCAGGAAAGGAGGTCAGGGAAAGAATTGAAAGGCATTTGTGAGCTCTGAGGGAATATAGCACCTTAAGTCCCAGAGAAGAGGTGAGAGAAGAAACATTTGGAGGAGAAAAGGGATATGATAAATCAGGCCAGAGAATAGTGCTAGGTCATTTAGCAAGTCCATTCTTCTTCTCCTGTAGATGGTGATGCACCTGCAACAGGACAGACATGAGATCGATGGGTCTGAGGGGCCTCCTGTGTGATCATCATGCCACTTCCCAATTCGCCTACAACTTTCAACCACATTCATGTCCACAACCCCCTCCCACTTTCCTCCCTCTCATACTGAGGTTTCAGCTCCAACAAATCTCAATCTTACCTTCCTTTTCAGGATGGGATTCATAAGAGCCCTTGGTGTCTGGAAGCACCAACTGAACGCAGGCCTTGGATGATGAAGACAGTGCCCACCACAATGCCCATGAGGCCCACAGACAACCCCAGGGCGCAGACCAAAGTCTCTGTGAGCTCTGACATAGGGGCTGGAATCTCAGGCTCTGTGAAAGTGGAGCTGTTGAGGTCAGAATGTGCAGTGTGCTCATGTGCATGTGTGTGGGATGGGATGGGGTGGAGGGCTGGCTCTGCAAGACTCAAGGCCCCAGGCTTAGGGAGAAGAGTGAAGTCTATTATTAGAAACCCATGAAGTGGTGGAACTCATCCTTACCCCAGTGTTTCAGAAGAGGCTCGTCCAGGCCCCAGTGCTCCACCTTGCAGTCATAAATCTCATCAGCAGAAGGGAGGAAGGTGAGGTAACTGATCTTGAAGAAGGAATGATCACTCTTGGAGAGGAAGCTGGTCTCAGAAACACCTTCTGTGACTGAGTGCCCATTGCTCAGCCAGGTGATGTTGACCACAGGAGGAAAGATGTTGTCCACAAGACAGATGAGGGTGTTGGGCTGACCCAGCGTCACAGGAAACTTGGAAAACACTGTGACCTCAGGAACCTCTGTGGTGAGGAAACAGCACTGATGTGAAGTGTGAATAGCTCTGCCATGAGCTTCTGCATTACATCCTGGAAGAGCCCTCCTACCAGCATTTCACCACCTGATAGTCAAAGAGGTCTTATTTACCTTCTGCTTGGGAGCAACGACACATTGCCTCTGCTTTATTCCTGTGCCCTTCTCTCTGTGGGCATGTTTAATAAAGTAGGAATTAATACATAATGGAAAGACCCTTGTATTACATGGGAATATGTGATTTTAGAGATGGGAGATGATAAAATTTCAGCAATTACCATGAGAAGATCTGGAAATCTCTTGAGAAGAAGGGAGTAAAACTTGGTATGAAAGATTAGTTTCAGTAAAGAGAGGCGGAATGGTGGACACGTACCATTGGTGGCAGCGGTAGAGTTGGACTGTCTCATCATGAATTCCAAGGTGTGTTTTCCCACAGCCATATTTCTCAGTGCACTCTGCGGGTCAAAACTTATAAATTTGCTAAACATAGGCAACTGCCAGACAGTCTCTTTCGTCTCCAGGTCCACATAGAACTCCTCGTCTCCATCAAATTCATGGGTGTACTGGCCAGAGGGACCGTGAGACTGGTAGAAGTTCACACCATAGGAGGCAACATGGTCAGCTGACGAGTGAAGGTGACAAGCAGGAGGGTGGAACACAGGGAGAAAGAACCTTAATACAGAAAGTGATTGAAGAAACTCACTTTCAAATATTATGGGCTTCATCTTTGGCACAGTCCCTGAACAATCTTCCTAACACCTGCTTCCTCCTTGCCTAACGTTGGTAGTCATCAGGTTAGAACTGATTCTGTCTTTCTCACTATAACATATGCTCCACAAAGGCAGAACGTCACACGTCTGTTATTTCCTGAGTGCCTACTTAGTGCCTGGCGCATCATAAGCTTATGATGAATATTGCAATAAACAAAGGAAGGAATGAATGAGTTATCATAGGATTTAGTTTTCTTACTCAGAGATTCAGTTTATTTCCCTCTGCTTCCTAAGTTTTCTCTCTCAGTTAATAACAAGTTGATTATACTTCGTTTCCTGTCAGGACTAGATCAGAACAGGACACTTTCTACACAGAGTTTCCTTTTTTTTTTTTTTTAAACCAAAGAAAAGCATGTAGGAACGTATTAACTTAAAATAATTTCTTCTAACAATTATAGGGTACAAGAAAGACTATTACAAGAATAGCAACATTATACATTTATAACAAATAAACAATTCTTCTAAGGTCTCTGTTTTGTTAATAGTAGTGGTCCTTAGAGGAGAGCACCTGATTTCTTCTGAAATGAAAAGTGGAAGCTCAACTGGTTTTTTAATTTCTGTCATTGCCCCCACTTTTTTTTTTCCTCTGAAGGAGGTTACTAAATATCTATAGTGTTCTGATTCAACAATTACATTCACTCGAGGACTCAGGTAAATTAAACCCTTTTTCCTCTAATGGGCAGCGAGCTTATCCGAGGATGCCAGGGCAGAGCAGCAGCCATGAAGTATAGCCAAATGAGCCGAACTGGACATTTTTGTTAAGACATGTGTGAGCCCTTTACCATTTTATCTTTCCTTCCTTCCTTCCTCATTTACTGAGCATCCAAAAGTGTCAGACAGAGCAGGGGTTGCTTAAAACAGCATCAAGGAATGAACTGAATAGTGGGAGAATCAGGTCGGTAAGGGAGCAAATACAATGTACTTTGGGGAATTCTGTGAGGAGGATATCGACAGCCTTACAGTCCGACATTCTTCACAACTATCTGCCAATCAAACCAAACTACATTTCCTTTCATGTCTTTGCAAGGGTCTGTTTTTTCTCCCTGAAAGAAGTTATCTTTTAGGATTTCCTGGAGAAATCCTAAAATTCATCCTTGAGGTTTCTACTTAGTTAACAACTTTGCAGCTAAGTCCTCTCAACATGTTTTTGACCGCGTTGTGACCTCCAACGCCTCAATGGAATCTCAATGTCTGGCTCTCCAAGTTTGTCTTTTCCTCCTCCAGCTCACCTTCTTCCCTACCCAGCATGACTGCCCTGGTTGGTTACTTAACAGGCCACCAACAAAGACTCCTTATCCTTACAATAAACTTTGACTCCTTGTTCAAACATGAATATATGTGGAATACATGCAATCCTTCTTTTCATCTGGTACTTGTCCTGGGTGCTAAGTGTTGCTGGAGGACATCACTCTACTGGCCCAGCTGGAACCAAGTCATTTTTATAGTTTCAGCCTCTGCTGGGCCAGTGTCCTGCTCAGCAGGGCCTTCTGCTTTCCTGTGCCCCATACTGTTTCCATCACTGGTTTGTGCACCCTCTGCAAGGCAGACAGCATGATTTTTTATCTTTGAATTCCCAAAAGTTAGCTCATTGTGTGCTCAAACATGTGTATTGAATGACAATTGCAATTTTTGACAATTACATAGATTTTGGGGAAGACTGACAGGCACCCAGGTAGCAGAACCACGCAAAGCCCAGGATCAGGGATGCCCAGGGCTGAATTCTGACTTGTGAGCCCCGAGCACTGTTGCTTTTGTGGGCGCCTTCCTCCATAAAAATACGGAAAATTACAGCTTCTGATTGTATTGGTATAAAGACAAATACAATCCAGGCTACATTAAAAGTTAAGGCCGGGCGCGGTGGATCACGCCTGTAATCCCAGCACTTTGGGAGGTTGAGACGGGCGGATCATGAGGTCAGGAGATCGAGACCATCCTGGCTAACACGGTGAAACCCCGTCTCTACTAAAAATACAAAAAATTAGCCGTGCACAGTGGCGGGCGCCTGTAGTCCCAGCTACTCGGGAGGCTGAGGCAGGAGAATGGCGTGAACCTGGGAGGCGGAGCTTGCAGTGAGCCGAGATCGTGCCACTGCACTCCAGCCTGGGCGACAGAGCGAGACTCCGTCAAAAAAAAAAAAAAAAGTTAAAACATTTTCATAGACTGTAAAACTTCATTTTTCTTCTAATTTTAAAAGGAGTTAAAACGTTCTCTTGTAGCTTTACAGTTTGGAGGGTCCCCTTCACTGCCCACACTGTTCCTAATGGATAAGTCGAGCCTGACCGGGGCACTCTGGTGTGAGGTTGAAGAAAGGAAATTTGAAACAAAAAAGCCAAGTGCTCTGGAGAAGCAGGTGAAACTTCCACTGCCAAACAAAATCAGAATGGGAGCAGCCATGGTTAATAAGGTTGTGAAAGTTTAGAGTAGCTTCCAGTTCACTTCCCCTTTTAACTATTTGACTTTCCAACTTTTGTTTTACAAACCCACTGCCCATGTCTGTAAAGGAGCAGGGAGTCAGAGATGGATCCTGAAAGGGAAGAGGGAGAAAGGGATGCATGAAGAGAGGTGGGAAGAGATGGACGACAAAGGCAGAGGGGACTAAGGGACCAAATAATTATCTGTGCCTGCCCATTTTTCTCTTTATAAGACTTCATTAGATAAGGTGAAGAACTAGTAATTTGGGTTGACAATTTGAGAATAAAATAATTTAATTTACCAAGCATTTTATCATAAAGTTCTCAGTTTTAAAATATATTCCTTACTTTGCTAAAGAAAAAATACGAAGTTATACCTGTAATAGGAATAAGTTAAAAAAAGTTGACATTCATGTTTTTACTATTCATAAAGCATATCTACATGCCCATTTTATTTGATCATAAGCGAGGTGACATATATGAGGTAGCAGAGAGTAAGTACCACATTTACCACGTGGTAAAATGATTGTTGAAGGCATTCAGCCTGCTGGGCTCTTTCACCTACTCCCCACCTGTGCCAATTCCCATGTGGAAATGTAAGTCTGAGAGAAAGAAAAGAACCTCTTTCTTTATATCTATAGAGTGTACATACTTCATGGAACTATCTACCCCAACATATGCTATAGGAGGCATATGAAAAGCTTCAAAAGTTGTTCAGAGAAATTTGGGAGTAACAGTTCAGAAATTTTTAATAACAAAAAAATACTCCATTCATGGAAACATCCCTAGTCTTTGAGGCAATCATGATGGAATGCCACACAGACCTCCAGGCTATAGTCTCTGGATATAATATAAACAGAACAACGTCCTTGGTAAACTCCAATAGCACAGGTAGCAAAGAGAGTCGGTTGGAGCTCTGGTTTCCTAAAGGAGGAACTGCCATAATTTTAAAATTTCTTAATATTGAAAAGACCCTTGGGAAATTTCTACTATTTCTTAGCAAATTACACTCTCTCTTTTCCTTTAATTTACTGTTTTTCAGCTCCAGAGAACATTCCTCACTCATGTACTCACCCACAATGTCTTCACCTCCACAGGGGCTCATCACGGCAGTCAGGGCGAGGGCCCCCAGCAGCAGAGCTTTGTTTAGGATCATCTTCTTCCCAAGGCAGCCTCAGCAGTTGCTGCTCTGAGCTGTAGAGCAATTGTGAGGACCTCGAGACAAGCAAATCTGAAGACACCCAAACCAAACCCTGCCAGGTCAGGTTTTGGCCAATCAGAAAAATCCCCTATGGTGACATATTGTTTGCCAGTTGCAGAGTTTATATTAAGAGCCCTGGAAGAAGACAGGGACATCCTCTGGTTCTGACACATCCTCCACACAGCATGGTCTTGAGGAAATTTTCTATAAATAAAGGGAAGATACTAAATCTGAATCTTCTGTCATGTGTGCATGTCTGCTAGTGTCAAGAGGGGCGGGAATTTCTGAGCAGCCGCTTGGATAGGTAAGGTCATCAATAATATGGCATCCTTCAGGGTTTTCTGGGTTACATTCTCCAGGAATTCTTCCCTGAAGTGATTTTCCTCCCTGGCAGTCCCCATTCCCTCCCCTTTCTCTGGCTTCTGTATGTGGGTTAGCTATTTTTCTTTTTGCTTCCATAGTGTATATGGTATTCCCCAAATTTTGACTTGACCCCACCTTCCTAGGGATCTCTGCTGGTGGTAGCCAAGCAATACCTTTGCCTTTTCTACTTGTATAAATCCAGTTGGGTAAGTTCTCAAAAGCTCCAGGTGTTTTTGACCAGGGCAATTAAAGGGGTTAGACTGTCATGCGGTGCTGCCTACAGTAACCGATCTTTTACACAGTTTTTTGTTTTGCTTCTAGTAATCTTTATGCTCTGTGTTTCGGAGCTGCTTGAATATATTTAAAGGAAATTTAGGGACATTGATTACATTAAAAAAGCTTTGGCTGGCTCAATTACTCTAATAATTTATTTTATTTTATTTTATTTATTTATTTATTTTAAGACGGAGTCTCACTCTTTGGCCCAGGCCGGACTGCAGTGGTGCTATCTCGGCTCACTGCAAGCTCTGCCTCCTGGGTTCACGCCATTCTCCTGCCCCAGCCTCCCGAGTAGCTGGGACTACAGGCGCCCGCCACCGCGCCCAGCTAATTTTTTGTATTTTTAGTAGAGATGGGGTTTCACCGTGTGAGCCAGGATGGTCTCGATCTCCTGACCTCGTGATCTGCCTGCCTCAGCCTCCCAAAGTCCTGAGATTACAGATGTGAGCCACCGCGCCCGGCCAGTAATTTTTTTTTTTTAATTTAAGAATGTCAAGTCAAATATTGAGAGTAGAATAAGGAGAATTGCTTTAACTTAGAAAATAGGTTTACTTTTCTTAAACTACTGGATCTTTTCATATTTGTTATCCAACCACATTAAGATTTCAGATATTGCAAGGGACTAGGGAATGAGCTAAAATGTAGTAATCACAGGGAAACTTACCTTTTTTCAGATGAATCTATTTTCTGTATGTTATAGAAACAACAAGTTAGTAATGGAGGTTTCATTTAGAATCACTCTGTCCTTGTTGAATGGCCTTCTGAGATTCTCAGCATGTTGTCTTGCCTCCCAATGGCAGAGACTAAAAAAAGGTAAAATAAAAAGTGTCCTGATACCTGGGGGCTGCCTGGATGCAATTAACAAGGCCTTGGGGTTGCTAGGAGCTAGCCTGGTGTGCACAGCTGGTTTTGATTCTCCTGTTGAAGATAATCAATTTCATAGAACATCAGAATCAGACAGGTACTCTGTGAGTGCGATGGATTGAGACAGAAAATAAGGCCACTCAGTCATCACGTCTGCACCCAGACAAAACATGAATATTGTCCAAACTACAAAAATAACCAGGCACATCTCTCGAAAGAGTGATTGCTGCTTCTTTACCAATCACAGCCGTAGCCTCAGGATAGTCTTCCGTCCCTCTAGGTAGTATTTATGAAGCTACCCAATCATAGCATTGCCATCCCCACTCCCTGCTTTCTGTCAGAATCCAGTTAAAAATGAAGTCCCTCTTTCTTAACTCCTCCTCAAAATTACCTAACACAAGCACAAATCTTACAATTGATTAATGGTCAATTTTATGTGTTGACTGGACTGTGGTCCCCAGTTATTCACACACTAATAATCTAGGTGTTGCTGTGAAGATATTTTGTAGATGTCATTAAAGTTCATAATCAGTTAACTTTAAGTAAGAATTTATCTGAGATAAATTGGGTGAGCTTAGTCTAAGCAGTTGAAAAGTCTTAAGAGCAGAGCTGAGGCTTCTCTGAGGAAACGGAAATTCCACTGTGGACAGCACGTCAGCCAGTGCTAAGAATTTCAACCTGCCTTTCCTGATGACCACCTCCCAGTGGGTCTTAGACTTGCCTAGTCCACCCCCACAGTTGCACAAATTAATTCCTTTCAGTCATTCTCTTAATATATGTGTTCTCCTAGTTCTACTTCTTTGGTTCCAACAATCTCTTACTGAACTGCTGCATGATTCCCCATGGTGACTTTTCTCCATCATTGCAATGAACAATAAAGCCAACTTGTTCATTCAAGGGTATGCTCTTCGTGGTCTTTGGCCGGAGGCACTGATGGTACCTCATTAGGCAGTTGTGAGGAATGTACATATACTGCACTTGGAATGAATTACTCTTTATAAATACTTGTCATACTTTAGTATCATCCACATTTTTCAAGGAGGACATTAAAACTCAGAGAGGTAAAGGACTTTTCCCAGGGTCACATGGCTCGTAAGTAGTAGAGATGGGATGCTACAGGGGCAAGCCATGATTCCTCATGAGGGGTGAGGGGTGTCTCCTTCTGTGTGGATTCAGAGTAAGTGCCCTAGTGCGATTAGGAGAGATATATGACACTGTACGTGGCCTTTTTACTCTTTCTAGCCACTGCCATTGTGAACTAAGAGGGTTTTTGAGGTTGCAGTTGAGCTCTGCTCCCTTCACCGTGCAGCATCCTCTTTGCTGTGTAGTAAATAATACATTTCTATCTTTTTTCCCCTGTATCCAGACTTACCTGCTTTGTATCTGACAGAAATTCCTTAAGATTTTGGCAAATGAACTAAATCTTTCCTGATAGCACTCCAGAATTTCCCCTATTAATATCACAGTTTAAAAAACTCAACTCTAATTAGGAAGTTAGGGTGTTAAATGTGGGATCAGAATTGTATCTTAGAAGGGAAGTCGTGGGTTCAGTCTCAGATCTCACATCCTGTGGGATGGAGGGAAAGTCCAAGCAAGGCCAGGTCATTGACTAAAAGATAATAGATGCTCTTTCTATCTTTAACTGGTTTTGTGTCCCTCTCCTCCTCCTGCTTCATCCAGCCAGAATACAGCGAACCTTGTTCTATTTGCTTCTGTTTTCAGGTCATAATTTTAATGCAAGATAG
Source organism: Homo sapiens (assembly GCF_000001405.40). Lineage (NCBI taxonomy): Eukaryota > Metazoa > Chordata > Mammalia > Primates > Hominidae > Homo > Homo sapiens. The sequence goes on along the minus strand of NC_000006.12, from coordinate 32,738,147 downwards.
AATAATCAGTAAATTAGACTCAGAAGAACAGTATACCATTTTAACAGAAACCAATTTCTTACTTTTGTCTTGTAGAAATAGAAAAGGTCCTCAGTACTTTGGGAGGCTGAGGCAGGCAAATCACAAGTTCAAGAGATCGAGACCATCCTGGCCAACATGGTGAAACCCCATCTCTACAAAACAAAAAACAAAAAACAAAAAAAAATTAGCTGGGTGTAGTGGCACGCGCCTGTAGTCCCAGCTACTACTCGGGAGGCTGAGGCAGGAGAATCGCTTGAACGCGGGAGGCGGAGGTTGCAGTGAGCCAAGATCGCACCACTACACTCCACGCACTCCAGTCTGGCGACAGGGCGAGACTCCGTCTCAAAAAAAAAAAAAAAAAAAAAAAAAAGAAAAGAAAAAAGAAAAAGTCCTTTTCATAAAGTAATAGTGGGAATAAAATTTGGAGCTCAAAATACTACTTTGTCTAATAACTTTCTTAGAAAGCACTAATTGACATGCCATTAATTTCGTAACTAAAATATCAATGGGATATGCCATTACAATTGATATTATTAAGGGCCCTCTAAGAAATTAGGCAGAAATTATGTTAGTTCTAAGGAGCAGTTATAACATTCTCTAAGACCCTAACTTTAGGTCTAATTTTATGCATTGATGAAATTTTACTCTGAAGGCCAAGACTTCTATCTTGCAGTAGTTAAAGGTGCTTCACAACAATAACAGAGTCTAGAATAGCAAAATAAAAATATTATAGATTTTGTAATAAAATAAACGTATTCCATGCTGCTTTTGATTTTATCAGCTCCATCACCCTGGGCAAGCCACTCAGAATACCTGAGCCTTAGGGTTATTTTCTATAATGTGGGATGAAAACTATTAGAAGATAATTAATATGATGAAACGATAGATAAGTACAAATTATGCAGTTAAATACAGGCCAGTTTCTGGCACCTAGCAACTATTCCCAAGTGGGAGCTGCTATATAAAGACAAATATTAATAATGATAATGATAGTAACATCACACATTGGGCTGGGACAGACTATTACTTTTTCTTCATTCATTTAAGCTTCTCCCTGTGGCACTCCAGGCATATAGGAGCCTGTGAGCCACAGAAACACTAAGAGATTTCTAGGAAACAGAATTTCTTTGAAGACTGTTGTATCTGTCAGATTTTTCTATGTAACAAACTATTCCAAAACTTAATGACTTCCAACAACGATTTAGTATCTTCGTATGATTTTGTAAGACAGACATTCTAAAATGAGGCCAATAGAAAATTCCTGCAAGTGATGTTTGACAATGTCTGGAGATACTTTTGTTGTCATTACTGGGGAGGGTGCTACTGGCAGGTATTGGGTAGAGGCCAGGGGTGCTGTTACACATCCTGCAATGCACATGGCAGCCTCCTACAAGAAAATAATCACCTGAAACAAAATGCCAACAGTTCTGAGGTTGAGAAGCCTCATTTTAGACCATTTTTTAAATGTGAAAAAATGTTTCATTTCCAGCGTTTATTTCTTTGTATAGATCCAGGTTTCTATGTGATATCATATGGCTACCGTGTGAAGGTCTTCCTTTTACATTTCTTATGGTGCATAAATCCCATGGACACCAATATTCCCACGACTCAAAGATAATAATGAATGCATGACTATCTCAAGTGCATAGGCGCGGAGAGGAGGACAAATGAGAGTGGAAGCATTCCCCTGCCCCCATCTTCTCTCTTTAGTGCCCATTGTAAGCCTTTCAAGCTCCACCATCTCTCAGGTGCAAGATTGTCCTTGCCAATCTTCTTTAGTCAATGGGATACTTTTAGAGAAATACTATAGCAAGAATAATTTTTACTCAACTTGTATCATTGTAAATAATTTATAAAATATTTCTTTTGTTTGAGGTATTTTTCAAAATCCCCAAACATCACACATATCTGGATTCATTTTTCCCTAAAGTTGTCAGTTATTAAAACATTTGAATTATTCTTGTGTTATTATTTCTGTTTTTAATGTTCTGGCAAAATCACAACTTAAAATTTCTAGGTAAAATGCTTTACATATACATGATGACCTTTGGTAAATACATATGAATAATTTCATATAAACACTTGCTTTTAAAGTTTCCATTTAAAATTATTTGTCATTTTAAAATCACTAATGCTAAGTAAAAATAACTGTACAGCTGACTGTGGAGGTGTGTGCCTATACTCCCAGCAATTCAGGTGACTGAGGTAGGAAGATCACTTGAGCCAAGGAGTTTGAGGCCAGCCTGGGAAACATAGTGTTACAGGACTTTTCCTTAGTTCAGCTAATGACAGCGTCCTTGCCACACAGCCACGAGAAATTACGTTCACAGACAACTTGAAGGGTGAGTAGGACAACTTGAAGGTTGAGTATTGGGTGAAAAGGAAGAAAAGGGGAAACAGAGGCTCTTAGCAAAGTGAGAGAATGCATTTTTTTCTGCCAGTGGGCTTCCCACCTCACAGATTGAATTCCACGTTCCACCCAAAGAAGAGGGGTCAGTCTCCTCCCTGCCGCAAATGGTGCAAACTTCTGTGGCTCCATCCCAGTTTGCACTCCTCCCAGTGCTCAGGCTGGCTGGAATTTATCTGGGGACCCCTTCCCACCTGGCTGTCTCAGTAGCAAGACCCCGTCTCTAAAAATAAATAAATGAAAAGATCTATTCAAAGAATGTTCACAATATGTACATTAGGATTGGAGAGTTCCTAGGAAAAGAATCAATTGCTATTAGGCGTGAGGAATATTATCTGTTTCCCAGTAGTCAGTTCTACAACCTGATTCAGATGAATTAAGAATTTCAGTTCAACTCAACAAGTATTTATTGATTACATACTATAGTCTCTGCACAAAGTCTTTATCAAATAACCTATTCTGTTTAGCTGAAGAGCAACCTGGGGCTATGGTGAAAGCAGATCTGCACATGGGAGTAATTTTGCGTGTTTTCCCACAGAAGACTATTAGGCAGCAGTATTTTCCCCGTACTATTTTTTTGTTATTGTGTAGTTTATTTAAGAGAGTTGTTTAAAGCAACTAATTCATTGATATAGGAGTTGTTACTGACAAAGAATTGGTGGGGATGATATTAAATAACAAACAGAATTGTCTTTGCAAGGTTACCTTATAGGTAACAGAGGGTCTACAGCAAAATTAGTAGCAATATATTTTGTGTTTATGGAATATAAAAAAGTATAATATATGATAACAATTGCACAATGAATGAGAGAGAGAGAAATTTGGAGCATACTGAGCTAAGGTATATTTGAAAGTATATTATACATATATGTAAAATCCTAGGGCAAAAACTAATCCAAAAGAAGGCAGAAAAACAATTTTGAAAATGAACAAATGTTTAATAGAATTAACAAAAAATATCTAGCAAAAGTAATCCAACCATGTTGATAATTTCATAGGTATAATTGGCCTAGACACACCAATTAAGTGATAAAGAAGATCAGACAGTAAAAATGGCACAATTGAACTATAATCCATCTACAAGAAACCCATTTTAAATATAAAGTCATACTTACATTAAAAGTAAAATGAATGAAACTGTATACCATGCAAACAAAATCAAAAGAAAATTAATAAAAACTTGCCTTAACTTCATCTCCCCACTTTTTAACTTTTTGTTGTTTCTATTTATATCTTATTGTACTATGTCTTGAAAAGTTGTTGTAGTTATTATTTTTTATTGGTTCATCACGTAGTCTTACTACTTAGAATAAGAGTAGTTTACACACCACAGTTGCAGTGTTATAATATTCTGTGTTTTTTTCTTGATGTTCTCCTCCCTGTGTCCATGTGTTCTCATTGTTCAACTCCCACTTACGAGTGAGAACATGTGGTGTTTGGTTTTCTGTTCCTGTGTTAGTTTGCTGAGAATGATCGTTTCCAGCTTCATTCATTTCCCTGCAAAGGACATGAACTCATTCTCCTTTATGGCTGCATAATATTCCATGGTGTATATGTGCCACATTTTCTTAATCCAGTCTATCATTGATGGGCATTTGCGTTGGTTCCAAGTCTTTTCTATTGTGAACAGTGCTGCAATAAACATACATATGCATGTATCTTTATAGTAGAATGATTTATAATCCTTTGGGTATATAACCAAAAATGGAATTGCTGGGTCAAATGATATTTCTGGTACTATATCCTTGAAGAATCGCCACACTGTCTTCCACAATGGTTGAACTAATTTACACCCCCACCAACAGTGTACAGCGTTCCTACTTCTCCACATCCTCTCCAGCATCTGTTGTTTCCTGACTTTTTAATGATCACCATTCTGACTGGCAAGAGATTGTATATTTAAAAAACCCCATCATCTCAGCCCAAAATCTCCTTAAGCTGACAAGCAATTTCAGCAGTCTCAGAATACAAAATCAATGTGCAAAAAGCACAAGCATTCTTATACACCAATAACAGACAAACAAAGAACCAAATCATGAGTGAACTCCCATTCATAATTGCTAGAAAGAGAATAAAATACCTAGGAATACAACTTACAAGGGATGTGAAGGACCTCTTCAAGGGGAACTACAAACCACTGCTCAAGGAAATAAGAGAGGACACAAACAAATGGAAAAATATTCCATGCTCATGGATAGGAAGAATCAGTATTGTGATAATGGCCATACTGGCCAAAGTAATTTACAGATTCAATGCTATCCTCATCAAGCTACCACTGACTTTCTTCACAGAATTAGAAAAAACTTCTTTAAATTTCACATGGAACCAAAAAAAGAGCCCGTATAGCCAAGACAATCCTAAGCAAAAATAACAAATCTGGAGGCATCACGTTATCTGAATTTGAACTATATTACAAGGCTGCAATAACCAAAACAGCATGGTACTGGCACCAAAACAGATATATAGACCAATGGAACATAACAGAGGCCCCAGAAATAACGCCACACATCTACAACCATCTGATCTTTGACAAACCTGACAAAAACAAGCAATGGGGAAAGGATTCCCTATTTAATAAATGGTGTTGGGAAAACTGGCTAGCCATATGCAGAAACTGAAATTGGACCACTTTCTTAAGTCAAAAGGACTTACTGAGAACTGACCTCCTTTTCTCCCAGGTTTTTATGGTGACCCCTTTGCATCACCTGACTCCCAGGCTGCAGGTCAGACTTGTCAGTGTGCCTTCTGAGGTGTTAAAGTTCTGGGCTTTGACCTTAGGGCTGATGTCTTGGAGGTAGTCTGTGGGGTTATAGAAAGACATACTCCTGAGGAGTTGCCGCCCCTTTTTCTCCTCCTCCTCATCCAAAAATTAACTCAAGATGGATTAAAGACTTACACATAAAACCTAAAACCATAAAAACCCTAGAAGAAAACCTAGGCAATACCAGTCAGGATATAGGCATGGGCAAAGACTTCATGATTACAACATCAAAAACAATGGCAACAGAAGCCAAAATTGACAAATGGGATCTAATTAGACTAAAGATCTTCTGCACAGCAAAAGAAACTATCATCAGAGTGAATAGGCAACCTACAGAATGGGAGAAAAATTTTGCAATCTATCCATTTGACAAAGGGTTAATATCCAGAATCTACAAGGAATTTAAACAAATTTACAAGAAAAAAAACAACCCCATCAAAAAGTGGTGAAAATATATGAACAGACACTTCTCAAAAGGAAGACATTTATGTGGCTAACAAACATATGAAAAAAAGCTCATCATCACTGGTCATTAGAGAAATGCAAATCAAAACCACAATGAGATAATTATGTCATCTAGACAAAGTAGATGTCAGAACAAGGAATATTACCAGGGATAAAGAGGGATATTATTTAATGATAAGGGGTTATTTCTCCAAAGACACAAAACAATCTTAAGTGTGTATGCACCTAAAAACAGAGCTTCGAAATACATGAGACAAAAGCCGATAGAAATGAAAGGAGAAATAGAAAAGTCAAAAATTTTTTGTATAAGGTGTAAGGAAGGGGTCCAGTTTCAGTTTTCTGCATATGGCTAGCCAGTTTTCCCTACAACCTGTGAATAATGGAGCTAAAGATTTATTTAAACATGAAGATCTTTGTTTTATAAAAAATCACACATAGTTACACATTGTCAGACCTTTTTTAATTATTATTTTTACCAGACATAAGAAGGCAAGTACATATACCTACACATATATGTATTTACGCATATTTGAAATATTATCAGTCTATGTTACGAAGAGCTTTCACATGAATGATCTGGTTTAATAAACAAGTGACCACTGAATAAAAATATTTCTTTTCTAAAGAGTAGGCTAACAAGTTAGCTAATTAAAACCTAGATCTGGGATTGGAGTAGAAGACTAATTAATATCTGCTATCTTCTCCACTTTAGTATCAAAGGAAGGATGTAAGCCCATGATGAGGATTTCTTTGCTGCCTTACCCTCTAAGTTTCTTTTCCTGTTGTCATTCCTCCTAGTGGAGCCTGCAGTGACCATCTCCCCAGCTAAGACAGAGGTCAGCCATCACAATTTGCTGGTCTGTTTGGTGACAAATTTCTTTCCTTGCCAAGTGAAACTCAGATGGTTCCAGAAAAAACAGGAGCAGACTGCTGGAGTTGTATCCATACCTATTCAGAATAGGGATTAGACCTACCAGATTCTTGTAATGCTAGAAATAATACCCGAGCATGGAGATGTCTACACCTACCATCTGGAGCACCCCAGCCTCCAGAGCCCCATCACGGTAGAATGACGTAAGGAGCACTTTATTTATATCATAGATTCAATGGAAAAAAGGAAGGGTGGCGGGGGGTCTGGGTCTTGTCGGGGTGAGATCACTACTAACCTCTGCTTGTTATACATTTTCATATCTTCTCTCCTACACAACAGTATCCCCATATAATTTCTGGACTAGTAGTCATGGAAGACTGAGATCCCATTGTCTCAAGTCAAAATGCACTTGCTGAGAACTGAACTCCTTTTCTCCCAGGTTATTATGGTGGCCCCTTTGCATCACCTGACTCCCAGACTATAGGTCAGCCTTGTCGGTGCGCCTTCTGAGGTGTTATAGTTCTAGGTTTTGACCTTAGGGCTGATGTCTTGGAGATGGTCTGTGGGGTTATAGAAGGACATATCCTTGAGGAGTTGTCGTCTCCTTTTTCCCCTCCTCCTCATCCATCCATGCTGCCCCTTGGGGTCTTTGCCTGCCTGTCATCTCCTTTGCTTGGTGACAGACTACCTCTGTCTCTTACATCCTGGATAGGTCTCCAGGCTTCCAGATGAGGACACTGTGGGGTGTGGGGACAGGCTCTGACACACAGGCTTTCACTTCCCAGGGACACTGTCTGAATCTGCCCAGAGGAAGATGCTGAGTGGCCTTCGGGGTCTTGTGCTGGGGCTGATCTCTCTTGGTTTGGGCCTTGTGGCCCAGCCATTTTTGGAATAAGAAAGGTAAGGCACCTTTGAAGAAGATGGAGAGACTGGTGCTGCGACCGAGGCTTTTTGTTGTAACTCGTCCTGTCTGACTCTATAACGGAAAGGCAGCTAAGGTGGGGATGGAAATAGATCACAGAAATTAGGAACACTGAGAGCTCCCTGGCCTGGGTCATGTCTGCATCATTACAGAAGTGAGTGGTGGAGGGTTATTCTTAAATAGACAGGGCTCTGGTCACAGATAAGATCCCTGCTCTCCTTGCCCAGAAATATGACACACATAAGGTGGAAAAAAGAGTTGAGTGGGTTTTTCTGGACACCTGAACATGCTTCAGTTATTTTGCTGTTCCTGAATGAATGTGGCATGAAACAAAATTCTGGAATATTCTGGAAAAAAAATTCTGGAAAAATTCTGGAACATTCTGAAAAGTCTCTGCTCTAAACTTCAGGGATTATTCCTCAGAATAAGATCCAACCTGTGGTATCAGTCATTCAGTGAGGCTTGGATGATGCCCCCATATCCCCAAATTGCAGAGAGTGCTGCTGAACTTGGCGGTAGGTGAGATGAGAGGCAGTTACAGTTGTTACCATTCCAGTTAGTCCACGACCTATGCATCACCAAAGCATTTCAACATCCTCTTCTGCCTTCCACAGGCCCCTTCAAGCTGATGTTTTGTGTTCACTTTAACAGAGTAAAGTGCACTTCAGATATATTGCGATTTTGGTTCCAGAGAGCACTGCAAGAAAGTTAAACGTATCTTTTGGTTTCCCAGTGCATGTAAAAGTCATGTTTACAATATACAGTTGTCTATTAAGTGTGAAATGGCATTATGTCTAAAAAAGTGCATACCTTAATTAAAATATTTTATGGCTAAAAATACTAACAATCCTCTGAGCCTTTAGTGAGTTATAATCTTTTTGCTGATAGAAGGTTCTTTCCTTGATGTTGATGGCTGCTGCTGCAGTTTGAGGTGGCTGTGATAATTTCTTAAAATGAAAGAACAATGAAGTTTGCTGCATAGATTGACTCTTCCTTTCATGAAATATTTTTTTGTAGCATGTGATGATGTTTGATAGCATTTTACCCACAGCAGACCTTCTTTCAAAATTGTAGTCAATCCTCTCAAACCCTGCTACTGCTTTCTCAACTAAGTTATGTAATATTCTAAATCCTTTGTTGCCACTTCAACAACATTCACAGCATCTTCACCAGGGGTAGATTCCATCTCAAGAAACCACTTTCTTTGCTCATCCATAAGCCACAGTTCCTCATCCATTCAAGTTTTATCATAAGATTGCAGCAATTTAGTTACATCTTCCAATTCCACTTCTAATTTGAGTTCTCTTGCTATTTCCATGACATCTACAGTTCCTTCCTCCACTGAAGTCTTAAACATCTCAAAGTCATTCATGAGGGTTGGAATCAGCTTCTCCCAATCTCCTGTTAATGTTGATATTTCGACCTTCTCCCATGAATCATGAATGTTCCCAATGACATCTAGAATGGTGAAGGCTTTTCAGAAGGCTTTCAATTTGCTTTCCCCAGATCCATCAGAGGAATCACTGTCTCTGACAGCAATAGCCTTACATAATGTATTAAATAATAAGACTTGAAAGTTAAAATTACCCCTTGATCCATGAGTTGCAGAATGGATGTTGCATTAGCAGACATGAAAACAACATTCATCTCCTTGTACATCTCCATCAGAGCTCTTGGATGACTAGGTACCTTGTCAATGAGCAGTAGCATTTTGAGAGGAATATTTTTGTCTGGGCAATGGGTCCCAACAATAGGCTTAAAATATTCAGCCAACCATATTTTAAACAGCTGTGCTCTTATCTGGCTTCGTTGTTTCATTTATAGAGCACAGGCAGAGTAGATTTAGTGTAATTCTTAAGGGCCCTAGTATTTTTGAAATGGTAAATTAGCACTAGCTTCAATCTAAAGCCACCAGCTGCATTAGTCCTTAGCAAGAGAGTCAGCCTGATCTTTGAAGTTTTGAAGCCAGCATTGACTTCTCTCTAACTCTGAAAATCCTAGAAGACACCTTCTTCCAATAGAAGGCTGTTTCATCTCTATTGAAAATCTATGATTTAATGTAGCCACCTTCATCAGTGATCTTAACTAGATCTTCTGGATAAATTGCTACAGCTTCTATATCAGCACTTGCTACATCATCTTGTACTTTGGTATTATGAAGGTGGCTTTTTTCCTTAAGCCTCATGAATCAACCTCTGCTAGATTCAGACTTTTTTTCTGCAGCTTCCTCACATCTCTTGGCCTTCATAGAACTAAAGAGAATGAGGGCCTTTCTCTGGATTAGACTTTGGCTTAAGGGAATGTTGTGGCTAGTTTGGTCTATCCAGATCACTCAAACTTTTTCCACATCAGCAATAAGACTGTTTTACTTTCTTATCATTTGTATGTTCACTTGAGTAGCACTTTTAATTTCTTTCCTTCAAGACCTTTTCCTTTGCATTCACAACTTGACTAATTGTTGAAAGCAAGAGACCTAGATTTTAGCCCATCTTGGCTTTTGACATGTCTTCTTCACTACGCTTAATGATGTCTAGCTTTTGATTTAAAGTGAGAGACAAGTGACTTTACTTAGATGCCATTGTAGGGTTACTAATTGGCCAATTTTAATGTTCTTGTGTTCTTAGGGAATAGGGAGGCCTGAGGAGAGGGAGAAAGAGAGGGAGGATGGCTGGTCAGTGGAGCAGTCTAAACATATACAACATCTAACAATAAAGTTCATTGTCTTATATGGGTTCAGCTCATGGTGCCCCAAAACAATTACAACAGTAACATCAAACATTACTGATCATAGATCGGCATGTAATAGTAATGAAAACGTGAAATATTACAAGAATTACCAAAATATGACACAAAGACACAAAGTGAGGACATGCTATTGGTGAAATGGTGCTGATAGACTTGCTTGGTGCAACCCTTCAATTTTTAAAAAACCACAATATTTGAGAAGCACAACAAAACATAGCACAATAAAATGAGGCATTCCTGTTGCCATCTCTACTCAGTTACCAGGAAAGGTAACGAGGAGCAGGTGTTGACATAAACTTAGCCTTAGTGTCCTGACAACTGCAGAGAGGCCGCAAGGGTGGGAGGGACTGTGTTTCTCCAGGGGTTGTTGTATCATGTGATTGTTTCTTCTGTCTCCCAGAGGGCTCACGCATTGGCTGCAAACATTTTTCTTTCTGGAATCTGTTACCTCTTTCTTGTCTTGTCTTGACTTTACTTTTGTCTGTAATTCCCAGCCCCTCTTCTGTCAGGCCTGTGAGCAAGCCATTTCTGCCAGCTGTGTCACCCATCAGGACATGACTCCCACGGTGACTGAGAAGTGGCTGCCAGGTTGTTGCTTGTTCTTGTCTTTCCTAAATTCCTGCCTGCAAGAAATTTCCTAAATGTTTGCTTACTACCATGATAATGAGAGCTCTGCTCTCTGCTGTCTGCTGTCCCTGTTTGGACCATAAATACTTTCATAAGCTTTTACTACCTTCTTCTGTTTCTGAAGACTGATCATGAACTAAATGTCAAACTTCTTATAATTCAATAATTAGTTTTTCAAAATTAAATAGATTTGTGAGTCACTTGTGTTTCTAATTCTGATTGAGTAGGGTAGTGGTGTTGGTGGGAAACATTGAGCTAAGAAAGGGATCAGATTCTAGAACTTTAGTTCAGTTATGACCCCCAAAGAAGACAATGTCCAGGCAAGGACACTCAAAAATCATGAGTCGCCATACTTGGTCTAAGTCAGATGCTACATAAGAAAGTGAAATGAGATACGAAATAAATTTAATTTTCCATCATCAGTGGGGCTTGGAAGTTGGGATTGTGTGCAGCAGTCTTTCCTGACTTCTGCGATAGTCTGATTAGTTTCACTTATTTGTGTAAGTAGAATTGTTTTGCACCACTCATGGTACCTAATACCGTAACTTAACCAAATGGCACCACAAATATCTTCTGGTGAGTACAATGTGTTCTTCAGGGCAAAAGACAATGATTGTTGATTCCATCCAACCTACCCAATTGTATAATTACCAGTGGAGGTTTTATTAGAAAGTAGTATTTTGGTTGCTTGTAATGGAAACTCTATTAGTACCATCTTAAGGGGAAAAATTAATTTTGGGGTTCATGCAATCAGAAAGTTTCTAGGTGAATTTAGCTTCTGAAAAATGCTTAGATACTGGACACAAATGAAACCTTTTTCTCTCTTCTCTTTCAGTTCCCTCCCTCTCTCTCTCTGACCCTTCCCTCCCCCTTCTGCCCTCATTCCCTTCTCTCAGTGCACTTCTGTTTCATTCTACTCTATATTTCTCTCTGTTTGTCTCTTCCTTTCTCTTCAAATCTCTTTTCTATCTCTGTCTGAAAGACCTCCTCCCCATTAATATATTTGATAGTTTTCTGTCTTTCTTCGATTTGCATTTTCCCTTATATCCATTTCTCTGAATTGCTGTTTCTTTTTCTCTCTGTGACTCTCTCTTACATATATATATGTGTGTGCGTATATATATATGTGTGTGTGTGTGTGTGCATATATAATTTATTATCTGTCTCTTGGGTTGTCTCTCTGTCCAACTCTTTTCCTCCCTGCCATCTCTCTACTGGCCTGTGTGCCTCACTGCCATTTTTTCCCTGTCATTCCTTCCGTCCATTGTCTTTTTCTTTGTCTATGTTTTATGTTTATGTTGTTTATTTCCCTGCATCTTTCAGTCTGTTTCTCTTTGTGTGTATGTATTTCTTGGTCTCTTGCTTGTGTTCTCTGTGTAGGTCTCTTTGAGTTCAGCTTTTTTCCTATTTATTACCCTTATTTTTTCCTATGGAAGTCAAACATTTCCTACATGGCTATGAAGATGGACATCTCATATTTTCAGCTCATCATCTGAATAGCAACAGATCAAACATGTCAGCTCCATTTTGATAATTTGAAGAAAGCTTAGCTTGAGTGGCATTCCAGTTTCTCAACCAATCACTTCAGCCATGGGATGTGGGACTCTGATTAGCCAGGCCTTAGATTTGAACCCACTTCTGTGTCAGGAATACAGATTTTCTTTTTCCTAAACAAAGGTGGAAAAAGAACAAGGCTGGATACGTAATAATAATAGTGGAAATAAAAATAATAACTATCATAATCTATTATACAAGGCTTTTATATATGAAGTCTCTCTCTCTCTCTCTCTCTGTTTCTCTGTTCCTTTTCACATTAAAAAATTCAGAAGATGCACCCTTTAAGTAGAATATGTGTAGTTCTTATACAACTGAAGCTTCATTTGTCCCATTCTAAAATGAGAAAATTCCAAATTATAAAAACCTTCAACTCCAGGAACTCTGGTGATATGAATTTCTCCTTAACTGCTTTGAACATGGCTCTCATTGGTCCTACAAACTATGATGAAATAATAGACGAATCTACCTTTAATACAGGTGGAAATAATAACATAACCACAATGAAACCACAATCAACTATCACTTCTGCCCAATGTGATGAGGTATTCGAAAGGCTAGGTGAAATCTGTTGCCCACTGCTCTTTCATGGGGATGTAATCTCTTATGGAGAAAGAACGAGTCACTAGGACACAAATGCAAAAGCAGCTGGAGTTATGTAATAGGGCACTCCTCACAAACCATCCCCAACATGTGTCTGCTACTACTGACTACTTTGGAGGGAGTCATCAAGGAAAATATGGTTGGCAAAATTAGGGCAGATATCAATGTCATTTGAGATTTGTCATGTCCATGTGAGTCTCTTTGGTTATGAACTTTTTCAGGTATAGATCCCCAAGAGGCTCTGTTATTAAGGTTTTCTAGTGAGGAGTCAATAGCAGCTTAGCTCTTGGAGTCCTGCCCCTATTTAAGGTTTAAATAATCAGATTGGACAATTATGAAATACTAGATCCTACCTATCTACAACTTCAAATGTGTGGGAGTATCTTGCCTTTAGCGTCTTCCACACTTTTTAGTTTACATCACTGGTTTTATTTAATAACAGAAATAACAGAAAGCCATCAGGGGAAGGAGGAATTATCCTTGATTTGTCACATTCTCAATTCCACATTCAGCCAGTTGGTGAATTCTATCAATTGAATGATAAAATACTTCTCAACTTAGTCCATTTTATTCATCTTCTTTGTAGCCACTTGACTTTAAGATACTGCCATTTTCCTCCTGAATTGTTGAAATAGCCTCCCACCTCATCACCCTACTTCCTTCTTGATTCCTACAGTTCATTTTCCACACAACTGCTAGAAATGTTTATAAAACTTAATCTATACCACATCTATATCATGATTAAACACCTCACATGTTTTCTTATAGCATCTAGAATTAAACCTAGATTTCTTACCTGGCTAATCAAATCTTCTGCCTGGCTAATGAAATCTTCTGTGATCTGCTCTTTGCCCATAATACTGAGTTCACTGTCTACCTTTTAACTGTTTCATTTTATTAGTTTGGGTAACACCAGCTGCTATACAGAATAAAGATAAAAATTTCAGGGTACTAGCTAAATAGACATTCTCTTCTTATTCACATAACAGTCCATTGCCAGATTGCTAATAGTCTAGGTATTTTTCTCCATATAGTGACTCAGGGACCCAGGCCCTTCACATGTTGTGATTCTGCTCTTTTACTGGACTTTCTGCCCTCTGCTTCCAATGATGAAAGGCAAAAGAGAGAGGGTGGAGAAGGCACACTTATTACTTAATTCCTTGGTGTGCCAGCAACACACTTTACTTTCAGTCACATTTCATGGTGAGCACTAGTGATGTGACCCCATCTAGATGAAAAAGCGTGAAAGTGGAGTCCTTACTTGGACTGCCATTTCTGAGCAATATTGCTAAGCAGGAGGAGGAGTGAACAAATTTTGGTGGAAATCCAGCCATCTCTGCCACTGACCTCATTTCTGTTTTTTTTTAACATTTCAGGTTTGGTCTACATTAGGGTGGTTTCTTCTGCCCGGAATATTTCTCTACCTGATTGTTATACGTACATTATCTTATTTCTAGCTCTTTATGTTATTTATGTTTCAGCTTAAATATAACCTAAGATTTTCCTGATGACCAAATTTGGAGTTGCCACTCAGTTACTCTTTATTAAATATTAATTTTCTTCATATCAGTTATCACATTTGTGAAAGCCATATATTTAATTGTAAGACCTGGTAGTTGAACAATTATTTTTAAAAGTCAGTTGCAGTTGAGAATAATTAGAATGATTTTTAAATATATAATATGGTAAACATTTTATTTTAACTTAAGTAAATACATGTACAAATGTATATTTGTTTGGCAATATGTTGACATAGAACCAAGGCTTCACTTGGTGAATGTGTCTGTTGTTTAGAGTTTTAGGTTATCTTAAATGCCTAAACAACACCCATAACAAACTTTCTATCATATCAAATTTTAGTTTTTTAAAAAGTTTATGAGAATTTAGAGTGAAACATTACAAAGAATTCTGAATTTAGAAACCTTTTAGATTTCACCCCATTTTCTCCATTTAAAAGTTATTTTACCAATTTCTAATTTAATAATTTTATTAAACAACTTATCTTTATTATTTCCAAAGCATTTATTTAAGAACTTAAAATTTCCCTTTTAAAATTCATACTTAATTCATAATGAAATATTTACTTTTTTAAATATATAATTACAATAACCAGTCAATAGAGATGAACAGGTTTGTGAGCAAATGCCAGCAACTTTTGGTAAACATTAAACTCAACTAATGGAAGCAGAAATATACAGGAAGGCCAAAGAACAGCTGTGAGCTATTGGCATGTCATGGGCATCAGCTTGTTTACTGAAGAAATGAAATATGCCAGTTGAACCAATAAATCAATTCAATGAAATTGTCTATTGTATCTGGTCATTTTGTTGTTCACTTAATTGATCATAATATAAACATATCTCTTATTTTTCTGGTTTCTGTCCATCTATTGATCTACAATTATCTATCATTATCATTTATTCATCTATTTATTTAGAGTATAAAATCAAAAGAGACACCTTGTCTATTTTGTTCAGCAATATTCTAAGTACCTAGAACACTGCTTAATAAATAAATATTAAGTAGGTGCTTAATAAATATTTGCTGGTTGACTACATGATGACTTTTGCTTCAGGAATTCACCTGTTTCTGAAATCTTTCCTCCTTTCTTGGGAATGTTTTGGTACTCCTGTGCCAATATCACACATTATTATTTTATAATATACTTTGATGTCTAGGGTGCCCTCTTCCTCGTTCGTGATTTTCCTTTGCAAAATTTTCTTGGCTATTTTTGTCCATTAACACATATATAGTGGTAGTGGTGGTAATATTTTCATAAGGCAGAATTCCATCATCATTATTCAGTATTAACTTTTGTGTTTTCCACATTTCCCTTTTATGAATATGAAATGATGTTATTTAAAATGGTATTTAAAAAATCTTCAATATCGTATTTTCTACAGAAATACAATGCTTTATCACACAAGACCTTCAAATCAACAATCTCGCTACACACTCTTATCAATTGCATAGTCTACCTTTGAAATTATTTTGTGTATTTCCTTTGTACATAGTTACAACATTTGCTAAAAATGATAGCTTTTCATTCTCTTCAAACTTTATAGCTTCTTCTTTTCCTGTCTCTACTGCATTGGAAGGGACATACAATAAACAGCTAGTAGATGTTATAGCTGCCGTTCTTGTTTTGTTTTTGAGCCTACCAGATCTGCCAATATTGAAGTTCTTATTCTAAGGCTTTGTCTTAGGTCTTTTTAAGCAGAAACAAGAGAAAATAATTACTATCTAATTTCTATGAACCAGAGAAAACATGTCAAGAAGACATGGGTTCTCTATGGTATCCTATTCATTACTCAAAATGTAAGTTTCATATGGATTTCAAATATAGCTAACTCTTTGATGTTGCTCAAGTCTTCCATTCTGTTCTGGTTCTCCATGAAAAAATAAAGAGGCAATCAGTTACCCATTGGGACTCAGTGTGCTGAACAAAAATTCCCAAGAAGAAGATCAATTTCAGGGGCAATTGGGAGGAGGGTCTTCATGTCTTGGCCTTGAGGGCAAAGATGCTGAGGACTCTCTCTGATCAAGGTAATAATGATCACTGAAAACAGACACCCAGAATCCATATTCCTACATATAGTGCCAACTAGAGTAGGAGTTCAAGTCTCAATTTATTTATTTATTACAGAAGAGGGTGTTGAGTTACCATCAAAAAGATTTTATATTCTGTCTGTTCAAGTGGTAGACATGGAGTATTGAATAGCTACAGAGAACAAAATTTACCTTAGTTTATTTTGAGCAGAAAGGAGTTTATTACAGACCTTAACATAGCCTAGAGAATCATGAGGACAATAGAAGGAACTGAATCGGGCAACCAAGGAAACCACCTCCTCTTCTACAATCAGGAACTCACGCTGCTCAGAACAGCCGTATTCGGGAAGCTCCTCCATTTAGTAAGCCCCCAAAATCATCTGCTAAAATCTGCACCAGTAACAGACACCCTGCATGCTGCCTCTTTATATCCATGAAGTCAGTTATCAGACATGAAAATCTCTCCTAATTCTGGCACAGAAAATAAGGCACCCCTACACTGGTGCCTTTTCAGGTCAAAAAAGCCCCTCAGCATGTCCAAACTTTACCAGAATGCCTCTGATTGGCTAAATCTAAATGACATCAAATGCTATCCGGGAAACGTTCTTTTCAGTTGCACATCTTTTGCAGTACAGGAGAAATGCACCGGAAGAGGTTGAGAGGTATGTTTCGTGACAATCCACTACATATGGGAATAGGGACACTCAAACCTTCTCCTGCATTTTTCTTAGTAACACAATTTCCAGATCCAATCCTCTGCAATGGAAACTAGGAGGGATGGCATCATTACAGAATAGATAATGTACATGTCAATAATTTTTAGGCCCAATAGACCTTTTCTACTTAATATACCACCACCACCAACAACAAATTTTTGTTAATCCAGTGCCAAGGAGAAATAATTGACATGCCTGTCGCTTATTCCATATTTTAAGCTATTTTTATGGCTTGCTTTCTTTAATGAGTAATAAGCTCATTATCTCTTTTTAATCTTTCAAGACATAGGCTTTGGTTCAGTCTAGAGAAGCCAGCATTACCACAATGTCCCTTTCAGTCTGCTGTGGCCAGGAAGTTTCCAGAAAATCACAGGGCAATCCAAGTAGCTCTTCTACAATGTGTTTTTCTCTATGGTTTTACTTATTCCACAATATAACATTCTTTTTGTCTCTCAATAAACTTAAGTACACTAACTCCCTATCTGTTTCTCTAACATGCAGATTTGTTCCTTCCTTAGCAATTTTCACTTATGTTCTTGCCGTGTGGAGTGGTTTGCTATGGATTTTGAATAGCTGGCTTTTTCTTAGCATTCAGGTCTCTTTTCAAATAGAGTATTTCTAGAATAACCATTTCTAGTCACTCAACCTAAAGAAGTTCCCTCAAATCACTCCCAATTACTTTTGTTTTTCTCCTCAGAGAGCACTCATTATTATATGATAATCTTTCTTCATTTATTTGATTTCTTTGATAGCAGCAACCTTATTTGTCTCATAAAACATTGTCTCTCTAACTTAGATTATTACATAGCTTATATTATATAATAATATAAACAAAACCCATATAAATTAATCATTAGTACATTAATCTCCATTTTAGTCAGATGACACTGAACTAATCATATAGTAATTAATACACATGCTAAATAAGTAACTACTTCTATTTCAAGCTCTATCTCTTCTTTGCCACACTATCATGCCCTAGTTTCAAATTGTGCAGCAGATTTAGCCTCCTTCCTTCCCCAACCATGATCCTAGCTTTCCACACAACCATGACTCAGCCCCAACTCTACCTAATCCTTAGTGCCAAGCAGCCTCGTATCATCCCTACTTGTCCTTCGAACCAACCACACTTGGATAAGAGTTACCTCCATACCAAAGTAAAACCCAGTGTAAATAAGCCCCTTTCAAACACACACACACACACACATACACACACACACACACACACACACACACACACACACACACTTGGCTTTACAAACAAGATCCCAAACCTTTTCCTTTCATGGTTGGAAGTTTGAAATAATGTAAATAAGCAATTCTGCTCTAATTTCCCTTCATCCTCAGTATCAAACGGAAACCAAACCAAAACAAGTCAAATTACCATAACAGACAAAAATCTTTACATTAAAAGAGTAATTAATAATAAACACTTTAATATATTCTTTAAATAAGAGAAATCTTCGTTTCATCATGTTGGCAATCCTAGTGAAAAGCTGTACTCAAAGTTTAAAGGAAAATTATTTTTTAAAAGACTTCTTGATTTCAGCATCAAGTGTAAAAGGCAAAACCTTGTAAAATCATAAGATTTTTATTTAAACATGAACAATTAGCCAATAAAAGAATCTTTTCCTTATGAATATGAAATGGGGTACAGATTATTGGAGCAACCCTTTTTCTTTATGATATGAGTCATAATTAAAAAATAAACTGCAGTTTATATGGTTTGGCTGTGTCCGCACCCAAATCTCATCTTGAACTGCAGTTCCCATAATTCCCACGTGACTTGGGAGGGTTCCAGTCAGAAGTAATTGAATCAGGGGAGTGGGACTTTCCCATGCTGTTCTTGTAATAGTCTCACAAGATCTGATGGTTTTGTAAATGGGAGTTCCCCTGAACAAGCTCTCTCTTGCCTGCTGTCATGTAAGATATACTTTTGCTTCTCCTTTGCCTCCCACCATGATTGTGAGGCCTCCCCAGCCATGTGGAACTATGCGTCCATTAAACCTCTTTCCTTTATAATTTACCCAGTATTGGATATGTCTTTATTAGAAGCGTGACAACAGACTAATACAGCAGTTATCTCATGGCAGTTTATTAGGAATATCTTATTAGAATATGTTAAACATCTTCTCACACTATTAGTTCCTGTGAGGTCTGATTGTTAAAAAGAGCCTGGAACCTTCCTCCTCTTTCTCTTCCTTCATCTCTCGCCGTGTGGTATCTGCACATGCTGGCTCCCCTTCTTCCGCCACAAGTGGAAGCACCCTGAGGTCCTCATCAGATGCAGATGCTGGTGCCATGCTTCTTGTACAACCTGAAAATCATTAGCCAAATAAACTTTTCTTTATTAAAAAAGAATATATTGAACATCTAAACTGATGCAATGTAATAAAACATATTTAATTTAATCCTATCATCATTTTTTCTTTTCAATGTGTTCTTTGGGGTTAGCCAATTCCTTACCTTGAATGAGCATTCAGGAAGGCTTCATAACCTCTCTGATAATGTTTAAGTAAAAAAAGAAAGGTATTCAATTAGTCCCATTCAATAGTCAAATTTCTATATTTTATTCAAAACGGAGGCCTCACACTCTTGCCTATTCAAGAGTGTTGCAGATGAGAAGCTCACAAACAGTGAAGGTGCAAAATTAGCTTCTTTTGTTTCTACAGCTTGTGCTTCTATTTCTTCTACCTGATATAGTTTCAGACCCCTGCGAGTTGAGGCATGGAGAGCAGAAGAGGACAGTTTTTACTTGCCTGATATTTCATGAGCTTGAATTGAATGCTCTAGGGAAAACAGATGCATAAGAAGACTCCATTGTGAACATTTTCATGAATTCTTTGAGAATCCACACTCCCCTAGTTCAGAGCCCGGTGAGGGCTACTGCATCTCCATTCTCATGGAATTCTCAGTCACTAGGCACTCTGGAATACTAGCAGCCTCTTTCTTCTATGATCTGTTTCTCTTGGAGGCTGCCTTGAGATACTAAGACAAGCAGACCCCAGACCTTTCCCTTACTTTTGGTCTACGTCGATTGCCAAGGAAAGATGAATCTCTTTCCTTCTGGAAGTCAGGCAAATCCTAGTGTAGCTACTTGTTCTTTTCTCTGCTTGAAAATGGTACGTGAGTGCTAGGAAGGCAAGAGTGTGGTCCCTTTAAATGATAGGGAAGCAGGGAGCAGAAGTGCTGGGTAGAGGAGGGTATGGTCCCTGGCTAGGGCTCCATCCCCACGGACCTAGGTGAGAACAGGCATTCCCTGTCCAAATGTTGCATTTCCCAAGACCACTCTGGCCTGCCATGCCCCATCCTCTGCCTATAAAAACCTGAGACCCTAGCAAGGCAGGGACAGAAGCTGCTGGACGTTGAGAGAGAGCACATCAGCAGAGGAACACACCCACTGGGGCTTCAGGAGCTGTAAACATTCACCCCCAGACACTGCTGTGGGATCAGAGCCTCACAGCCTGACCATCTGTATGCTCCCCTGGAGGTCTGAGCAGCGGGCACTGGAGAAGAGAGCCACATCGCACTCCCTGCAAGGGGAACAAGGGAATTTTTTCTGTTTCAAAAACATGTAGCTAAGTTGACTCTTGGACTTCAGCATTCTTCAGCATACCCCAGGTACCAATCTACTGAATTGTCCAAACTCTGGAATATGTATGTACATTAAACTCTCCAAGAGGTCTTTTCATAAGAAGGTTTTTAAAATTTGAAATTCATTATTCACTAAAAATATTTTTGGCTGGGCGTGGTGGCTCACACCTGTAATCCCAGCACTTTGGGAGGCTGAGGCAGGCAGATCACCTGAGGTCAGGAGTTCGAGACCAGCCTGGCCAACATGGTGAAACCCTGTCTCTACTAAAAATACAAAAATTAGCCAGGTGTTGTGGTGCATGCTTGTAATCCCAGCTACTTGGGAGGCTGAGGCAGGAGAATCACTTGAACCTGGGAGGCAGAGGTTGCAGTGAAATGAGATTGCACCACTGCACTCCAGCCTGGGCAGCAGAATGAGACTCTGTTTAAATATATATATACATATATACATATGTGTGTATATATATATTTGAGAAAACTGCTTTGTGCCAGAAAGTGTTGGAGGTACTAAAGATACAACAGAAATAAGGCAGAAAAAATTATTCCTGTCCTCATGGGACGTATATTTTAGTGGTGCAGGAACAGATCATAGACAACATTTTAAAAGGTACATTAGTTAGTGTATTAGTCATCTGTTGTCACAACAATGCTGCATTACAAACAACACAAATCACCAGTGGCAGATAACAATATGCTTATATGTCTGGGTCAGCTAGGTGGCACTGCTAACCTTGGCCAAGCTCACCTATGTATCCAAGGTGGACTCTTCTTCACATGCCTCTCATCCTCTTCTTAGGGCCGGTGGACTTGCCTAGAAATGTCCTTATGGCAATGCAGAAGCAAGCAAAATGTTAGCTCCAATACATACGCCAATTTCAAGGCCCAGAGTGTGTGACATTTGCTAATAACTCCTTGGCTGTAGAGGAACACATGGTTAGGCCTAATGTTGAGAGGCAATTCAAGTCACCCATCCATAATGGGAGAGCATAGTAAAGTTAGATTGCAAAGGGCGTGGATATAGGGAGGGATGATGAATTAGGATCATCATCATAATCTATTAGAGTCCACTTTTATTGCTACAATTTTTCATATTCTTCCAATATGAAAAATATGCTTACCCCTAATCTGGGATCACCAGAAGTCTCATGCAATCATGGCATCAGCCATCAAGTTCAAAATCTCACAATCAGGATGCAGGTCAGAATGCAGTTCTCCTTAATCCAGAAACATACTGATAGAGCTGGAGCCCTGTCATCTCGGACAAACACCGCCACTTTAAATTCCAGCTCCCTTTCTAGCCTCATGCATTTCAAGGAAATCACTTCTCTTCTAACTACAAATAGCCAGAAAGAGCAGACAGTAAAACACAGATAAGAGAGTTTGGGCACAGAGAAAGGTTGGGGGAAGGTCCCCTGGGTAACTGCCAAACTTCACCCCCATACAATGGGCCCTAAAACAGTGGGCCTTAATAAGCACATTCCTTTCCCTTCAGGTGCACTAAGATAGGGAAGCTAAAAGCAGACTCTGGGGATATGCCTGCAGCTGCAAAAAAGATGTATGGGAACAGACACACAACTCTCCCTCCTAGATAAGCACAACAAAGAGACACAGAAGCAGTCCAAGCCTTGGATAAACTCTCCCACTCTGAATCCTTAAAAAACTTAGTCTATAAGAGAGCGTGCCTCTGACCTAACTCGGCCAGAAGGCGCCTCTCAGGTTTGTTTTCTCTAAAATAAGTGTGCCGTGACTGGTGAGCCACCTTTTCGTGTGTTTCTTTCCTCTTTCTTTCTCTTTCTTTCTTTTTCTTTCTTTCTTTCTTTCTTTTTCTTTCTTTTTTTTTTTTTTTGTTTGTTTTGAGATGGAGTCTCACTCTGTCGACTGAGTGCAGTGGCGCCACCTCGGCTCACCACAACCTCTGCCTTCTGGGTTCAAGTGATTCTCCTGCCTCAGCCTCCTGAATAGCTGGGACTACAGGCGCGTGCCACCATACCTGGCTTATTTTTTGTATTTTTAGTAGAGACACACGGTTTCACCGTGTTAGCCAGGATGGTCTCCATCTCCTGACCTCATGATCCACCTGCCTCAGCCTCCCAAAGTGCTGGAATTACAGGCCTGAGCCACTGCGCCCGGCCTCCTCTTTCGTTAATTCTAAGACATACAAGCCACAACAATAGAAACAAAGTTGTCTTTCCATCAGCACTCAATACACAGTGCTGAAACTGGGTCAGGATAATGATAGTAAACATGCCCATTCAAAAACGGAAAGAATGGGGGACTGAACAGTCACTGATCCCTGGCAATTCTGAAATTCCACTGAACAAATGCTGCCTTGCACATCCCCTCTAGGGGTGGACAATATTCCTTGGTTAGCCCCTGACTCCTTTCCTTGGGAGTTTCTCATTAGTCTACCTGTCCTCAGAATTCTGTGCTCTTCCCTTTGAAAAGTACTTCCTTTTCTGTTTCCCTCCTTGGCCACCTTTAAAGAGCACATAGGATGATCGGCACTTTGAACAACTTTCTCAGCCTGTTTCTTTTACATAGAGAGTTGCAGATCCATTGCCCTTTTACATTTTAAACAACCTCAGTCTCTTTCAGTCCAGACTGGTGGCAGTTTTACCAATACAGCTGAATAAAAAACGTTGTGAGCTTTTTATATATTTGATCCCATGATACTCTGAATGCCAACAGCCTCACCAACAATTTTTTGGGAGACACAAAGCTCTTTCTAGACTTAATCACTTAGCACAAAAGAGCTTTAAATTAACTCTATTTAACCATATAGTCATAAATATCAAGGAATATATAGTAAAGAAAAAGATTTACAATCTAAAAAAGAATATGAATGTGGAATCTTTTAGATACGGAATCTAAATAAAAGAAATAAGAGTACATCATCTAAAATTAAAACTTAATGGGTGAATTTAACAGCAGACTGGTCACAGGCAAATGCAGTAGTAGTTAACTTGAAGACAGTTTAATAGAAAGCATCTACTCTGAAGCATAGCACAAGATAAAATGAAGAAGAAAGATATCAGCATCAGAGACATGTAGGCATTATCTAATGGTCAAATATACTTACAATTGTACATAAAAATAAAGGATAAAGAGTGCAGCAGAGAAAACAAAAAGATAATGGCAGAAAATTTTCCAAAACTGATTAACGATGTCAAAACACAGATACAAGAAACTTATCAACCTCAATCATAGACTAGTGAAATAAAACCATATGTAAAAAAAAATAATAAATTGCTCAAAACCAAAGATAAAGAGAAAATGTTTAAATCAGCCAGAGACGAAAGTGTCTTGTCTTTGGAAAAAAAGAACAAAAAAGGTTAAGGCTGACTTTCAATAGAAACTTTGGAATCTGGAGGAAAATGGAATGAAACCTTAAAATACGCTAAGAAAACTTCTACACCTAACACAAACCTAGAATTCTAAAATCAGAAAAACATCCTTCAGCAACAAAGCTGAAGAGGATCTTTCTGTGACGGCCAAGTTGGAATAAGCCCACTATAGTCTGTATCTTACACTAATTATAATGGGAAACATCAGGCAGAATATAAAAGGCAGCTATCTGTGGACCTTGAAAAGTACAAAATAGCATGAATATTAGGGAGGGAAGTCAGAACTTGGAGAAATAATAGTAAGGGAGTGAGTTCCTAGGGTTTTTCCTCTTTTGTCTCCTGGCTTTGACTTGAAGGTAACTCCAGACATGTAGTGTGCAGTGAGAGCAGAGAGAAGAAACTCCAAGAGACACCTCCTCTTTCTGTACAGATTGCAAAGGGGGTCTCCAGAGAGTGTGTGGAGCAATATTCCTTTTTTGGAACTTTACTTCTTTTTTCACTTCTAGTTCTTCCCTGAGTGTGGTCAGAATCAGGAAGCTGTACTAAGGCTGCTGTGGTGGAACCATCAAAAACTCTGAAAGAAACATCCCAAAAGAACTAGGGAAAAGGAACCCTGTGGCCTAAGGAATATGGGGTATTTCCCTTTATATTTTTGCTCAATTTTCTCTTCCCACTTTGCCTCAAGGGAAGCCCCAGTTGTGCAGAATCACATGACAATACTTTGAGAGAAACCAACCTTTCTGGCCAGAGGAACCGGTAAGAGGGACCTATGGGACCTGGAGAGTGTGGGAAAAATCTCAGAGGAGAGAGTGAGAGAAAGGGATCCCTAATTCTATACATGAACCATCATAACTCTCAGGGTCTTGGGCTCCCCAAGCCGCACGAGGGGGACAGTTTCACACCAGCATATCAAAGCCATTAGGAGCTGAACTATGATACAAATATCACAGTCCTAGTGCCAGACTAGTGGCTGAGAGGCCCAGGCACAGGGCAGGCACGAACAGCATGGCAAAGTCTTTGAAAACTATAATGACGTTAGAACTACGGCGCACAGAAAGCGAGATACAGCTTGCATTCTAAACTTGATGAGATTAGTTCTTGCTAAAACAAAAAATTCAACCTTCTCCTAGAATTTTAATGGGACCCAGAGCTCACAGTGTAATACAATCATGCACCACATAACGACAGTTCAGTCAAGGAAGGAACATATATAAGTTGGTCATCACGAGATTATAATGGAGCTGAAAATTTCCTATCCCTATATAATAGCCATTGTAACATTGTAGCATAATGCATTACTCACAAGTTTGTGGTGATGCTGGCGCAAACAAATCTCCTGTGCTGCCAGTCACATAAAAGTATAGCAATACAATTATGTACAGTACACAATACTCAATAATGACAACAAATGACTACGGTACTGGTATATGTATATACTATACTATACACTATATAGACGCCCTCTTTTTTCAACCATTATAAGATCTAGTCTTTGTTTCGGAGGACTGCACCAGCTAAGTGCATTTTATTGTTATTTTAGAGTGTACTCTTCCTTATAAAAAGAAAATTAACCATAAAACAGCCTCAGGTAGATCCCTAAGGAGGTATTCCTGAAGAAAACATCGTTATCATAGGAAGTGACAGCTCCATGTGTGTTTGTGTTATTGCCCCTAAAGGCCTTCCAATGGGACAAAATGGGAAAGTGCAAGACAATGATATTGATGATCCTGACCCTGTGTAGGCCTGAGCTAACGTGTGTGTTTGAACCTTAACTGTTTAGAAAAAAAAAAGTATAAAAAGTAAAAGGTTTAGAAAAAAGTTTAAACAATAAAGATATAGAGAAAGAAAATACATTTGTATAACTCTAAGTGTGTTTGTGTTTTAAGCTAAGTGTTATTACATGAGTCAAAAAGTTTATAATAATTCAGAAAGTTTATAAAGTAAAAAGGGTACACTAAACTAAGGTTAATTCATCATTGAAGAAAGACTTTTTTTCTGTAATTTAGTGTAGGCTGTGTACAGTGTTTACGAAATACTTAATGGTGTACAATAAAGGCCTAGACCTTCATTCACTCACCACTCACTCGCTGATTCACCCAGAGCAACTTCCAGTCCTGCAAGCTCCATTCATGATAAGGGCTCTATACAAGTGTACGAGTTTTTATCTTTGACAATTTCACAACACAATATAAAACAATTTGCTTAGATCCAGATTTGTTTTAGTCAATGTAAAATTCAAGAGAAAACAATTTTGATTAAGCTACTCAAAACCACACTTTCACATTCATGCCTTTTTCAATGCTTATCTGCAGGGGTGAAATCTGGACCAAACATATCCTTCTGAGCTGCAGGATACAAAAGCCTTATTTATTATTTTTAATTCTCTATTTTGCCACTTTCTGTAACTCACTATACCAATGATTCACTTCCCCTCTCTCTTTATTTTCTTCTCAGGGTATTTTGTTTTTCCATGAAATACCTACTTCTTCCTCATTGTCTTGCTTTGTGTCATACACAAGAGGCCTACCACATTCAATTTCCAATCTTTACTAACTTTGATATATATAACTTGCCACAAAACATCACTGGTGATGTTCTTGTTGAGGCTTTGCCACCATAAAACTTCTTCACAAAGAGTCCCATGGTTCAAAAGAAGATATTTTTGCTATTTTTCTCTATCCTGCTCATACACATATGCCTCATATAACCTTTTAATCTTGAACTTAGACTAGGTCCTTTAATGAAGTTGCTATGGAGCAGAATCACCATAATTCTTAACAACAATTAATTTTTTCCCTAAAGTCCACATCTTTGAAGGGAATTGGATCTTAAATTTATATTAGTAAAAAGGATCTTCACCTCTCTTAAATTTAAATACCTCATATGTCTTGAAAGATAAATTTCTCAGAGTAAATTCAATTTGTATTTCTTATCCTGGATTTCTATCCAGAAGAGCAATCAACAACTTGTATTGCTATTCTTCAGCTCATGATTGAAGAGTAAGATTTTCATAATTGAGGATTTAATAGTAGCGTTTCTTTTAGACTGACACATAACTTAAGCACAGAGTTGCATAAACATGTATATAGAGTTTAATAAATAATTAATGACACAGACTAAAAAGCTTATCCAGCTTCCCAGAAGCCCTGTGTGTGCACCTTCTACCTACCATCTTTCCCTTGGAGGAAAACATTACTCTGATTTTGTGCTAATTATTTACTTTTTAAAAATGTGTGTATGGTCTTAAATTTTATATAAATAAAATAATGTATTGGATTTGTTTCTTTCCTTTGATAAATATTGCTTTTACGAGATTCACCACTTTTTTTATGTGTAGTTGTGCATACACACGTTAGGATGGCTATTATTCAAAAGGAAAAAAGAGAATATAAGTGTTGCTGTGGATGTGGAGAAATTGGAACCCTTGTGCCTTGCTGGCGGGAATGTAAAATGATGCAGCTGTTGTGGAAAAAGGTAGAGTCATAACTCAAAAACTTTAAACATACAATTACCATATGATGCCATGATTCCACTTCTGGCCATATACCCAAAAAAACTGAAAGGAGAGACTTGAACATACATTAGTATACCCATGTTCATAGCACAAACGTTAATGGTAGCCAAAAGGTGAAACAAACAAACAAACAAATCTCCATCAATGGATGCCTGGAAAAGCAAAATGTGGTATAAACATACAATGGAATATTATTCAGTCTTAAAAAGGAAGGAAATTCTGAAAATATGCTATAACTCAGATGAAATGTAAAGACATTATGTGAAGTGAAATAAGCCAGTCACAAAAAAGGCAGATATTGTATGATTCTACCTTATGAGACCACCTTGAGTGATCAAACAGAGACAGAAAGTAGAATGGTGGTCACTAGTGGCTGGGAGGAGGAAGGAATAAGGAGTTGTTTATGGTTACAGAGTTCCAGTTTGGGATGAGGAAAAGTTCTGGAGATCTGTGGTGGTTATTGTGTACAATAGTGTGAATATATTTAATGCCACTGAACTGTACACTTAAAAAGGTGAAAATGATGAGTTTTAGTTTATTTATATTTTCCCACAATTAAGGAGAGAAGGAAGGAAGGAAGGAAGGAAGGAAGGAAGGAAGGAAGGAAGGAAGAAAGAAAGAGAAAGAAAGAAAGAGAGAGAGAGAAAGAAAGAAAGAGAGAGAGAGAGAAATAAAGAAGGAAAAGAAAGAAAGAAAATAAAGAAAAAGCTTAATGCTTAGAATTGGTGTAAAGATGTATAAGACTAACAAGTTTAAGCAAAAATGATGTTCAGTGTAAGCCACACTTGGTTCCCAGAGTTTGGGCATTGAAACTGGAGTCCCAAGTACAGATTATATAAGTCATACCCTTAGATAACATTATTTGAGGCCTATGTATGCCATAAAATAGGTCTAAGTGTTTTATATGTATTACATCATGGGTCCTCTCAACAACCTACTTTGTGGTTACTAAAGGATTACATTGCATGTAAATATAAAATACTATATTAATGAAATCTTAGTTAATCTACAAAGTTCCACAAAATAAAAACAGCCTAAATTGTAATGTTGTCAATAATCATAATTTATGAGCTTGAGCACGGAGTAAATTTAGATTGTGTTTTTACTACCACCAAATGATGCACATCCATTTACCTAGTTCACGGTCTCTATCTCTCCTTTCTCATTTATGTTAATCCAAATAGTGATACACACAGTGTTATGCAGCCATAAAAAGTGATGAGTTCATATCCTTTGTAGGGACATGGATGAAATTGGAAACCATCATTCTCAGTAAACTATCGCAAGAACAAAAAACCAAACACCGCGTATTCTCACTCATAGGTGGGAATTGAACAATGAGATCACATGGACACAGGAAGGGGAATATCACACTCTGGGGACTGTGGTGGGGTCGGGGGAGGGGGGAGGGATAGCATTGGGAGATATACCTAATGCTAGATGACACATTAGTGGGTGCAGCGCACCAGCATGGCACATGTATACATATGTAACTAACCTGCACAATGTGCACATGTACCCTAAAACTTAGAGTATAATTAAAAAAAAAAAAACAAAAAAAAAACAAAAAAAAAAAACAACCTGAAAAAAAAAAAATTACCTTCAGGCTGCTATATGTATAAAGTGTATATAAAACATAAATGCATAAAAAAAAAAAAAGAGTTAAAGAAAGAGGAAAGAAACACAAAAAGTGGCTCAACAGTCAAAGACAGGTTTATTTTGGAGAATAAACCTGAGAGGGCTTCTGGCTGATTTCAGTCAGGAGCCCTCTCTCTTACAGACTAAGAGTATTTAAGGGTTTGGGGCGAAAGGCTTGAATGTTTCTGTGTGGAGAAGAAGTTTATTGTGGGGTTGGAATGTCTCTGGTTGGAGGGGAGGTTATCTTGGGGTTGGCATCTCTCCGGTCAGAGGGGAGGTTATCTTGGGGCTGGTATGTCTCTGGTTGGAGAGGGGTTTATCTCAGGGTTGGAATGTTTCTGGGCAGAGGTATCATTTGTGGTTTAAGGTCATGCTGCCATTAGCCATTAGGCTGATGCCCTTTGGGTTGGATTTAGGTGGCTTTTGATCAAGGGGAACTTTAAAATGGTGGTGCATGTCCAAAATGGCGATGCTCCTGCTCTGTCAATCCAGATCCTATAGTTATAAAAGGATGAGGATGGTGTGTTCTTTCTGGCTAATTCCTGCTGAGGGGGGTGTGGAGAGTTTTCTGGTCTCAGATTGACTGTAGGAGTAATGCCGTCTGTAGATGTTTTTGGGTAGTTGTCTGTGAAATGGCCATGATCCTGTTGGTTAAAAATCTTTGGAAAAGATTAATTAGGCAGGGTAAGAAAGTTAGTCCTAGGCATATCATTAGGAGAGGGCCCAGGAATGGGGTGACTCATGCTATGATTTTGTTCCCAAACTAAGAATCTATTTGGTTGTGTTGGTATTCCCTTAGCTTTTCAGCCCTTTCTTTAAGTTTTTCGGCAGCATCTCTTACTACGCCCGACTGGTTGAGATAGAAACAACTTTCCTCACCCAGTTAGAGGCAGATGCCCTCTCTTTCAACCATTATAAGATCTAGTCTCTGTCTGTTCTGGAGGACTGCACCAGCTAAGGAGTCTAGTTGGTCTTGGACTCTTACAAGGCTTCAGGCTATATCTTCTAGAGATCCCTGTAGTTCTGTTGAAAGAACCTTAAAGTATGTGGCTAATCCACCTGCTCCCTCTCTAAGTCCAGAGGTTATACCCAAGGCAGCCATTAAGGAATGATGTGGATGGCTCTCCTTTTCCTAACATATTGGATGGATGGGATAGACAAAGGTTGATTAGGAGGAGCTAGTCCAATGGAAGGAGAAAGATAAACTAGAGAACAGGTTCCGGTCCGGTTGGTGGGGAGACAAAGATATGTGTTGGTGCCACACAAAAAGAACAAGCCTTCATCGTAAATACAGGCAGAGATATGGAAAGAGAATAAGTGTGTTAAAGATTGGATGTTGTTTCTTTCCTGCAGTTCCTTACTCCAGATGGACAAGGAGGAGGCCAGGGAGACATCCACTATAGTAGAGATATAGCAAGAGTTGTTTTTTACACGTTTAATGTGATCGGATGTTGCATCATTGATATTGAGCCATGGAAAAAGGTAGGAACCAGGGACAGCACAAGTTAGTTCAGAGGCATTGGTTAAGGGATAGGCTGTAAAACAAGCCAGATGCAGAAACGTTCCATTTGCTTCAGGTGATAACTTGGTAATCAGCTTGGTTAGTCTGATGGTTAGAGGGGTGTTTAATAATGATAGTGCAGTTGCATTGGTTAGGTGTGAAGGATCCTACAGGGAAATTTCCTTCAGAAGCTGAAAAGCAAAGTGAGGCTTATTGTAAAAGGGGGGTGTGTTTAGTTATAGGCCCTCCAATGCCGGGGCCTTGGGGCTTGAAGCATTGTAGGGAGTTGTAATAGGTTTGAAATAATTTGTTAGCCTGATTGGCCCTGGAAGTGGGATAATCGCCGACCACAGTCGCAGTGCAGTGCTAATATTATCAATTATTAGTGTCTCCGCAACTTCAGTATCTCTTATTATTCTAATTCTACTAACTATTCTCGAGTTTGCTGTTGCTCTTATTCAAGCTTATGTCTTCACACTATTAGTAAGTCTTTATTTGCATGATAATACATAATGACCCACCAAACACTTGCCTACCATATAGCTGTACCTAGCCCTTGACCACTAACAGGAGCTCTCTCGGCTCTCCTAATAACATCTGGCCTGGCCATATGATTTCACTTTAATTCTACCACTCTTTTAACTTTAGGCCTACTAACCAACACACTGACTATACATCAGTGATGACGTGATATTGTCCGAGAAAGTATATTCCAAGGCCACCACACAACAATTGTCCTAAAAGACCTCCGATACGGGATGCTCCTATTTATTACCTCAGAAGTATTCTTCTTCACTGGTTTTTTTCTGGGCATTCTATCACTCCAGTTTAGCACCGACCCCAGAATTAGGAGGACATTGACCCCCAACAGGTATTCTTCCCCTGAACCCTTTAGAAGTATCTCTCCTAAATACGTCTGTATTACTTGCATCAGGAGTTTCAATTACTTGAGCCCATCACAGCCTAATAGAAGGTAACCAAAAACAAATAATTCAAGCAGTACTTACCACGATCCTCTTAGGAGTCTATTTCATTCTTCTACAAGTCTCAGAATATTTCGAGGCCGCTTTATTATCTCTGATGGAATCTATGGCTCAACATTCTTTGTAGCCACAGGCTTTCATGGACTTCATGTTATTATTGGATCAACAATTCTCACCATCTGCCTTCTTGCCAATTAAAATTTCATTTTAGGCCCGGCATGGTGGCTCATCCCTGTAATCCCAGCACTTTGGGAGGCCAAGGTGGGCAGATCACCTGAGGTCGGGAGTTCGAGACCAGCCTGACCAACATGGAGAAACCCCGTCTCTACTAAAAATACAAAATTAGCCGGGCATGGTGGCGCATGCCTATAATCCCAGCTACTTGGGAAGGCTGAAGCAGGAGAATTGCTTCAAATGATCGTCCCTCTTCATCCTCCCAAAGTGCTGGGATTACAGGTGTGAGCCACCACACCCAGCCCAGCTTTGTTAATTTTTCTGTTTGCTGGTTTTCTGTTTCATTGTTGTCTGGTTTCATTTTTATTAATTCCTTCTTTCTTTTATTTGTCTTTGCCACATTTAATCATTTCTTTTTTTTATTTATTTTACTTTAAGTTCTGGGATACATGTGCTCAACATGCAGGTTTGTTACATAGGTATACATGCGCTATGGTGGTTTGCTGCACCTGTCAATCCATCATCTGGGTTTTAAGACCTGCATGCATTAGGTATTTGTCCAATGCTCACCCTTCTCTTTCCCTCCACTCCCCAACTGGCCCCGGTTTGTGATGTTCCCCTCCTTGTGTGTTCTCATTGTTGAGACATGTGAGACTTGGATATGTACTCTCATTGTTCAACTCCCACTTATGAGTGAGAACATGCGGTGTTTGATTTTCTGTTCCTGTGTTAGTTTGCTGAGGATGATGGTTTCCAGCTTCGTCCATGTCCCTGCAAAGGACATGAACTCATTCTTTTTTATGGCTGCATAGTATTCCATGGTGAATATGTGCCACATTTTCTTTATCCAGTCTATCACTGATGGGCATTTGGGTTGGTTCCACATCTTTGCTTTTTAATTCCTTCTTTCTACCTTCTATCTTCTTTAGATTTAGTTTGCTTTCCTTTTTCTACCTTCTTAAGGTAGAAGCTCACACCATTGATTTTAAACTTCTCTTCAGTTCTGATGTATACATTTAAAGAAACTAATTTCCCTTCAAGCACTCTTTCAGCTTTATCTCATACATTTTGATATAATGAACTTCATGATCATTCACTTAAAATATTCTCTAATTTTCTTTGTAATTTCCTCTTAGACCTATGGCTTATTTGGTAGTATGTTGATTAATTTCTGTATATTTAGGGGATTTCCAGGTTATCAGTTTGGTGCTGCTTTCTAATTTAGTTGAGGTATTTTTATTTTTATCTTTTTTGGTCAGAGAACATACCCTACCCAGTTTGCATACTGTTGAATTTCTTGAGACTAAATTTATGATCCAGTATGTTGTTCATCTTGATGGATATTTCATGTACACCTGAAATAATATGTATTTTGCCATTGCATATTCTAGTCTAATGTCTTATAAGTGTCAGTTAGGTTGATTTAATTATTAGTGCTATTCCACTGTTTAATATATTTTCCTGATTTTTTTGTTCATTTCTTTTACCAATTATTGAGAGAAGCATTTAAAAATCTCTAATTACGATTGCAAATTTATCTATATTTTCATTTCTGTCAATTTTTGTATCATTTATTTTTAAGTCATATTATTAGATGCATACATATTTAGAAAAGTTATGTTCTTCTTATGGTTTTTCCATCATTATGACTCAAGTTTTATTTTTATTCCTGGTAAAACATATTTTTAATGAAGATTTTTTTTGTTATTAATATGATCATACTGAATTTATTGTGATTTAGGTATTTGTGGTATGCATTCTTTCTTCTGGTTATTTTTTGCCTATCTGTGTAAAGAGCATGTATCTACCATTCTTTGAACATATTCTTATCTCTGACACCTGACACATATCCATCATTCTTTTTTTTTTTTTTTTTTTTTTTTTTTTTGAGACGGAATCTCGCTTCTGTCGCCCAGGCTGGAGTGCAGTGGCGCGATCTCGGCTCACGGCAAGCTCCGCCTTCAGGGTTCACCCCATTGTCCTGCCTCAGCCTCCCAAGTAGCTGGGACTACAGGCGCCCGCTACCACGCCCGGCAATTTTTTTTTTTGTATTTTTTAGTAGAGGCGGGGTTTCACCGTGTTAGCCAGGATGTTGTCGATCTCCTGACCTCGTGATCCGCCTGCCTCGGCCTCCCAAAGTGCTGGGATTACAGGCATGAGCCACCGCGCCTGGCCGTATCCACCATTCTTAAATATCCTTACTTTCTATGATCATCTTTTATTTTTTTTCTCAAGCTCTAGAATCTGTCATAGCTCTGGGTTCTTTTAGAAGAGTCTGGTTAAAAAGCTAGATCAAGATCTGTGTGTTAAGTGTGCTCATTGCTATGGGAATGTCAAAAGTCTAAGATCCTATTTGTGGACATACACATAAACATCTATACATTTATTTCTATAGCTACTTACTTATATTAAAAACCATATGTCTACGTCTAGCCTTTCTAGAAACAAAAATTATGAAATCTATAAAAATGACTTAAAAATTTGCAATCATTGGAGATCTTTTGAAGCATGCAGAATACATCAGGAGATAAATATTGAGAAAAGGAAAGTAACTAGGTGAGTTCAACGTTTACTGTGAGTTTCCCCTGAGAGTGCTTTTCAGTCTAAAGCAGTAGATGGTAGAACAAAGCTCAAGCAGAAAGATGCAGTCTTACCAGGAAGAGAAGACGGAGGTTGGAGTTTGGTGCCGAAAGAATTAGTTGCTATTGAGGAGAAAAATCCCCAAAAAACATGAAAACTCAAAGAGGGGCCCCTATTCTGCATGCAAATTTCTTTCAAATGCAGAATTTTGGGCTCTCCTCTGTGGTATTCTTATTTAGGATTTTCCACTCAAGTTCTACAAATAGTGCGCCACTGCACTCCAGTTTGGGCAACAGAGCAAGACTCTGCCTCAAATAAAATAAAATAAAAATTGTTTTAAAGTTCCACAAATCTTAAAGACCTAAGTTCTGACATCTTTCTACTCAGTTACCATTAGGAGGGAGAAAAATATACTAAGAAAGGCAAGTAAAGAGGAATAAGAGAAAAAGAACAGATGGACCAAAAACAAAAAGCAGCAAGGGGGTAGACTTAAATCCAGTACTTCAGTAATTACATTAAATGCATATTTCTAAACTGGATAAATAAGCAAGACTTTTGACCATACACTGTCCATAAGAAATGCATTTTAAGTATGAAGACACAGGTTAAAAATATAAGGATGAAAAAATATACACTGGGCAAGAAAGCTGGAGTGGCTACATTAATATCAGACAAAGAAAACTTTACAAATAAGGAATATTACTGGAGATAAATTTTTCATAATGAAAAAGAGTCAATACATCAAAAAGACATATAATCCTAAGTGTGTATGTACCAAATGCTATATACAGCTTATTTTCAAATTCACGTAGAAAATACATAAAAATATACCACATATATTGACATCAAAACATTTCAACGAATCTAAAAAGCAGTGAGAACATTGGACAACGTTGCCAAAAACAATCATTTAAAGACTCTGGAAATTGACCAAAGGATACGAACATTGAGAAGCATTTAGTTAAGAGAATCTAAACTGAATCCTAATAAAAACAGCAAAATCAGTATTATTTTGGCCAGAGTATGCTTTCACCAACTTCCTTCACCTCAACTTATGGTGCAGAATTTCTACCTGTGTGGGAGGACAGGCCATGGGATTAGACAGCTCTTCTTAACCTGCCAGAGGGAGCTCACACACATTTTTTGGAAAAGAGCTCACGCACATGCATGCACACACACACACACACACACACACACACCCTCAAAATAACGTCTTGGCATTTTGTAGAAAACAGCATAGACCTCAGGGCAAATAATTATGGAAGGCTAACATCTCAACTAGCTTGAAGTCATGATGGCAGGCCAGTCAGGAATTTTACCAGGGAGATCCAGAGAATGAGATAGTCAAAAATAGCCTTGCTAAAATCTCATTTATCCCCAGTGGTGTGGAAAGCTGTCTGCATCAGCTTGGTTAAGCCTGCTCAGGAGAGACCTGGCTGAATATAAGGACATGTGAAGGCAGAAAGTAAAAATTGGGACATACCTGTAAAGTCCCGGAACTTTGAAAGCATTTCCCACATCCCACTCAGTTCAATGGCAAAGTGTGGAAGCCTTACTGACTCAATTGTTTAAGCAGAATCTTTCATCAATCATAGGCTGACATTAAGCTATGATGACCAGGGGTGATTGTAGGAAATCAGGCTTAATAATGAAAACAAAAATTATTAAACAAACTTAGCAGAGACACCATAGGCTGCATACTAGGGGGAAACAGACTTGGAAGAACTAGCCCAAGCAAGTCACTAACACAAACAACAAACAGCAAGAGCACTTACTCCTAGGGATTGTGGAATCAGAATTTATGTAAAATATCAATATTAAACAAAAATTACAAGACATGCAAAGAAACTGGAAAATTTTACCAACACATAATACATAGGAAAAAAAGAAGCCAACAGAACTTGTCTCTGAGGAGACAGGTTAAAATGATTTCATTTTAAATTGCTCTCATTCTTGAGCATAATGAAGAAACACTCTTTAAGGCAGGTGAGAAATAACTAAGCAGTTATCAATTAGAGTGTTCAAGTAGTGGTTCTGAGTCTTAAAAAAAATAGGAGGGTGGGAAAGAAAGTACAAAAGAAATCAGATTCCTGTTTTAACTACCTTGGAACACATAAAATTGTGAAAATATGTTGAGAAAGTTCTATCTATACAGCCATCTCCAACTGCTGTATAATAGGTGTGCCGGAAAAATAGAAAAAATATAGGATACAATAAAAAATCGAAGATTTTTTTTTTCTGAAGGAAAGGAAGACTTTAGTCTCTGGCTAGATAAGATTCATGCAATTTAAAGGAATCAAGTGGAATCATGAAAATATACAAATAGTTCTGTAGCTGGAGGGATGAAAATTTTTACTACACAATCAGAAAATAAAATGGTAATAAAAATGATCTATTGGCTTCCAAGAAGGAAATAAACAGTTTACACATAAAAGGACGAGAACCAGACTGGAATCAAATTTCTTATCTGAAATATCAGAAGCCAGAAAACAATGAGAGGGAAAAAAGGCTGCCAACTTAACACATGGGGAAGCAGTGTGTTGGCAGGAAAGGCAGTGTAAGAGAGGAGGTTTGTACAGGGAGATGGAAGAGACAATGGAGAGAAGACAATCTGAGCAGAAGCTGTGAGGAGTAGATAGATAGTAGGGAATGGGAATGCTAACGATGGCGTTATTTTAAAACTAACCTTGTGCGGCATGTTTTAAAATTATCATTCCCACACCCTCATTGCATTGTAAAAATTTTGGATTAATATTTTGTTTATCTTTTGGTGTAGAACTGTGCTAAAGGACACGGATTCTATACTACTGGAAGAAGTTCAAGGTTCTTGTTTTAGGAGGACATGGACAGCTGTAGGGATGTTAACTGGGTCATGTTCACCAGTAGGTGGGGACATTGCACTTTAGAAATTCAAGGTAGCTGCCGCTTTCCCTTTTTTCCTTGCCCCTTGGCAGGTCTGGATTTGAGGGGTCAGGATTCCTTGAGGGTGGTAACACAGCCACTCTTATTTCCCGTACTCTTCCTTCCATGTGCTCAGAATATGATGCAATCTGAGATGCAGTTTTGGATGTTTGAGAAGCAAAGAAGCATGGCTGGAGCAGGAGTTAAAGTCTGCTTTTGTTTGAGAACTGAGGAGCTCAGTCTTTTACATGCTCTCACAGGTAAGAGATTGGTACTATAAAATTACATGCTTAAAACAAACTTCACTGCTGTCATTCTAGTGCAAGCCACTATCCTTTTTCACATTGAACATTCCGCCACCATCTGCAGCATTCTTGATATTTCAGTAAGAATGATATTTACTTTACAATTACTATTTTAAATTTATTGGGATATCAGTATATAGTTTGAAGATTAAACAATAGAGATGTATTTTAATGAAAACAAGAGCCCTTCATGCCATTCCTTTACTCCACTGTCATTATCCCCAGTTCAATGACTTTAACAGTAATATGCGTATGTTTTTGTATGTGGGGGTATTAATTTAGACATCCATTGACTTCCTGTTATGAAACCAGATAATTTAAACCACCAAAAATTAGGTCTCTGACATCTTTCTTGTGATTTTATTATCTTACTATGTTTAGTTCCTCTGTAGGTAATCCCTGCATTTTTTATTTATTTATTTATTTATTTATTTATTTATTTATTTATTTATTTATTTATTTTTGAGACAGAGTCTCGCTCTGTCCCCCAGGCTGGAGTGCAGTGGCGCGACTGGCTCACTGCAAGCTCCGCCTCCCGGGTTCACGCCATTCTCCTGCCTCAGCCTCCTGAGTAGCTGGGACTACAGGCGCCCGCCACCATGCCCGGCTAATTTTTTTTTTTGTATTTTCAGTAGAGATGGGGTTTCACCGTGTTAGCCAGGATGGTCTCGATCTCCTGACCTCGTGATCCGCCCGCCTTGGCCTCCCAAAGTGCTGGGATTACAGGCGTGAGCCACCGCGCCCGGCCAATCCCTGTATTTTTAAACACAGTACTCTATTATTCTGTCAGTTATATTCAAGATCTCTTGAGTTTTCTCCTTGTAGATGAAGCTACTGCTAACCCTATTCTTTCCTGCTCTACTTTTTTCTTTATTTCATATCCCAACTTCTGGCATTTATAATTTATCTTTAATATTTTCAAACCCGATAGTATTTATGGTTTGTTTGTAACCAGGTATTTTTTAAACACGTATGTGCTCATTATTGAGAATATATTTCCTTTGTTGGGCATCTTTTAATTTTTATGAAGATTCTATTTGCAATTTCTTTTCCCTCATATATGTAGTCTACTTTTTAATCATATCCTCAGATGTTTTGAATATCTCAACAATACTGTAAAATTTATGGGATCATACTTATCATGTTTATCCACTTCCTGGTGCCCTTAGTTCTCTAGTTTCAATCTAAAAGAAATGATTTCCAGGACTGCTGAGCAGATGTCATCTTGGGATTCTCTTCATTGTTTTCTTTGGTAGAAGATAATGTTTCAGGTATCTGATATCTTCCTCTTACTTGCTTTGACTACCTAATTTTGCTACGACACACCGTCTGTTAATATCCAAAAAAGGATATTCTGGAAGCAAATTTTTCTAATCTTTGCATGTCTGAGAATAATTTTTATTCTAGATTCGTGCCTGAATGAAATTTTATGGGTTTATAAGTATGGGTCTAGTCAGGAGAGAGAGGAAATCACACAGTAATGTAAAATGAGAAAGATCAATATAAAGAAATACGAATCTTAACAAGAGATCTGAGTAATAAGAGATTGGCTAGAAAGAAGTAAAGAGAACTCTAAATAATATAGCAGTGGCAGATATAATAGTGCATAATATAATATAATACGAAATGGCTACTTCCCTAGTGTATTAGTCAGGGTTATCTAGAGGGATAGAACTAATATGATAGATGTATGTATAAAGGGGAGTTTATTAAAGCGTGTTGACTCACATGATCACAAGGTGAAGTCCCACAGTAGACCGTCTGCAATCTGAGGAGCAAGGAAGCCAGTCCGAGTCCCAAAACCTCAAAAGTAGGGAAGCTGACAGTGCAGCCTTCAGTCTGTGGTTGAAGGTCTCAGAGCCCCTGGCAAGGGAGAAAAATGAAGGGTGGAAGACCGCTAGTCTAGTCCTTCTACGGTCCTCTGCCTGCTTTTATCCTAGTGGTGCTGGCAGCTGATTAGATGGTGCCCACCCAGATTGAGGGTGGGTCTTGCCTCTCCCAGTCCACTGACTCAAATGTTAATCTCCTTTGGCAACACCCTCACAGACACACCCAGGAACAATACTTTGCATCTTTCAATTCAATCAAGTTGACACTCGATATTAACCCATCACCTAGGTTAAGATAGAGCACCCAAGAAGGAGCCTTCTCCAGTTTTCTTTCCAAGGGTGAGGTCAGACCTTGTTAGGGAGGCACTTCCATGGCTCACTGAATGGCAGAGAGGTAGTTGTTGAACTGCTGCTCCAGCGGTAGTTTGCTGTAATCCACCCTCTGGGACTTGTCAGAAATCCTTCCTCTAGGGTGTTGGGAAAGCTGTTCCTGTAAGGTTCATGGAAGTGGGGTGGTGGTGGTCACTCTCTGCTGTAAAACTGCTAAAGGGGGTGTGCATGCCTGACGAAGCTGCTGGGTGTTGCTGGCTGCTCTACACTGCAAAAGCTGGGTGCTGAGGAAGCCGCAAGAGTCTGATGTTGTAGAAGCCAGGTGAGAACTTGCCAAAATTAATGACAGACAACGAATCACCGATTACAAATCTCGGAGAATACCAAGCAGGATTAAAAAAACAAAAACAACCTACACTTAAGTATATTATATTTAAACTTTAAAAAGTTGAAATACATAAATACTGTTTAGAAAAGCAAAGAAGGGTGAGAAAAGTACAAGTTATTACATTTTATGTATTTCTTAAAAATGGATATAACAGGTAGATATTTGTTGATATGTATTACAAAAGTTGGACAACATAGTCATGAAATATATTTAGATACTTTAAATACATATATTAAACAAGGGAAGAAATAAAGTACTACTCAAATCAATAAGAAAGAGTTAAATAACCTAATAGCAATGTTGGAAAGTAGGTGAACCGGCAATTCACAGAAGAACTCAAATGGCAAATAGCGTATGCAAAGATGGTCAACTTTCTCTACAATATTTGACACAGAAACATTATGTCATTTCAGTTTAAATATAATTACACATTCATAAAAATTGGGGAGCACACCTTTGAAGGGTTACTAATAAATTGTCTAGAAACATTGTTCTAAAAGCTGATGTGGTTTTGGAGGACCAAATGTGAATATTCAAAGGCACTTTCATTTGTTGAGCAAAACACCAAGTGGAGAAATTGAAGATCCCTGATTGCGAAAGGATCCAAGTGTTTAGAGCAGAACTGAAATCCTGAATAATGGTTCTCTCCATGTAGCAGGCAGAGAATGTGACTAGTGGAAAACAGAGGTTTATGTAAACAAAAGCAGCCTAGATTTGGACATAAAATTCATCAATTAATGTATCCATTCATTTGTCAAATAATTATTTAGCTCCTACTAAGTGCTATGTACTATTCCAGATAAAATAGTCAGCAAGGTAAAAATGTCCCTACCTTTATGAGTTTTAATTCTAGCAGGAAAGAAAAAATAATCACATAATATACAGATATGCAGTATTAGGTGGTGATTCTTGCTATGAAGATACAAATGAAGAAAGCTGAGTAAGGGGATAGAGAAACAAGGGCTTACCAGTAGTAAATTTCCATGCAAACAGTGGCAGGCTAATTTCAAAATCAGAAATATTTTATTATAGTTTTTCTTGGGTTATTAGTGTCAGACATAAGAAAAGTGCAGTAGATTTACTACCACAGATTTTTGCACTTGTACTTATTTTGAATGAAATGTACTGTCAAAGAACGAAGCAGATGGACTGGGCTTATATCCTGTCTCCTTGTAGTAGAGAATATTGAGTCTGATGTGCAGACCAGCAGATCCTTTGTGTATCACCTGCACCACTCCCTCATCCCCTCCATAAGCTCACATCAGGAGTAACTATGTTCATGTACTGTAATGTGAACTCATCCCCTGGCAACACTTTAGTGGTGTACAGTAAGCAACTGACTGGTCTAGGAAAAGAAGCCCTAGGGCAAAGGAGAGATGAATTGAGAACATCTTGGCAGGGACCATTTTGTACTATGTGAATCTGAAAGCAGAGATATATAAAATAATGAAGATGACAGGCAGAGAAAATTAGAGATAAGAAATATACAGAGGATTTCTTGTATAACACACAGTGTACTATCCTTAGATCAATCCTTTTACATATCTTCTTTGGCTTCTGTGAGTTAGCCCTTTGTTATGATAACAAATTTTATCTTTTTGA
Source organism: Homo sapiens (assembly GCF_000001405.40). Classification (NCBI taxonomy): domain Eukaryota; kingdom Metazoa; phylum Chordata; class Mammalia; order Primates; family Hominidae; genus Homo; species Homo sapiens. The sequence goes on along the minus strand of NC_000006.12, from coordinate 32,696,223 downwards.
TCAATCTAACTCAGGCACTTGTGTTCCCCATGATGACATGCTCTCACGATGGCTCTGATTTATTTAACATACAGAGGAAGATCATGAGTGTGGATTTCCGAAATGCAGTCAGTGGACTCAATTACTGTTTGTTGAGTCCATGAGCAGATGTGACTAACAAAGATCTGTGCATATGGGGATTGAAGGGTTTTTTTTGTTTTTGGATAGAGTTGGTGAAGAAATTAAATGAAAGTATACGATATTCCATGGCCAAGAATTTCAAATAATAAAGTGTTTATATGAGATGTTTGGGCTTTAATATGGGAAGTATGTATATGGGATGTGTGGGCTCTAATTTGTTTAAATTGTGTTTATTACTAATATTTGTGGACACATAGTAAGTGTATATATGTATCAGGTACATGAGATGTTTTGAAAAAAAGGATGCAATGTGAAATCAGTAAATCATGAAGAATGGGCATCCATACCCTCAAGCATTTATCCATTGAGTTGCAAACAATCCAGTTACACTCTTGAAGTTATTTTAAATGTATAGTTACTATTTACTATAGTCACCCTGTTGTGCTATCAAATAGTAGATCTTGTTCATTCTTTCCAATTTTTTCCCATTAACCATCCCCATATCCCTCCCTCCCTGATCCCCCACTACCTTTCCAACCTCTGGTAATCATCCTTCTACTCTCTATGTTCATAAATCCAATCATTTTAATTGTTAGATCCTACAAATAACTAAGAACATGCGATATTTGTCTTTCTGTGCCTAGCTTATTTCACTTATGGAACTGCCATGCCTGTTGTTGCAAATGACTGGATCTCATTCTTTTTTATGGCTGAATAGTACTCCATTATATATATGTACCACATTTTCTTTATCCATTCAACTGTTGATGGATACTTTGATATACTGACTTTTTTTTTCTTTTCAGTGTATACCCAGCAGTGGGATTGCTGGATCATATGAGAGCTCAATTTTTAGTTTTTTGAAGAACCTCCAAATTGTTCTCCATAGTAGTTGTACTAATTTACGTTCCCACCAATAGTGTCCAAGTGTTCTTTATTTCACATCCTTCCCAGCATTTGCTATTGCCTGTCTTTTCGATATCAGCCATTTTTAACTGGAGTGAGATGATACCTCATTGTAGTTTTGATTTGCATTTCTCTGATGATCAATGATGTTGAGCACCTTTTCATATGCCTGTTTGTCATTTGTATGTCTTATTTTGAGAAACATCTATTCAAATCTTTTGCCCAACTTTTGATTGGATTATTAGTTTTTTCCTATAGAGTTGTTTGAATCCTTATATATTCTGGTTATTCATCCCTCATCAGATGGGTAGTTTGGAGATATTTTCTTCCATTCTGTGGGTTGTCTCTTCACTTTGTTGATTGTATCCTTTGTGTTCAGAAGCTTTTTAACTTGATGTAATCCCATTTCTCCATTGGTGCTTTGGTTGCTTGTGTTTGTAGAGTATCACTCAGGAAATTTTTGCCTAGACCAATGTCCTGGAGATTTTCCCTAATGTTTTCTTGTAGTAGTTTCATGGTTTGAGGTCTTAGATTTAAGTCCTTAATCCATTTTGATTTGATTTTTGTATATGATGAGAGAAACGAGTCTAGTTTTATTCTTCTGCATATGAATATCCAGTTTTCCCAGCATCACTTATTGCAGAGACTGTCTTTTCCCCAGTGTATGTTTTTGGCACTTTTGTCAAAAATGAGTGCACTGTAGGCTTGTGGATTTGCTTCTGGGTTCTCTAGTCCATTCCACTGGTCTATACGTCTGTTTTTATGCCAGTACCATGCTGTTTTGGTTACCATAGCTCTGTAGCATAATTTGAAGTCAGTAATGTGATTCTTCTAGTTTTATTCTTTTTGCTTAGGATGGCTTTAGCTATTCTGAGTCTTGTGGTTCCATATAATTTTAAGATTTTTTTCCATTTCTGTGAGAAATGTCATTGGTTGTTTGATAGTGATTGTGTTGAATCTGTAGATTGCTTTGGGTAGTATGGACATTTTAACACTATTGATTCTTCCAAGCCATGAACATGGAACATGTTTCCTTTTTTTATTATAAAAAAATTTCTTGTATTATAGAGATTTCTTATTCTCAATTTCCTTTATTATAGAATTATAATAGAATACAGAATTTATTATAAAAAATTCTTTTATTATAGAGATTTCTTATTCCTCAATTTCTTTTATTATAGAGATTTTTCACTTCATTGGTCAAGTTAATTCCTAGGTATTTCATTTTGTGTGTGGCTATTTTAAATAGAATTACTTTTTAAATTTCTTTTTCACATTGTTCACTATTGGCATATAGAAATTCTACTGATTTTATGTGCTGATTTTCTATCCTGGAACTTTATTGAATTTATCAGTTCTAATAGTATTCTTGTGGAGTCTTTAAGTTTTTATAAATATAGGAGCATATCCTCTGCAAACAAGGATAATTTGACTTCTTCCTTTTAAATTTGGATGCCATTTATATCTTTCTCTTGTCTAATTGCTCTAGCTAGGACTTCCAGTACTATGTTGAATAACAGTGGTGACAGTGGCATCCTTGTCATGTTCCAGATCTTAGAAAAAAGACTTTCAGTTTTTCCCCATTCAGTATGATACTAGCTGTGGGTCTGTCATATATGGCTTTTATTATGTTGAAGTATGTTCTTTATATCCCCAGTTTTTGAGAATTTTTAACATGAAATGATGTTAAATTTTATCAAATGCTTTTTTCAGCATCAATTAAAATGAACATTTTATTTTTATCTTCATTGTGTTGATGTGATGTATCACGTTAATTTGTGTATGTTGAACCATCCTTGCATCCCAGCGATAAATCCCACTTGATTGTTATGAGTGATCTTTCTGATGTATTGTTTAATTCAGTTTACTAATATTTTGTTGAGGATTTTTGCATCAATATTCATCAGAGATATTGGCCTACAGGTTTTTTTTATGTGTCTTTGTCTGGTTTTGGTATCAAGGTAATACTGGGCTCATAGAATGAGTTTAGAAGTATTCCCTCATAAAATACTTGTAGAAGTATTCCCTCCTTCTCTATTTTTTGGAATAATTTGAGTAGGATTGGTATTAGTTCTTCTTTGAATGTTTGGTAGCATTCAGCAGTGAAGTCATCAGGTCCTGGAATTTATTTACTGGTAGACTGTTTATTGTGACTTTGATCTTGTTGTTATTGATCTTTTTAGGTTTTGAGTTATTTCCTGTTTTAATCTTGGTAGGTTGCATGTGTCTAGGACTTTGTCCATTTCTTCTAGGTTTTCCAATTTATAGCATATAGTTGCTCATAGTAGCCACTAATGATCCTTTGAATTTCTGCAGTATCAGTTGTAATGTCTCCTTTTCCATTTATGATTTTATTTATCTGGATCTTCTCTCTTTTTTTCTTAGTTTGTCTTGCTAAAGGTTTGTCAATTTTGTTTAACTTTTCAAAAAAGCAAATTTTTGTTTCATAGATCTTTTGTATTTTTTTCAATTTCATTTATTTCCACTCTGATCTTTACTTTTTCTTTTCTTCAACTAATTTTTGCTTTGGTTTCCTCTTGCTTTTCTAGTTTTTAAGATGCATCATTAGATTGCTAATTTAAAGTTTCTCCTTTTCTGATGTAGGCACTTATAGCTATAAACTTCCTCCTTATTACTGCTTTTGCTGTATCCCATGGGTTTTGGTATGTTGTGTTTTCATTGTCATTTGTTTCAATAAATGTTTCAATTTCCCTCTTAATTTCTTCATTGACCCACTGGTCATTCAGGAGCATATTGTTTAATTTCCATGTATTTTTATAGTTTCCCAAATTTCTCTTCTTATTAATTTCCAGTTTTATTCAACTGGGTTCAGAGAAGATGCTTGAGCAATTTGAGAGGCCAAGGTGGGAGGATTGCTTGAGCTCAGGAGTATGAAACCAGCCTAGGCAACATAGGGAGACCCAGAAGCAGTTCAAATGGGATTGAAAACCATGTACCTGTTGCCTGGACTGTAGAGGGCGTTGCAAGCCTGGTGGAGGTGAGCAAAGGGAGAGATTAGATAAAGCTGAGTACCCAACTTCCAGAGTTGCATATATCATTGAGACCAATAGTTCCACATACAGATTTCATTTAACATCTGTATTTTTAAAGTCAATCACAATAGACTTGTCAGACCATCTTAGAATTATAACCAAGAACAGAAGAAAACAAGATCACTTTTATTGTATTTTAGAACCTTGGGTGACAGTTGATATTGGGAGGGCTTCAAAGCTATAAATGTAGATATAAATAAAAACATAAACAGATTTAGAGGTTTTAGATCACAGTGAATGTGCTAATTTGTAACTCCTTTTAAATTTAACATATGGTAAACAACTCTATTTTGTCATTAAATATCTTTCTAAAACATTGTTTTGAAGGACTGTATATAATTGTGTCATAGTTTGTTACCTAATTATTTAAATTTTGAGGCCAGGTGCAGTGGCTCACACCTGTAATCCCAGCACTTTGGGAGGCCGAGGAGGGCAGATCACCTGAGGTCAGGAGTTCGAGACCAGCCTGGCCACATGGTGAAACCCCGTCTCTACTAAAAATACAAAAATTAGCCAAGCATGGTGGCAGGTGCCTGTAATCCTAGCTACTCGGGAGGCTGAGGAAGGAGAATCGCTTGAACCCAAGAGGCGGAGGTTGCAGTGAGCTGAGATCAAGCCATTGCACTCCAGCCTGGGGGACAAAAGCAAGACTTTGTCTCAAAAAAAAAAATTTTTTTTTTTTTTTGAGTACAGATGGGAATTGACTGAAAGCATTTTTACTGAATTGTTGGTTCTCAACTCCCCTCCTACTCCTACATCTTGGCTCTACTTCCCAACTACAAAATGGAAAGTTTCCTTTTTGGATATATGAGTACACAAAAAAGGAGAATCTTCACATTATGGTGTGTCCAGTCTCTTTTTACATTCCATTTTGTTTTTATTTTATAGAGGTAATATTTTTATAGCCTCATGTAGATTTTTTCATTTTAGTTTGTAAAAAAGAACAATGAGAACACTTGGACACAGGAAGGGGAACATCACACACATGGGGGCCTGTTGTGGGGAGGGGGGAGGAGGGAGGGATAGCATTAGGAGATATACTTAATGTAAATGATGAGTTAATGGGTGCAGCACACCAACATGGCACATGTATACATATGTAACAAACCTGCACGTTGTGTACATGTACCCTAGAACTTAAAGTATAATAAAACATATATATTAAAAAAATAATAAATAAATAAATAAGTCAGCCACTGCACCTGGACAACTATTCTGCTCAAAAAAAAAAAATAAAAAAGTAAACTTAAAGAAAACTTGCAATAAGAATAGTATTTTGTACTTATATATTTTTTTTCCTGAAATTGCACTCATCAGAACTCTTTATCCTTAAGTACTTCAGTGTGTATTTCCTAAGAAAAGGATACATTCTTGTACATAACCAGAATATAGCTACCAACTTCATTAAATTTAATTTTAATAATCTAAACTGTTTGAATTCTCATTGTCATATGAATTTTGTTTGAAAATACAAGCCCAAAATTACACTCCCATCTCTGAACATGTCATGTTTCTTAAATCATTTATGTCTTTATGCTGCATGGTAAATTTTTGTAATTAAAACACTGTATTTTTTTGTGGAATTTATTCCTTACAATTTTATATTTCTACCGGCAGTTTGAATGGTAATTTATCCTACATTCTCTCACCCTTCCCATCTCCCCCTGCTACTATATATTTTATTTGTGCTTCTTAGTAGCTTGGACTGCCAGAGACAAGTGACTCTGCCTCATCATATGCTTCTCATTGGTTGGAGAGATACATATTCATTACTATTAGTTATTTCTTCTAACCAGAGCTTCTGCAAAGCCCCTTTATCATTATCCTTTCTCTTCAATCACAATCTTGCCTAGTAACCTTTTCCATACCCAGATAGTTCCTTTCCTCCTGCAAGAACTAAGCGTATGTAAGTCTTCTCATTTGTTACCTAGTTCACTTTTCTTCACATGTGAGGATCCTGGATACTATTAAGATGCCTTCACTACTGACTGGATCTTGGAAAAATATGCTTTGTTTCCCTACAAAATATATTTTCTTTTAAGCTCTCAGAGTAAATTTTGAAACGAGCTACCCATAGATTAGTCCTCTGGTATTAACTAGTATTGTTATTCTGGCTGTAAAAGATAACTGTTCAAACTATTTACAGGTTAGATTATCCAGGGGATATAGTTTAGAGCACCCATATAATTTTTTTTTCAACAGATTACTTGATTTAAAAAGAACCTATCAAGTTAATGTTTTGAAGAAATTGATAATTTCTTTTAGAGGTTTCTCTGAAAAAATACAAGCAGTCCATATTAACAGGCTGGGTCTAGAGTTATATAGTCTGAGCGAGGACATGGGATGTTGAGTTGAGTCCAGAGACAGGCCATATGCAGCGAACCAGAACAATGTTTCAAAATCTGCAAATGGCTGAATCTGGGTATTTCCTGTGTGAAGGGGATGCCAGAAATGAGCAACCAAAACCTTAACAGAGACTGAAAACACATCCCAAAGTAGGAGGCAAAATACATCCACCTTCCAGGCAGCATACCCAGGCCTGATACACGTTAGAATGGGTTCTAGACATGTGACAACAGGATAAAAAAGTCAGTAAAATCATGGGAAAGATTAAAGTGAAAAATATTATAATATAAAGTCCACACATCTCATTAATTTTAGTAACTGCAAATAGACTAAACTTGTGACCAGAAGACAGAGACTGACAAATTGAATGCAAAAACATAAATTCAGGTTATACTGTTTACAAGACACATACCTAAAGCATAAAAGTCATTTCAGAGATTAAGTGTAAAACATAGAAAGGACATATTATGCAAAAACTAATTCTAAGAAATGGTGTTTATTTATTAATGTCAAAAACAAATTTTAAGGAAAAAGATATCGTAGGACAGAAAGACTGATATAATGATAAACATTCACCTAGTCAAGGAAAACAAAGGCTGGGCACAGGGGCTCACACCTGTAATCCCAGCACTTTGGGAGGCTGAGGCAGGTGGACCGCTTGAGCTTATGATTTCAAGACCAGTCTAGGCAACATGGCTAAAACCTGTCTCTGCAAAAAACAAAAATTAGCTGGGCATGGTGGCGCGTGTCTGTAATCCCAGCTACTTGGAAGGCAGAGGTGGGAGGATGGCTTGAGTCCAGGAGGTGTAGGTTGCAGTGAGCCGAGATTGCACCACTGCACTCCAGCCTGGGCGATAGAGCCAGACTTTGTCTAAAAAAAGAAAGAAAAGAAAAGGAAAACATAGCAACTATAAATATAGGTGCATCTAATAAAATATCCTCAAAGACATGAATCAAAATTGATATACTATTTAGGTAGAAAGCAATAAATCTACCATTTATAGTATGATATTTTAATATATGTTTCTGGGTTCTTTATAAGTCAAGAAGGCAAAAGTAGGATATAAAAGATCTAAACAACACAATTAGTAAGCTTGACCTAATAGACTTGAATATATTATAAAGTTATTGTCTATGTTCTCATCTATGTGAACTGGTAGATTCACCAGCACCTATTACATTAATTTTAATTTTAATTTTAATTTTTTTTGAAACAGAGTCTTGCTTAATAGCCCAGGCTGAAATGCAGTGGTGCGATCTCAGCTCACTGCAACCTCCACCTCTCAGGTTCAAGCGATTCTCCTGCCTCAGTCTCCTGAGTAGCTGGGACTAAGGTGCATACCACCATACCCTGGTAATTTTGTATTTTTTTAGTAGAGACAGGGTTTCACCATGTTGGCCAGGCTGGTCTCAAACTCCTGACTTCAGGTGATTCACCTGCCTTGCCTCCCAAAGTGCTGGGATTACAGTTGTGAGCCACCGCGCCCAGCCAGTTTATTATTTTTAATGTTTTTTAATGTAATGTAATGTAATTAATATAATAGGCACTGGTGAATAGGCACTGGTGAATCTACCACCTGGCACATAGATGAGAACATAGACAATAACTTTATAATATATTTGAGTCTATTAGGTTAAGCTTACTAATTGTGTTGTTTAGATCTTTTATATCCTACTTTTGCCTTCTTGACTTATAAAGAACCTAGAAACATATATTAAAATATCATACCATAAATGGTAGATTTATTGCTTTCTACCTAAATATTATATCAATTTTGATTCATGTCTTTGAGGATATTTTATTAGATGCACCTATATTTATAGTTGCTATGGACCTCAGTCATATGTGGAAATGAATTCTGCCAACAGGCAGTGAGCTTGGAAGAGGACCCCAAACTCAGATGAGAATTACAATGTCTCTGTGACTTGAGTCTTGTGACATCCTAAGCAGAAAGCCCAGGTGAGCTCTGCCTAGACTTCTGACTTAGAAAGCTGATGTAATAAATGGGTTTTGTTCTAAGCTTCTGCATTTGTACTAATTTTCTGTGACAGTGGCTAGAAAACTAATACAATATATTTTGCTCATTTAAGGTTCACGTACTGCACTATAAGCACTTTCTTTTAATATAGCGCAATGCTTAAAAATTGATATACATTTCACATATTAACTCTTGATTTTTCATTTAAGTTGTGGTTGTATTTATGATGATTTAAAAATATAGTCTAACAATATTTTTCTATATGGTTTCTTTCTTTTGTTTTATTTAAATCATTCCAACACTTTTTAATAAAATAAATATTAACATGTATCTTTTTCTGTATTTTGAGTTCCTTCTTGATTTACATTTAAACTTTTAATCTAACTCAATATCATCTCTGTATGTGTGTATGTATGAGCTCTTTTTATTTTCCTACTAAATAACCAATAGACCCAACATCATTTTTAGTAAATTTCCCTCATTCCACTGAATAAAAAGTCCACTTTTATTATGTACTACATTTTTAAAAATTTATCCAACATAAATTCAGGATAACTTGTTCTGTTCTTGAAAGCAGTTCTAATGTGGCATTCTTTAACAAGCAAGAGTAAACTTCCCAGTGCACCATTTAAAACACTCCAAACCATTATTGCAATCTCTTGAAAAACATTGAATTAGAATTGTGTTTCTAATACCAAGGAAAATGATTTAAAATTCTCTTAAAATAACTTTTTCTTCTAAAAATTTCACCTGAGAATGTCTTCACCCACCAGAATTTCCTCACCACTACGCTGCTTTCTCTTCCATTCCACATAGGTGCCATGTTGTTCAAGTATATTGCAAAAACTTGCCTCCTAACCCCTTATATCTCACGGACTTCCAATCCTCATCAGCTACAGTCCTTTACCCCACAAACCTGGATTGACTCCAAAAGAGTGAAATGGGTTCTTCTGTGCCTCAAAGAAATGAAGAATATAAACTATAACACTGGAAGCTTCTTCGAAATATGTTTATGTCCCATCCCAAAATTTTCTCAAAAGTTTAGTAACTTCTAGAAATAAAATACGGTAGCCCCACCTTATCCATGGTTTCACTTTCCATAGTTTCAGTTATCTGTGGTTAATCACAGTTTGAAAATAGGGGTGTATAGTACAGTAAGACATTTTGAGAAAGAGAGGGGACCCCATTTACTTAAGTTTTATTACCGTATATTGTTAAAATTGTTCTATTTTATTATTAGTTTTTGTTTATCTATGACTGTGAATAATTTATAAATTACACTTTATCATAGGTTTGTATGTGTATGAAAACATAGTACGTATAGGGTTTGGTACAATCCGTGGCTTCAGGCATCTACTGTGGGATCTTGCAGTGTATCCCCCATGAATAAGGGGAGACTACTATAAATACAATTTCGATCTCGTTAATCATAACATAAATTTGGATCTGCTTCTGTGCAGTCAATGTTGTTCCACAGTTGACTTTTTTTTTTAGTGGCAGTAGAAACATGTTTTAATTGTTTAGCTTTATAATTATTTGTAAGCATCTACTAGAGCAACACCCCCTCATTTTTATCAATAGCTATTTTTATATTTATTATTCTTGAAAAAAATTAGAAACATTTTGTTAACAAAACTATCTTATTGATATTTAGATTAAAGCATCACAAAGTCTATGTATTTTGTTTGGAAAATTGACACAAATTGTCTTGTTCAAGAATGTGGTACTTTTATTTATCAAACTTTTCTTCAGTAAACTTCTTCTATTCTTTTCTGTGGATTGCACACATGACTAGTAGACGCTTTGATATTTTCTATGTTTATTGCTCTTTTAAGTGATTTTTTTTTTTTCTGTAACAGACTTACTGGCTCAGTCAGCCAGAGACAAATGATGCTGCTTCACTTCTTCTCATTGGCTGGCAAGGAAAGTACTTAGTGGTTTAACTCAAGCACAACTTCTGTGAATCTTTTTTTTTTTTTTTTTTTTAAAGCAGCATCCCGTATTTGGTTACACTCTGGTCTAGTAACCACTTCCTTTGGGCAAGACAACCTTCTCCACCTGCAAGAGCCAGGCATGTGATTAAAAAAATTTCCTTTGTGGTCACTTAGTTATTATTCTTCTTGCTTTGAGTGTTTGGTTGCTAGTTTCATGTACACACTTTCCACTAAAGCTGTTCTTTACAACTTGTTATAGTAAGTTTTGATTCACAGAATATTTTAGGCTCATCTACAATATAATAATTTCCCACAAATGTAAAGAATATAAGTTTGTACAGTTCTAAATATCAGTAAAACAGCATGGAGCAGAGTGCTCGTATTTAACTTCAAAAAAGGTAGTATTTCCATAGGTGCTTTCAGGATAATAAAAATTGATTTGATTGATATAGACTTATGGGACAATATGTGAGAATCAGGCTCTGCTCTAAAGGATAGGAGAAAGGCGGGCAGGGAGTACTTAATATGGTTTGAATTCCAGACACACAACCTAGTTGCCTAATTTGGCCTCATCCACCAGCTTGAATATTTTCGTGAGATTCTGTCTTACATCTCTGGTAATACTAAAACAAAAAATGAGGACCATTTCAAGTAAGTCTAGCTCAGGAGAAACCATTAAAATTGTTATATTCTCTGTTTAATTTTTTCTACAATTATTATTTCTTCTTTTTATATTAATTAGAATAGGCCAGACTGCTACAATAACTAGACTTGAAAGTGTATGAAGGCTGAAATACAGTAGAATTTTATAACTCACTAATGTAACAGTAGGAAGATACTGATGATTTGTGAGTAGCTCTTCTCAAGCTGGTGATTCAGGGATCCAAGCTGCCATACTCTAATATGGTGCCTCTCATTTTTTTTCCTGTGAAAATTAACATACTTTAATTTTTCTTCAAATAGGGAGGTCAGGAAAAGTGGCCAATTGTGATCTAGAAGATTAAGGCAAGACGGTTAGTGAAATTTACAACAGTGTCCACTACGTTGTCATTATGGCTGTAACTAATATTCATCTCCCTCCATCACAAGCCGCTCCTGATTCCCCTCATCCTCTGAATTTAGTATAGTTTGTTTTTCTGTTTGAGTGACAGAGACAACTATTCCAGAAAGGTCTATACAGTTATTTACCCTGTCCTTGCTGGATTGATTGTTTTAGTGTCTACTGATGGTCATTACCATGCATAAAAGTACTAAAAGATATCGTTGTATTTCCTCTAATTTGTTCCTGAGGCATCTCTCGTAATAATGGCTATCAACTGTAGTCCTCCTCTAATGAAGGGAAAAGTAATATGCATGGTCTCAACAACCAGGACTACAGTCAACAAGGATTATCTTCTTAATAGCATTGCTGAGTTCCACCCTGCCAGCAGTAGAGGATAACACTGAACTCACCATATGGCCCCATTACTTGAGGAGATCAGCCAGCGAGTTGGTGTCAGGTTGACTGTATCAAAATCTTCCACCTTGGAGGGGAAGTGATTTATTCTTTCTGGAATTAGTATACACTTTGGATATGGATTTGCTATTCTCACCTACATTGCCTCCAAAACCATTGCCATTCAAACACTCATGGGATGCTATGTTTAATATTGCTCAAGACTACAAAACCCATTTAGTAACAAGACGTAGCAATGGGATAATGATATATACCCATTACCTAGATGTAGTCAGTCCAAAAGAATAATTGAATGGTGCTGGCTGGAAGACATTGCCCTCTAGGATGTTGTCTTTGACTGTTTGTGTTGCTATAACAAAACACCACAGACTGGATAAATTACAAAGACCAGAATTTTATTTTCTCACAGTCCTGGAGGCTGGAAAGTCCAAGATCAAGGTACTGGCATCTAGTAAGGGCCATCTTGCAGTGTCTTCACATGGCGGAAAGTGAATCACATGGTGGAAGGTGGAGGGGCAAGGGAGCATTCCCTTCAACCTTGAGTCCTTTTATAAGGGTCCTAATCCCATCTTTGAGGCTCATGTCCTCATGACTTAATCATCTCTTAAAATGATCACACTGAGGACAACAAGGTTAGGTTTTAATATACGAATTTTGGAATTTTGAGTCATGTGGTTTGTTGAATTGTCTTCTTTCTATCTTACCTGACACCTTCAAATTTAACTTCTTTCCCAGACAGAGCTGTCCCAGAGAGTGAAATTTTGGCAGGAATAAACTGGACACAGGTCAGACAAGAGCCACAAAAGTGTCTTCCAGTATAAACAAGTTTCCTGTGAGAGGGGCGCTTGGTTACAGGTCAGACACTTAGGCATTAGACCATCTTCCAGAATAAAGAAGCATCCCATGAAGATACATTGTAAACTCCACACCCAAATTCCCTAAAGCTCCAGCAGAGCAAAACTAGTTTATAGCTGTTCTCATGAGAGAGACCTCAAGACCAAATTAGATGAAAATTCAGTAGACACTAAAACAATTATACTCCATCAAGGAGAAGATAAACAAGAGCATAAACCCTTCTGGGATTGTAGTATCTATCACCAAACCAGAACAACCACCTAGTTTTTAAACCTGCTGAAGTCTGGTTTCAAATGTACTGCTTTAATTGCATGATGGATTGTGGTTGGTATGCCCAAACTTAAGAGTCTATGAATCTTATAACTCTCAGCATCATATGGACAATTTAAGTCATATGGTCACTTAGTGTGTTAAATGCCTATCAGGAAGAAATGCACACTTGGTTGTAGTTTTAGAACACATGAGTTCATGCAAAATTACTGTTAGAGAAGTTTTCCAGTGGTTATAATCTGGAACATGTAATATGAATGAAGTGATCAAGAGTTTGACTTGTGACTTACACTTTAGATCATGATATAATAATTGGTGTAGTCAGTACTTTGTATATCCCAGACAACTTTCTTGAGCTTTAGGGGACTGACTCACAATGGAGCTGAGGCTTCTTCTGTCCCTTGCTACTGATCTGTAAGTAATAAACCTGCTTTACATAACTTGTGTGTGGGCATGTTCTATTTCATCAGACTCAGATAATAGGTAACCAGTGTGTGGTGGACCTAAACAGTAGCTCAGGATGCAGTGGAAAGAAGTATCTGGACTTCTTTTCCTAGTGGTTGGCATAGTAGTGATCTTTGCTATTCTCCACACAGTGGGGGTCCTCCTTTGGGGTTGGTAATTAGTAAACCTGCTTCATAAACTATGATTAATATACTAAAATCTCTTATGAAAAAGTAGACAACATGCTAGATTAGATAGGTAATTTCGGCAGAGATAGAAAATCTGAGAAAGAGTAAAATTGAAATAAAATAAAAATACATTAACAGAAATTAAAAATACATTTGTCAAACTCATCAGCAAACTTGACACAGCCCTGGGAAGCATCAATGAATTTGAAATAGATCAATAAAAATTATTCAGAGTGAAACACAAAGAGAAACAAATAGTAAAAGTAAATTTTAAAAATAGGTCAAGTGTGGCAATCCCAACAGTTTGGGAGGCCAGGGCTGGAGGATTGCTTGAGCCCAGGAGTTTGAGACCAGTCTGGGTAACATGGGGAGACACCATCTTTACAAAAAATACAAAAATTAACTGAGTGTGGTGGTACAGACCTGTAGTCCCAGCTACTCGAGAGGATGAGGTGGGAGGATCACTTAAGCCCAGGAGGTCAAGGCTGCAGTGAGCCATGACTGCACCACTGCACTCTAGTCTGGGCAACAGAGTGAGACCTTGTTTAAAAACAAATAAATAAGTGTTTAACACTTTTCAGGCAAAAATATAGTACCATTTGATATGGTACTACAGCTCGTGGATGCTCTGTTTTGCTTTTATCCCCCACTCTTCTTTTCTCTTTGTATTTCACTTCGGATAATTTTTATTAGGTACCTTATTGAATTGGTTTTCTTTTTAAATAAACATATTATTTTGGTTGACTTTATTTTTCAATGTTGTATTTTGAAATCATTATAGATTCAGAGGAAGTTACCAAGATAGTACAGAAAGATTCTCTATACCCTTCATCCAGTTTTCCCCAATTGTCACATCTTATATAACTAAAGCACAATATCAAAACCAGGAAATTACCCTGACATATACTGTCAAACGATTTTCAACAAGGGTGCAAAGGCCATTAATTGAGGAAAGGACAGCCTTTTCAACAATGATGCTGGGAAAACTGAAGTCCACATACAAAAGAATGAAATTGGATTCTTACCTTAGATCGTAGACAATATGAACTCAAAATGAATCAAAAACCTAAATGTAAAACTTAAAACTACCAAACCATTAGAAAAAAACATAAAGGAAAATCTTCATGACATTTGATTAGGCTATGATTTCCTGGACATAACACCAAAGACATAGACAAGAAAAGAAAAAATAGATGAATTGGACTTCATCAAAATTTAAAACTTCTAACTCAGGAAAGGAAAAACAAATACCGTATGTTCTCACTTACAAGTGGGAGCTAGGCTATGGGTACACAAAGGCATGCAGAGTGGTAAAATGGACATTGGAGACTCAGAAGAGGGGAGGATGGGATGGGGGTGAAGGATAAAAAACTACATATTGAGTACAATTTATGCTACTTGGGTGACAGGTGCACTAAAATCTCAGGTTTCACAACTATACAATTTATCCATGTAACAAAAAGTCATTTGTACCCCAGAAACTATTGATATAAAAATATATTTAAAATATTTAAAAATAATTATTATTATCTACTATGTGTTCAACACTATTTTTGATGCTTTATATTTGCCATTTCATTTAATCCCCAGCATTACTCCATGGAATAGATATTCTCATTTTGCAGTTGAAGGAACTAACATTCAGAGAGATTAACTTGGATTTATGAGCAATGTCTACATTGTAAAGTAGAGGCAAGGAGACCAGTCAGGATGCCTTTGCAGTAATTTACCTGGGTGGAATTGTTGGTCTTTGAAAATAGAAAGTTAATCTCTTGGAAAGGTTCTACAATGTTATTGTTTTTGCCCCAAATGGCACATTACAGAAATCAATTAATTTAGTTGAATGGCAACTATATGTACATAACATGTTCCTATTACTCTTCTATATCATGTCTTGAACTTTCTCTTTAATAAATGTGACATAAAAACTTTAAAAGTTCTGTGCACGACAGGACAGTGCCAATAGAGTAAACATGGTAATCAACAGAATGAAAGAAGATGTTGACAAATAGTATATCTCATAAGAGATCAATATCCAAAATATGGTCAGGCATGGTGCCTCATACCTGTAATCCCAGCTACTTGGTAGGCTAAGGCAGGAGCATTACTTAGACCCAGGAGTTCAAGACCAGCCTAGGCAAGTAGGCAAGAAAGAAAGACACTGTCTCTTAAAAAAAATCCAGGATTTGTAAAGAAATTCTAAAACCCAACAATAAAAAAACAAGGGAGAGGCCAAGAATGTTGATTAGAAGTAGCTCTGGTCTGTGGCTCCCACTGAGGAGAATGGAAACAGCGAATGAACACTGTACCTTCTGCTGAGGTATCCAGGTTTTCTCATTGGTATTGACTAGGCAGTTGGCACAACTCACAGAGAGTGAAGAAAAGCAGAGTGGAGCAACAGCCCACCCAGGAGTCACAAGGGGTAAGGGGAACTCCCACCCCAAGCCAAGGGAGATGGTGAATGATTATGCTACCCCACCAGGGAAACCATGCTTTTTTCATGCATCTGTACAAGCTGATCTGTACTCCTGATCAGGAGATGTTCTTGTGAGCCCATGCCACCAGAGCCTTGGGTCCCAAGCACAGAACTGTGCACACTCTTAATGGCTGCTGGGATTGTGGCCAGTGGCAGCATGTTGGGGACTGATTAAAACAACTGAGTTTCTAGGGGGAGGGGTGGCTGCCGTTGCTGTGGCTCCAGTTGGCCATTTTCCCGTCCCACTGCTGGGGAGACTGAATGGTTTGGACAGGCAGGAACTCCCCACAGTGCAGCACAGCAGCTGTGGCAGATCGTGGCCAGACTGCTTCTGTAGGTGGGATCCGGATCCATCCTTCTTCGCTTGGTGGGGCCTCTCTGCAGGAATTTCAGCAACTCCAGCTAGGGGTTTATGGACAGAACTCTGCTCATAAACTGTGGAAACTGTGGCTGTCCATCCCCTAGAGGGAGGGGTGGCCACAATCTCCACAGTTCAGAAAACTTCCTCTTTCCTGCCTGTTGGCTCTGAAGAGCCTGGCAATCCAGAGGAGGGGGATTCCCCCCAGCACGGTGCACCTGCTCCACCAATGGGCAGCCAGAGTGCTTCCTTAAGCAGATCCTTGATCCCATGATCCCATGCCTCCTGACTAGGTGAGACCTTCCAACAGGGGTTGCTGGACAGTTCATACAGGACAGTTCTGACCAGCATCAGGTCAGTGCCCTGGGATGGAGCTGCCAGAGGAAGGAGCAGGCAGCCACCTTTGCTGTTCTGCAGCCTCCACTGGTGACACCTCCAGGTGCAGGAGGGACCCAGGTGAGTTGGATCTGGAGTGGACCCCCGGCAAGCCACAGCCACTCTGTAGAAGAGGGTCCTAGCTTTTAAAAGAAAAATAATCAGAAAGCAACAATGACAATAACAACAACAACAGCAAAAGACCCCACAAAACCCCCAACCAAAGGTTAGCATTTTCAAAGATTGAAGGTAGATAAACCCATGAAGATGCGAAAAAGTCAACAACAAATGCTGAAAATACAAAAATCCATAGTGTCTCTTCTCCTCCAAATGATTACAATACCTCTCCAGCAATGACACAGAACTGGGCTGAGGCTGAGATGGATGACTTGACAGAGGTAGGCTTCAGAAGGTGGGTAATAATAAACTTCACTGAGCAAAAGGAGTATGTTCCAACCCAATGCAAAGAAGCTAAGAGCCATGATAAGACATTACAGGAGCTGTTAACCAGTTAACCAGAATAACCAGTTTAGAGAGGAACATAAATAGGTTGATGGAGCTGAAAAACACAACACAAGAACTTTGCAATCCACCCACAAGTATCAGTAGCCAAATAGACCAAGCAGTAGAAAGAATCTCAGAACTTAAAGACCATCTTACCAAAATAAGACAGGCAGACAATATTACAGAAAAAAAGAATGAAAAGGAATGAACAAAACCTCCAAGAACTATGAGATTATGTAAAAGAGACTGAAGCTATGACTGATTGGGGTGCCTGAAAGAGACGGGGAAAATTACCTAAGTTGAGAAACATACTTCAGGATGTCACCAGCAAGACAGGCCAATATTCAAATTCAGGAAATTCAGAGAAACCAAGTAAGATACTCCATGAGAAGATCAACCCCAAGACACATAATCATCAGATTCTCCAAGGTCGAAATGAAGGAAAAAATGTTAAGGGTAGCCAGAGTGAAAGGCCAGGTCACCTGCAAAGGGAAGACCGTAAGAGTAACAGCAGACCTCTCAGCAGACACCCTACAAGCCAGAGGAGATTGGGGGCCAATATTCAACATTCTTAAAGAAAATAATTTCCAATCTAGAATTTCATATCTGGCCAAACTAAGCTTCATAAGCGAAGGAGAAATACAATCCTTTTCAGTCAAGCAAATGCTGAGGGAATTTGTCACCACCAGATCTACCTTGCAAGAGCTCCTGAAGGAAGCACTGGATGTGGAAAGGAAAAACCATTACCAGCCACTACAAAAACACACTAAAGTACACAGACCAATGACACTATGAAGCAACTACATAAACAAGTCTGCAAAACAACCAGCTAGCATCATGATGACAGGATCAAATTCACACATAACAATATTAACCTTAAATATAAATAGGCTAAATGCCCCAATTAAAAGACACAGAATGACAAGCTGGATAAAGAGTCAAGACTCATCAGTGTGTTGTATGCAAGAGACCCATCTCATGTGCGAAGACACGCATACATTCAAAATAAAGGAATGGAGGAAAATCTACCAAGCAAATGGACAGCAGAAAAAAAAGCAGGGGTTGCAATCCTAGTTACTGACAAAACAGACTTTAAACCAACAAAGATCATAAAAGACAAAGAAGAGCATTATATAATGGTAAAGGGTTCAATTCAACAAGAAGAGCTAACTAACCTAGATATACATCCGCCAACACAAGAGCACCCAGATTCATGAAACAAATTCTTAGAGACCTATAGAGACACTCAGATTCTCACACAATAATAGTGGGAGACTTTAACACCCCACTATCAATATTAGACAGATCATTGAGACAGGAAATTAACAAAGATATTCATAGGTGGGAATTGAACAATGAGAACACATGGACACAGGAAGGGGAACATCACACACCGGGGACTGTTGTGGGGTGGGGGAGAGAGGGGAGGGATAGCATTAGGAGATATACCTAATGCTAAATGACGAGTTAATGGGTGCAGCACACCAACATGGCACATGTATACATACATAACAAACCTGCACATTGTGCACATGTACCCTAAAACTTAAAGTATAATAATAATAAAATTAAAAAAAAAACAAAGATATTCAGGACTTGAACTCAGCACTGGATCAAGTGGACCTGAGAGATATCTACAGAACTCTCCGCCCAAAAAAACGGAATATACATTCTTCTTGGTGCCACATGGCACTTATTCTAAAATTGATCACATATTTGGAAGTAAAACACTCCTCAGCAAATGCAAAAGAACCGAAATCATAACAAACAGTCTCTCAAACCATAGTGAAATCAAATTAGAACTCAGGATTAAGAAATTCATTCAAAACCACACAACTACATGGAAATTGAACAACCTACTCCTGTATGACTCCTGGGTAAATAATGAAATTAATGCAGAAATCAGGAAGTTCTTTGAAACCAATGAGAAGAAAGAGACAATGTATCAGAATCTCTGGGATGCAGCTAAAGCAGTGTTAAGTGGGAAATTTATAGTACTAAATGCACACATCAAAAAGCTAGAAAGATTTCAAGTCGACATCGTAACATCACAACTGGAAGAACTACAGAACCAAGAACAAACAAACCCCAAAGCTAGCAGAAGACAAGAAATAACCAAAATCAGACTGGAACTGAAGAAGACAGAGACACCAAAAAACTCTTCAAAAAATCAACGAATCCAGGATCTGGTCTTTTGAAAATATTAATAATATAGACAGACTGCCAGCTAGACTAATAAAGAATAATAGAGAGAAAAATCAAATAGACACAATAAAAAATGATAAAGGGGATATCACCACTGACCCCATGGAAGTACAAACAACCATCAGAGAATACTATAAACACCTTTATGCACATAAACTAAAAAAATCTAAAAGAAATTCCTAGACACATACACCTTCCCAAGATTGAACCAGGAAGTTGAATCCCTCAATAGACGAATAACGAGTTCTGGAATTGAGGCATAATAAATAGCCTACCAACAAAAATAAAAGCCCAGGACCAGACAGATTTACAGCTGAATTCCACCAGAGGTACAAAGAAGAGCTGGTACCATTTCTTCTGAAGCTATTCCAAATAATTGAAAAGGAGGAACTCCTCCCTAACTTATTTTATGAGGCCAGCATCATCCTGATAACAAAACCTGACACAGATACAACAAAAAAAGAAAACTTCAGGCCAATATCTCTGATGGACACTAATAAAAAAAAATCCTCAATAAAATAATGGCAAGCCGAATCCACCAGCATATCAAAAAGTTTATCCACCACGATCAAGTTGGCTTCATCACCAGGATGCCAGGCTGTTTCAACATATGCAAATCAATAAACATAATTCATTAAATAAACAGAACTAAAGACAAAAACCACATGATTGTCTCAATAGACACAGGAAAGACCTTCAATAAAATTCAACATCCCTTCATGTTAAAAACTCTCAATAAACTAGGTATTGAAGGAACATACCTCATAATAATAAGAGTCACTTATGACAAGCCCACAGACAATATCATACTGAATGGGCAAAAGCCAAAAGCATTCCCCTTAAACACATGCACAAAACAACAATGCCCACTCTCACCACTCCTATTCAACATGGTATTGGAATTTCTGGCCAGGACAATCAGGCAAGAAAAAGAAATAAAGCATATTTAAATAGGAAGAGAAGAAGTCAAATTGTCTTTCTTTACAGATGACATGATCCTAGATCCTAGAAAATCCCATTGTCTCAGTCCAAAACTTCTTAAGCTCATAAGGAACTTCAGCAGTCTCAGGATGCAAAATCAATGTGCAGAAATCACAAGCATTCCTATACGCCAACAACAGACAAGCAGAGAGCCAAATCATGAATGAACTCCCATTCACAATTGCTACAAAGAGTAAATGCCTAGGAATACAGCCAACAAGGAAAGGGAAAACCCTCTTCAAAGAGATTTACAAACCACTGCTCAAGGAAATCAGAGAGGACACAAACAAATGGACAAATATCCCATGCTCATGAATACAAAAAATCAATATCATGAAAATGGCCATACTGCCCAAAGTAATTTGTGGATTCAATGCTATTCCCGTCAAACTACCACTGACATTCTTCACAGAATTAGAAGAAAACTATTTAAAAATTCACACGGAACCAAAAGCCCATTAGCCAAGACAATCATCCTAAGCAAAAAGAACAAAGTTGGAGACATCATGCTACCTGACTTCAAACTACACTACAAGGCTAAAGTAACCAAAACAGCATGGTACTGGTACGAAAACAGACCAGTGGAACAGAACACAGAACTCAGAAATAAGACCACACATCTACAACCAACTGATCTTCAAAAAACCTGATAAAAACAAGCAATGGGGAAAGGATTCCCTATTTAATAAATGGTGCTGGGAGAACTGGCTAGCCATATGCATAAAGTTGAAACTGGACCCCTTCCTTACACCTTATACAAAAATTAACTCAAGATGGATTAAAGACTTAAATGTAAAACCCAAAACTATAAAGACCCTAGAAGAAAATCTAGGCAACACCACTCAGGACATAGACATGGGCAAAGACTTCATGACAAGAACATCAAAAGCAATTGCAACAAAAGCAAATGCTGACAAATGGGATCTAATTAAACTGAAGAGCTTCTCTACAGCAAAATAAACTATTATCAGAGTGAGCAGACAACCCACAGAATGTGAGAAAAATTTTGTAACCTATCCATCTTACAAAGGTCTAATATCCAGAGTCTACAAGGAACTTAAACAAATTTGCAAGAAAAAAAGAACATTAAAAAGTGGGCAAAGGACATTAACAGACACTTCCAAAAGAAGACATTTATGTAGCACCCAAACATATGAAAAAAGCCTAACATCACTGATCATTAGAGAAATGCAAATTAAAATCACAATGAGATACCATCTCATGCCAGTCAGTATGGTGATTACTAAAAACTCAAGAAACCACAGATGCTGTCAAGGCTTCAGAGAAAAAAGAAACACTTTTATACTGTTGGCGGGAATGTAAATTAGTTCAACCATTGTGGAAGACAGTGTGGCAATTCTTCACAGACCTAGAACCAGAAATACCATTTGACCCAACTATTCTATTACTGAGTGTATTAGTTCGTTTTCATGCTGCTGATAAAGACATACCCGAGACTGGGAAGAAAAAGAGGTGTCATTGGACTTACAGTTCCACATGTCTGGGGAGGCCTCAGAATCATGGCGGGAGGCGAAAGGCACTTCTTACATGGCAGTGGCAGGAGAAAATGAGGAAGAAGCAAAAGCAGAAACCCCTGATAAACCCATCAGATCTCGTGCGACTTATCCACTATCATAAGAATAGCATGGGAAAGACTGGCTCCCATGATTCAGTTACCTCCCATTGGGTCCCTCCTACAACACGTGGGATTTCTGGGAGATATAATTCAAGTTGAGATTTGGGTGGGGACACAGACAAACCATACTGTTCTTCCCCTGGGCCACTCCAAATCTCATTTCCTCACATTTCAAAACCAATCATGCCTTCCCAACAGTTCCCCAAAGTCTTAACTCATTTCAGCATTAACCCAAAAGTCCATAGTCCAAAGTCTCATCTGAGACAAGGCAAGTCCCTTCCACCTATGAGCCTGTAAAATCAAAAGCAAGCTAGTTACTTTTTAGATACAATGGAGGTACAGGTATTGGGTAAATACAGCCATTCCAAATAGGAGAAATTGGCCAGAACAAAGGGGTTACAAGGCACACACAAGTCTGAAATCCAGCAGGGCAGTCAAATTTTTTTATTTTATTATTTTATTTATTTTTATTTTTATTTATTTATTTTTTGAGACAGAATCTCGCTCTGTCGTCCAGGCTGGAGTGCAGTGGCGCCATCTCTGCTCACTGCAAGCTCTGCCTCCTGGGTTCACGCCATTCTCCTGCCTCAGCCTTCCAAGTAGCTAGGACTGCAGGTGCCTGCCACCATGCCTGGCTAACTTTTTTGTATTTTTAGTAGAGACAGGGTTTCACTGTGTTAGCCAGGATGGTCTCAATCTCCTGACCTCGTGGTCCGCCCACCTTGGTCTTTCAAAGTGCTGGGATTACAGGCATGAGCCACCACACCCAGCTGCAGTCAATTTTAAAGCTCCAAAATGATCTCCTTTGACTCCAGGTCTCACATCTAGATCACGCCAATACAGGAGGTGTGTTCCCATGGTCTTGGGCAGCTCTGCCTCTGTGGCTGTGCAGGGTACAGCCTCTCTCCTGACTGCTTTCAAGGGCTGGCTTTGAGTGTCTGTGGCTTTTCCAGGCCCACAGTGCAAGCTGTCAGTGGATCTACCATTCTGGGGTCTGGAGGATGGTGGCCCTCTTCTCACAGCTCGACTAGGCAGTGTCTCAGTAGGGACTTTATTTGGGGGCTATGACCCCACATTTCCCTTCCACACTGCCCTATCAGAGGTTCTCCATGAGGTCCCTGTTCCTGAAGCAAACTTTTGCCCGGGCATTTGGGCGTTTCCCTACATCTCCTGAAATCTAGGTGGAGGTTTCCAAACCTCAATTCTTGACTTCTGTGCACCTGCAGGCTCAACACCACATGGAGGCTGCCAAGGCTTGGGGCTTCCACTCTCTGAAGCCACAGCCTGAGCTGTACATTGGCCTCTTTCAGCCATGGCTGGAGGAGCTGGAACACAGGGCACCAAGTCCCTAGGCTGCACACAGCAAGGGGACGCTGGGCCTGGTCCACAAAACCACTTTTTCCTCCTGGGCCTCTGGTTCCGTGATGGGAGGGGCTGCTGTGAAGGTCTCTGACATGGCCTGGAGACATTTTCCCATGGTCTTGGGGATTAATACTAGGCTCCTTGCTACTTATGCAGATTTCTGCAGCTGGCTTGAATTTTTCCTAAAAAATGGGTTTTTCTTTTCTACTGCATCACCAGACTGCAGTTTTTCTGAACTGTTATGCTCTGTTTCCCTTTTAAAACGGAATGCTTTTAACAGTACCCAAGTCACCTCTTGAATGTTTTGCTGCTTAGAAATTTCTTCTGCCAGATACTCTAAATCATCTCTCTCAAGTTCAAAGTTCCACGAATCTCTAGGGCAAGGGCAAAATGCCTCCAGTCTGTTTGCTGAAACATAGCAAGAGTCACCTTTGCTCCAGTTCCCAACAAGTTTCTTATCTCCATCTGAGACCACCTTGGCCTGGACCTTATTGTTCATATCACTATCAGCATTTTTGTCAAAGCTATTCAACAAATTTCTAGGAGGTTCCAAACTTTCCCACATTTTCCTGTCTTCTTTGGAGCCCTCCAAACTGCTCCAACCTCTGTCTGTTACCCAGTCCAAAGTTGCTTCCACATTTTTAGGTATCTTTTCAATAACACCCCACTCCTGGAACCAATTTACTATATGAGTTCGTTTTCACACTGCTGATAAAGACATACTGGAGACTGGGAAGAATAAGAGGTTTAATTGGACTTACAGTTCCACATGACTGGGGAGGCCTCAGAATCATTGTGGGAGGTGAAAGGCACTTTTTACATGGCTGCGGCAAGAGAAAATGAGGAAGAAGCAAAAGCAGAAACCCCTGATAAACCCATCAGATATTGTGAGGCTTATTCACTATTATGAGAATAGCATGGGAAAGACTGGCTCCCATGATCGAATTACCTCCCCCTGGGTCCCTCCCACAACATGTGGGAATTCTGGGAGATACAATTCAAGTTGAGATTTGGGTGGGGACACAGCCAAACCATATCATTGGGTATATACCCAAAGGAATATAAATCATTCTATTATAAAGATACATGCATG
Source organism: Homo sapiens (assembly GCF_000001405.40). Taxonomy (NCBI): domain Eukaryota; kingdom Metazoa; phylum Chordata; class Mammalia; order Primates; family Hominidae; genus Homo; species Homo sapiens. Next base: position 32,671,682 of record NC_000006.12, on the reverse strand, counting down.
TGTATGTTTACTGAAGCATTATTCACAATACCAAAGGCATGGAACCAACCCAAATGTCCATCAGTGATAGGCTGGATAAAGAAAATATGGTTCATACACACCATGGAATACTATGCAGCCATAAAAAGGAATGAGATTATGTCTTTTGCAGGGACATGGATGGAGCTGGAAGCCATTGTCCTCAGCAAAATAATGAAGGAACAGAAAACCAAATACTGCATGTTCTCACTAATAATTGGGAGCTGAACAATGAGAACACATGGACACAGGGAGGGGAACAACACACACTGGGGCCTGTGAGGGGTAGGGGCAGGGACAGCATCAGGATAAATAGCTCATGCATGCTGGGCTTAATACCTAGGTGATGGGTTGATAGCTGCAGCAAACCGCCATGCCACACGTTTACCCATGTAACAAACCTGCATGTCCTACACATGTACGCTAGAACATAAAACAAAATAAAATAAAATAAACAATTCAATTCAAAAATGGGATTTTTTAGATTCCTCATATAAGTAAGATCATGCATTACTTGTCTTTCCATGTCTGGCTTATTTCACTTAGCTTAATGTCCTCTAGGTTCATGCATGTTGTCACAAATAACAGTGTGAAAGAAAAATAGAATCTTGGGACCCCAAACTCATTATGCCAAGGGAAAGTTAATCTTGAGGACTGAAGCACCAATACTGTCTTCCTTTTGTTCCCAAACAGATAACGGTAATTTCACAACCCCGTGTCATAACCTCGTTTCCTCTACTCCTTCCCCCTTTTCAAGTTCCCTTAATTTTATGTAAAATGTAGATTTACTGAGCATAAGATAATTTATAATTAACTTTTTCTTCTACTCTCTTTTCACAGGTAAAATGTAGATTTACTTAAGCTAATCAAAGACTCAGGAATGTAACCACTTGTATCATGGCCTACTCTTCCTCCTTTTTTTTCTCCTTCCCCTCCTGCTTGCTCTTTCTCTTTTAAATACTGAAGTTCTCAAAACCCTCTTTGGCAAAAGCATGGATCACAGATGCTCCTGTGTTTTGTGTTTTTCCCAGGTGTATTCCTCAACCTTGGCAAAATAAACCTTTAATTGATTGAGACCTACCTCAGTCACTTTTTGACTTACAACAGGATTTCCTTCTTTTTAAAGCCTGAATAGGATTTAATTGTGTATATATACCACATTTTCTTTATCTTTTCATCCACTGAATGACACAGGTTGATTCTATACCTTGACTATTGTGAATAATGCTGCAAGGAACATAGGAGTATAGGTATATTTTCAACATGCTAATTTTAAATACTTTGTCTACATCCTGCAAATGGGATTACTACATCATATGATAGTTCTATTTTTAACTTTTTGAGGAACTTCCATACTGTTTTCCATAATGGTTGTACTAATCTGCATCCCCACCAACAGTGTACAAATGTTTCCTTTTGTCTACATCCTTAACACTTGTTATCTTTTATCTTTTTGATAATAGCCATTCTGACTGATGTGAGGTGATATGTCATTGTGGTTTAAATGGAATATCTTAAGTTTTCCTATTTGATGATATAAGAGTACTCTCCCCAAAATATTACTGCTGATGTTGCTGTTTTGCATGAACCATGGCCTTGAGCTGAGTTCTTGGACACATGAGTTCTTGAGTACTTGGATATGGATTTAAGTACTCAAGAACTACATATATTTTTATGTGGCTGAACATTAGGGCCTCTCTTTACTGGTAAGAACTTACAGAAAAAGGAGACATTATAAAGATCTCACAGAGAAATATTTAAATTTTTTCTGGGAATGAAGGAGCATGGTGACTACTAATCTAGAGGCTGGGGGAAGAGCTGTCTCTGGAAATATCCCAGGCATCACTAGGGAACCAGAAGTAGAGACAGGCAGAGGTGTGTTGGAAAGAGTGACATGTGTAGGCTAGCTCTGGGAGGTTTAATCACCAGTGGTCCAACTGAGGCAATGCGTGGATGAGGAGACTGACAGGAAAAAGGAACCTGAAAAGATAGATCAGGAAACAAAGCTTCATTGTACAGCATACCCACAGCAGGCAGCTTGGGTTTTTGTCCCAGTCTTCTTCGGTCTTCAAGGGCTATTTTCATAGAGCATGAGGAGCCGTGGGACTGGTGAGGTCTGGGCTTCTGTGCCAAGATCACCCACGTTCCTCATTTGCCCTCAAATGTTCCAAATGCTTTGTATCACCTGATTTTCTACCTTCCTGCTAAAGCTTTTCCCATACTCCTACTCCTTCACGCTCCATCATCCTCCAATTCTGACATGACTTCCACCCTGGAGTTTCACCATGGCCACTTGCTTGTGGGAGGCACTGTCTGAACACAGCCCCTGAATGCTACTGATTTGGCTCTTTCTTCAGATTCTCTAGACTGAGATTTTAAAGAGATAACTTTGTGCCAAGAGAAAGGACCTAGTTTATATGTGCCATGAAAAATTCTTATATATAGCTGGTTACCTAGAAGTTGATATAAGAGAAATATGTAAGAAGCTTCACAAAGATTTTTAAAAATTTAAGGATAATTGCTTGATAAATTTTAATTAAAGGAAAACAATATTCTGGGGGCAGCATTTCTAGTTTTATTACCATTGGCATTAAGGAAGCCACAGAACCTTTCAGAATATACAGTGATTCTTGATTCCTGAAGTAAATGCAGGGTAGGGTCCTGGATGGTCCTTCTGGTGACAGAATGGCTCCTATGTTCACATTCAACTCCACTGACCAAGCACAGATTCCAAGAGATGTTGACCAGAGAAGATGATTTCTCCCTTGATTTTCACAAAGGAGTCCACAACTTTTTCTTCCAACCTGAAGGAAGAGAGGATGTCCCCTAAAGACAGTCTCCCTAATGTAATCCTGACCCTCCCTACTAATGGCAGTGACTTTTTAGCCCATTTACCCATATGGAGTAAATGCTTTAATTGCTCTGCCTCCACAGAGGCTGGGCAGGCAATTCAGGTGAGACACTCGGAATAAGGATGCTTGACCTAGTTTCTTTCTTCTCTGGCCTTTTTCTGCCTGAATGCCCTGAATAATGCAGCAGGGATAGGGCCAGGGTAGTCAACTGTAGAGAAGGCTGGGCCAGGCAGACACAACTGGCAGAAGCCCAAAGCAAAACCTTTCCAGTGAGGTTTTAGCCAATCAGAAAAAGGCTCTAAAGTGACACTTGTTGCTAGCTGAAAAGTCTGTGCAAAGAGGCCTGTGAGACTGGGGAATCCCCAGGTATGACGCAGCCTTTGCCTCAGAATAAACCTGCGGGAAGTTTTTCCCTTAGACAGGAAGGAGAGGATGGATTAGAGACCTCTATTTTGAGGCGCACTGATGTAGGGGCTGAGGAAGGACATTGAGGGCACCTTCAGGTCTCTCTGCCTATTCTTCCTTGCCCCAACTCCATTCCAGGTGTGCATTTGGTTCCTCCTTTATGCGTCCATCACAGCAGTGGAGACCCTCCTTAGACTGGGTTTACCCTGATCCTGAGTACACCACTGCTGCTGGACGCCCAGTGGCAACTTTCCCAGTCTCAGGTGCTCTAGAATTATGCACTGAATAATACAGAATATTGGAGTGGCTCAACGCTTTCATGTGCCACTATTGCAAACGTCTTGCTGTTGCCTCTTCCCTGCTTCTTTTTATCTGATAAACTTATATTCTGATTTTAGATTGTATTCTCTACTTTAAAAGCAGAACCTAACATTTTGGGAAAAGAAAGAGAGAAAGGGAGAGAAGAAGAGAAGTGGAGATATTTATTGTCTTGGTTGAGGTCAGAAGTAATGTTTGCCAGGCGTTGTTCTAATTGCTTTATAACCATTAGTATTGCCCCTAGTCACTGTCAAGAGGAGCCTGATAAGTTATGTTTATTTATAAAAACACATTGATGTAGATATGTCCATGAGGAACTGTTAAAAAAATAGAATTGAAAAAAAAACACATTGATACCTCTGCCATTTGGGATTTAATGTTTAGGGCTGGCACAGTACACTCTGTGACTCTAAACACTTTCTCCATCATTAGTACTATTCAGGACCCAGGAAATGCTTCTCCACAGGTTTTGTGCTCTCTCTTCAAAACGAAACATGACTGCATCCGAATACTGTAAAATTCTGTGTATTGTGCCTTTGCTGATATCAGATGCATCATTTCATGGTTCAGGGAGGATTTAAACAGCTGAAGAACTTAAAAAAGAAATGTCAACTTAATTAACTTTTCAAATACTTTCACTAGAAGAGCATAAATACAATATGTTCTTGCATAATGAAGAATCATTTACCAGCAGGGGTGGGTATCAATTTTTTTTTTTTGGCTTGTTTTCTTGTTCCACATATTAACCTGATAGTTACACATAACAGTTGAGGAGACTTTTGTAATATTAAACAAGACAAATTAATCTTAAATTTGTACATGTGAAGATCTAGATGTAAAATGCATGAAACATGACCCACATTTTATAAAGAGAAGCCTGGGGCAAAAATAAATTCAGTAATTTGTTGACTCTTCTAAAGCACATTAGTGGTGGAACTGCAACTTACCATTATTTCCTTCTAAGAACTTTGCTCTTCTCCCCAGGACTTAAGGCTCTTCAGCGTGTCTAAGACAACAGCAGTAAAAATTTCTGTGACAGCAATTTTCTCTCCCCTGAAATATGATCCCCACCTAATTTGCTTTATTAAAAATCCCAAGTATAATAACAACTGGTTTTTAACAATATTACAGAGATGTTTACTGTTGAATCGCATTTTTTTCTTTTGCCTCTCAAAATCCCCGAGGCATTCGTTCTTCAGCTCTTCTATAATCGAGAGGAAATTTTCACCTCAGATGTTCATCCAGTACAATTTGAAGACGTCACAGTGCCAGGCACTGGATTGAGAACCTTCACAAAAAAAATGTCTGCCCAGAGACAGATGAGGTCCTTCAGCTCCAGTGCTGATTGGTTCTTTTCCGAGGGACCATCCAATCCTGCCACTCACGGAAACATCCACAGGTTTTTATTCTTTCTGCCAGGTACATCAGATCCATCAGGTCCGAGCTGTGTTGACTACCACTGCTTTTCCCTTCGTCTCAGTTATGTCTTGGAAGAAGGCTTTGCGGATCCCCGGAGACCTTCGGGTAGCAACTGTCACCTTGATGCTGGCGATGCTGAGCTCCCTACTGGCTGAGGGCAGAGACTCTCCCGGTAAGTGCAGGGCAGCTGCTCTCCAGAGCCGCCACTCTGGGAACAGGCTCTCCTTGGGCTGGGGTATGGGGGATGGTGATCTCTATGATCTTGGACACAATCTTTCATCAACATTTCCTCTCTCTTGGGAAAGAAAGCTATGTTGCATTCCCATTTATCTTTTAGTGATGAGATGAGGACAATCCAATCCCCATCCTACAGGCTTAAGCCTGGAAGAGGAGGAGAGAGGAGAGAAAGAGGAGATAAAGTGTACATTTACTACCAGCGATAGGACAAAGTGAGCATGGGGTTATTTTTGAAGATATGAATTTCTCCAAAGACACAGCAGGATTTGTCATTTAGGCGTGCCCCAAGACTGCCTGGACTTAGGATTATGAGATCCTGCATTGGAAAATGTGAGGCAGCAATGGTGTCTGTAGTCTCTGTATTTGAGGAAAATTTGTCTCTATTCCTGACCGAGTGGAGCATTTGTGGAGGCAAAATCTTGGTGCTGAGGGAAGCTGACTGGCTGACCACAGAGAGGGAGTCTTCGGGTTTCACTGATTTATGGGCAAATGGTGACTTGAGTGGGATTCAGAGACCCGAGTTAATGGTGGACTGAATTTAGTAGGAAGGAGGATGTAAAGAAGGGAAATAACACATATTGTGAAACCACTCACTTCAGACAGAACAATACTTTATATAACTTCTCTCTCACTCCTTCTAACATCCTGTGTGTAGATATCATGATTTTCTTTTACACAATTATACTTGTGATATGGATATTCTGTTACATAACCTGCCCAAACTGGTGACTGCCACAGTTTAATTGGAATCTAGTTTATCAAATTCAAAAGCTTGTGCTCTTTCCATGAATAAATGTCTCTATCTAGGACTCAGAGGTGTAGGTCCTTTCCAACATAGAAGGGAGTGAACCTCAACGGGACTTGGGAGGGTAAATCTAGGCATGGGAAGGAAGGTATTTTACCCAGGGACCAAGAGAATACGCGTGTCAGAACGAGGCCAGGCTTAATTCCTGGACCTATCTCGTCATTCCGTTGAACTCTCAGATTTATGTGGATAACTTTATCTCTGAGGTATCCAGGAGCTTCATGAAAAATGGGATTTCATGCGAGAACGCCCTGATCCCTCTAAGTGCAGAGGTGCATGTAAAATCAGCCCGACTGCCTCTTCGCTGGGTTCACAGGCTCAGGCAGGGACAGGGCTTTCCTCCCTTTCCTGGATGTAGGAAGGCAGATTCCAGAAGCCCGCAAAGAAGGCGGGCAGAGCTGGGCAGAGCCGCCGGGAGGATCCCAGGTCTGGAGCGCCAGGCACGGGCGGGCGGGAACTGGAGGTCGCGCGGGCGGTTCCACAGCTCCAGGCCGGGTCAGGGCGGCGGCTGCGGGGGCGGCCGGGCTGGGGCCTGACTGACCGGCCGGTGATTCCCCGCAGAGGATTTCGTGTTCCAGTTTAAGGGCATGTGCTACTTCACCAACGGGACGGAGCGCGTGCGTCTTGTGACCAGATACATCTATAACCGAGAGGAGTACGCGCGCTTCGACAGCGACGTGGGGGTGTACCGCGCGGTGACGCCGCAGGGGCGGCCTGATGCCGAGTACTGGAACAGCCAGAAGGAAGTCCTGGAGGGGACCCGGGCGGAGTTGGACACGGTGTGCAGACACAACTACGAGGTGGCGTTCCGCGGGATCTTGCAGAGGAGAGGTGAGCGTCGTCGCCCCTCCGTGAGGCCCACCCTTGGCCGAGACCCCGAGTTTCTGTGCCGGGAGGGGCGATGGGGGCGAGGTCTCTGAAATCTGAGCCCAGTTCATTCCACCCCAGGGGAAAGGAGGCGGCGGCGGGGTGGTGGGGGCAGGTGCATCGGAGGGGCGGGGACCTAGGGCAGAGCAGGGGGACAAGCAGAGTTGGCCAGGCTGCCTAGTGTCCCCCCCAGCCTCCCCGTCCGTCGGCCTCGTCCTCCGCTCTGCACGTTTCTCGCCTCGTGCCTTATGTGTTTGCCTCCTCGTACCTTACCTTCGCTAAGCAGTTCTCTCTGCCCCCAGTGCCCACCCTCTTCCCCTGCCCGCCGGCCTCGCTAGCACTGCCCCACCCAGCAAGGCCCACGTGCGCAGCTTGCGCCGCAGGAAGCTTCAGGCTTGGCCTGGTGGAGTTAGGGCTGCCCCACAGCTGCGCGCAGGGCATCCAGCAATTACAGTTGCGAAATAAGATATTTTGACTTTTTGGCTTCAAATCATTATTCATCGTAATTCTGTTTTCTTAAATGGCTACCACTAATGGCGGAGATCTTTGAGGCGAGAGACTGTTTAATTATTGCATGCCTGGTACCTGACACATTGACTGGTATGTGGTGTGAGCTCAATGATCTTCTGTTAAATTCATGAATAAATGTACTCAGCTGCCAATCCAGTTAGGTTCAAGAAAAAAACAGAGGCTTACAAATGAACTTTATCAATTATTTTCTAACATTTTGCTTAATGCTTTCAAGTAAACTCTTACTGACTTGGATCTTAATAGAATTTGTGAATACAAAGTCTGAGGAAAATGTGTTTGCTAAAAATAAAAACAATGCTTGAATGATGTTGTAAGGCAGAGTTTTAATTTCTTAGAAAAGCTGAACAAATAGCACTATGCAAAGATCAGAAGTTTGGGAATAAATAGGTTGAAGCTATTAAATTATTGGATAAAAATAGTTTCAGGTTGCTTTTGGCCTAGGTTATCCCCTCCCCCCCATCACTATCCACTTCAGGAATAAACATTCTGAAAGTCAATTTTACCCATTCAGGAAGCACTTATTTCTAGACAGTTGCCTTATCAAATACCATCTATGTTATGTCATTTAATCTCACAGCTACCTGTGCATTAGAGATTAGCATCACCACTTTATATATCCTAATATTGGTACATGATAAACACTTTAAGTAATCAGCCCACAATTACTCACCAAGATCTTAAGCCTCCCAAAGTACACAACATTCTTATGTTCCTCACTACACATATGTAGAGTCTAAGGGATGTAAGGCCTTGTTAAAGCCAGTTTTGACCAGAAGCAGCAATGAGTCTATTCCTGTTTGTTCTGTGTGTTAATGCGGCATTGAAAATTCATGATTAATCAATCCCTAGTCTGACCCCGGTGTTATCTATGCAGGTTCACAAAACTTTTAGTTTGCTTTACACTCCCTTGCCTTCTTTTGACTCACATCCTAATGCCAGCAAGTACTTATATTTTTGCTATTTCAGTTTTATTTCCATAAAATTTATTTTATCATCTTTTCTCATAAATTTGTGCCCTCTATTTTTACTCCCAGTCTGTTGAAGATGAACAAATCTTATAAGGCCACATAGCTGACTCTGATTTCAGTTGGCCTCCAGGAAGGAGAACCTAAAGAAAAGTTCAAGTCCAAGCAGAAACCATGATTCCTTCCGGATGATGGCTCAAGAGTGCCATTTAATTGGGGTGCCACCTGCTGACCTCAGCAAATCCCAGTTATATGTATATGTTCACATTACAGGCTCATTAGCCCAGGCCGACCTCTGCACGGATCTCAGAATATTTTCTGTGGAGAACATACACGATAATGTCTGATTTCAGAACAAGAAAGTAATTGTCAATAGCAAGGAAATGGAGTAGGGTAGACAGCTAGTAATTAAACTCACTTGTGCGTTAAAAAGAAATTAAGGAAAAAAAGAAAATGAGAGAACATATTACTAAATAAAGAAAGCACACATTAAATATTTGCTATAGTTTCACACTAAGAGAATAAAGGAAATGTGATAAAGTGGCCTAAAAGGAAAGGATGAGATGTGTAAAAGAGGCGGGGAAAGATGTGTCATTTTTTTTACTATGAGCAGCAATCTGAGAAGATAAAGGAATTGAGTTGTGGACAAACATGATGTTTGATCAAGGGTTATTTGTTTTGAAGGCCTGCCTACTTTTTTTTCAAATATTACAAACTTTTGAAATAACATTCTACTTTTTTTTCAAATATTACAAACTTTTGAAATAACATTCTTTTTGTTTTTTGCTGTCTGTTACTAGATTGCACATTCTATAAATGCAGGGACCATAGTATGTTATTTATCTTTGAATTCTCAGTGATTGTCAAATTTATATTTGTTGAATGAACCTTAATCCAAGACTTCGACTCCAGGTATCTTTCCACTCTGGTCCAAGGAGGGATCCTTCCTCATGGTAGACGTGGTGTGTGTTCTCACATCTCACTCCTATGTCTTTTCCTGTCTGTTACTGCCCTCAGTGGAGCCCACAGTGACCATCTCCCCATCCAGGACAGAGGCCCTCAACCACCACAACCTGCTGGTCTGCTCGGTGACAGATTTCTATCCAGGCCAGATCAAAGTCCGGTGGTTTCGGAATGATCAGGAGGAGACAGCCGGCGTTGTGTCCACCCCCCTTATTAGGAATGGTGACTGGACTTTCCAGATCCTGGTGATGCTGGAAATGACTCCCCAGCGTGGAGATGTCTACACCTGCCACGTGGAGCACCCCAGCCTCCAGAGCCCCATCACCGTGGAGTGGCGTAAGGGGATATTGAGTTTCTGTTACTATGGGCCCACAAGACAAAGAGCTCCTTCTGACCCATTCCTTCCCATCTCTTATCCCTGATGTCACTACTGAGCTGGGAATCACAGGAGACTAGAGCACCTCTTGCTCCATGGCAAGTGCATCAGAAGAATCCTGGTCTCATCACCTTTCCAGATGCTAGGGAAATTACTCTACATACTGTTGCTCTGAATCCCAGTCCTGATAGCTCTGAGGGACTGATTCTTAGGGCTGGTGACTGGGATCTTAGGGTCTAAGGTTATGGATGAGTTCTTGAAGAGCAGAGATTTGCTTCCCCACTCTCTCACCTATTCACTGTATCCAAGGACCTATTGGCTGGTCTTTCCCCTCCTTAGGGGTGGTCTGAATGGAGAACTAGGTTCCTTTGATGCCTTCACCTTCTGCACCTCAGACTGGACTTCAACTCCTCAGCAGGGATGCTATGGGGTGTGGGGACAAACACAGACACTCAGTTCTGCTCTTTAGGGGCTCAGTCTGAATCTGCCCAGAGCAAGATGCTGAGTGGCGTTGGAGGCTTCGTGCTGGGGCTGATCTTCCTTGGGCTGGGCCTTATCATCCGTCAAAGGAGTCAGAAAGGTGAGGAACCCCAGGGGAAAAGGGGAAGATGGGCTGTGACCCAGACCCTCTGTTCAGAGTGGTCCTGTCTGTAGATTAGCTCTTTCCTCCTGACCCTGAGAAGAAGTGCGAGGAGACAGGACAAGATGGGAGGAGGCATTGGAATCTGATTTTACTGGTTGAAAGGTAGCGCTGTCACAGAGCTGACTGATAGAGCTTATTCCAGGGCATCCTTACCATTCATCATTGTCTCACTGGCTCCTTTCCAAAAGCTTCCTCCATTAAGAGGGTCAGAGCCTCAGCTTCCTTTCTTTCTAGTGACAATTTCCTTTGTTTTAGGGGATTTTAAATTAGGGTGCTGAAGGCCTGGAAGAACATGGGTGGGAAGAGAATGTAACTCTAAGTCATGTGTGTCATTTTCCTTTGGGGTGAGAGAGTGGCTGTTTGTGTAATGAGACCTTTCTCTGCATAACTTCCTTTTGTAAGACCTCAAGGGCCTCCACCAGCAGGTAATATTTCAGCCATGATCCAGTGTGGGGAGGCACAGGTATAAGAGGGAAGAGCATGAGCTGAGTGTACCTGACCACAGTGGTCCATGTTCATGGCCTATTTGCTGCTATGAGGATCAAGACTTAGGGGAGAAGTTTGCCAGTTTCTAGGAATCTCCAGACATTGTTCCCCAGAACCAAGCCTTAACTTTGGTGGCATCTTCTTGTGAAATGTGGAGCCAGAACCACAGCTTAAATGTTAGACACTAGGATGATGCCCACTTTGTGCCACATGATGGTGGCTACTGCCTGTAAGCATTTTCCAGTGACTGAAAGAGGCTGCTAGTGGTCGGGAAGAGATATCATCCAATTTCCTAAAAAGACTGAACCCTTCATATTCCCCAGAAGAATAACAGCTGTTCCCCACCTCCCACACATCTGCATCAAGCTGAAGTTCTGTGTCCTCATGAGCTGATTTCACCTTTGCACAGATCTTGGGGGAGGTGATGACAATACACCCTGGACCTCAACTTTCTCTGTCTGAAGCTGCAGGGGGCCCCTGAAGGGTGGGGGAGATGGCAGGCCCACCAGGATACCCTGTGCTGATCAATGCTCTTCTCTCTTCTCCAGGGCTTCTGCACTGACTCCTGAGACTATTTTAACTAGGATTGGTTATCACTCTTCTGTGATGCCTGCTTATGCCTGCCCAGAATTCCCAGCTGCCTGTGTCAGCTTGTCCCCCTGAGATCAAAGTCCTACAGTGGCTGTCACGCAGCCACCAGGTCATCTCCTTTCATCCCCACCCCAAGGCGCTGGCTGTGACTCTGCTTCCTGCACTGACCCAGAGCCTCTGCCTGTGCATGGCCAGCTGCGTCTACTCAGGTCCCAAGGGGTTTCTGTTTCTATTCTTTCCTCAGACTGCTCAAGAGAAGCACATGAAAAACATTACCTGACTTTAGAGCTTTTTTACATAATTAAACATGATCCTGAGTTATCTGTATTCTGAACTTTCTTAATTGAGAAGAGGCAGGAAATCACTGCAGAATGAAGGAACATCCCTTGAGGTGACCCAGCAAACCTGTGGCCAGAAGGAGGATTGTACCTTGAAAAGACACTGAAAGCATTTTGGGGTGTGAAGTAAGGGTGGGCAGAGGAGGTAGAAAATAATTCAATTGTCGCATCATTCATGGTTCTTTAATACTGATGCTCAGTGCATTGGCCTTAGAATATCCCAGCCTCTCTTCTGGTTTGGTGAGTGCTGTGTAAATAAGCATGGTAGAATTGTTTGGAGACATATATAGTGATCCTTGGTCACTGGTGTTTCAAACATTCTGGAAAGTCACATCGATCAAGAATATTTTTTATTTTTAAGAAAGCATAACCAGCAATAAAAATACTATTTTTGAGTCTAAATGATAGAAGCCCAAATATATTTTGTTCATGGTACAAAGGAAGCCTAGAGTCAAGTTGATTTCACAAGTTACTAGTTCCAGATATTCAACGAGATCTTCACCTCTCTTTCTGTTATGTCTCTATCTGGGCATCTGTCTCACTTTCTCTGTGTCTCTTTGTCCTTGTATAGTTCTTTCTGCGTGTCTCTCTGCATCTTTGTCTCTGTGCCCTTGTTGTCTTTCACTACATTGTTGCCTTTCTTTCTATTTTTCTAATCCATTGTCACTATTTATCTGCATTTTTTCTATCTTCATGTTTCTTTTTGCATCTATTTTTCTGTATTTGTCTTCCTTATCACTTCATATCTTACCTCATCTCTCTCTGTGTGTGTGTGTGTGTTTGTGTGTGTGTCTGTTTGTCTGTCTCTGTTATATATGTTTCTAGACTTGTCTACCAGAGTTTTGACAACTTTAGGAAACATTCTGATTGGCCAAGCCTGGGTAACATGCACACCTCTCAAACACATTGTCCTGTGCACGGGATGCTGACAGCCAGCATTGTGTCCATCGCTCTTATTAGGAAGGAGGACTGGATTTTCCAGATCCTTGTGGTCCTGGAAATGACTTCCAGTGTGCAGATGTCTACACCAGTCATGTGGAGCACTTCAGCCTCCAGAGCCTGTCCTCACAGTGGAGGGGTGTAAGGGGCAGTTTGTTTCTTGTGGAGCCCACAGGACAAATGGCAGAGCTCCCTCTGGTTCTAGGGTCCCTCACTGGGGGTACCTGTTCACAGTCATTCCACTCCTTGTCTGAGCTCCCTTTGTCATTGACGTTGTAACCTGTTGATTCCTGATGACACTCTTTTCCCGGTTATGAGGGAGGTCACTACACACTGTGGCCCCTTTGATGTGGGCCCAGCCCTGAAGCTGGTCTACATCTCAGTCTCTGAGTTTCATCATGAAGACAGAGTCTGGGAGCTTCTGCGAGGTTATGGAAGGCCATGACCCTGAAAGCAGACATCCCATCTTCCTTTCTCCCTCACCCACACACTGGGCGTGAGGAGTCTTTGGCAGGCTCTTCCTTCTTATGGATGAGGTCAGAGTGGAGAACTAGGTCTCCTTGGGACGTTCATCTCCTGTACTCCAGGCTGTCATGCAGGTCCTCAGACAGGGACACTGGCGCACAAAGAGGCACCAACACTTGAGATTCTGCTCCCCAGGGTTATGGTCTGAATTTTCCCCAAGCAGAATGCTGAATGGAGTCAAAAGTTTTGTGCTGATTTTGTCCTCTTCCTCAGGGTGGGCATTGTCATTGACCATAGGGATCAAAAGGGAGTGCCACTTTTGGGGAAATGGGGAAAGCATGTGCTGGGTTGTCCAGGGTGTCCTCAGTCTCTATGTGTAGCTGTGGGGAAAAGAAAGAGAGATCAGACTGTTACTGTGTCTATGTAGAAAGAAGTAGACATAAGAGACTCCATTTTGTTCTGTAGTAAGAAAAATTCTTCTGCCTTGAGATGCTGTTAATCTGTATCCCTATCCCCAACCCTGTGCTTGCAGAAACATATGCTGTGTCAACTCAAGGTTTAACAAAGCAGGATGTGCTTTGTTAAACAAATGCTTGAAGGCAGCATGCTTGTTAAAAGTCATCACCACTCCCTAATCTCAAGTACCCAGGGACACAAAACACTGCGGAAGTCCACAGGGACCTCTGCCTAGGAAAGCCGGATATTGTCCAAGGTTTCTCCCCATGTGATAGTCTGAAATATGGCCTCGTGGGAAGGGAAAGACCTGACTGTCCCCCAGCCTGACACCCGTAAAGGGTCTGTGCTGAGGAGGATTAGTAAAAGAGGAAGGCCTTTTTGCAGTTGAGATAAGAGGAAGGCATCTGTCTCCTGCTCGTCCCTGGGCAATGGAATGTCTCGGTTTAAAACCCGATTGTATATTCTATCTACTGAGATAGGAGAAAACTGCCTTAGGGCTGGAAATGAGACATGCTGGTGGCAATACTGCTCTTTAATGCATTGAGATGTTTATGTATGTGCACAAAAAAGCACAGCGCCTTTTTCTTTACCTCATTTATGATGCAGAGACATTTGTTCACATGTTTTCCTGCTGACTCTCTCCCCACTATTACCCTATTGTCCTGCCACATCTCCCTCTCCGAGAGGGTAGAGATAATGATCAATAAATACTGAGGGAACTCAGAGACTGGGGCCGGCGTGAGTCCTCAGTATGCTGAGCGCCGGTCCCCTGGGCCCACTTTTCTTTCTCTATACTTTGTCTCTGTGTCTCTTTCTTTTCTCAGTTTCTCATCCCACCCGACAAGAAACACCCACAGGTGTGGAGGGGCAGGCCACCCCTTCATGTGGCTTCTTGCTTTTGACCCTGCAAAGGGAAGAGGCAGGGCTGGGGATTGAACCAGACTCAAAGTTTAGGGAGACATCGAGATCTGATTTTTCTAGTTGAAGCATAAGCCCTATAATTCTTACAGTTCAACATCGTCACACTGAGCACATGCTGGAGATTCTTTATTAATGAGAGGGTCAAAATCTTCTTCTCTTTCTTCCATTGACAGTTTCATAGAAACAACTATTTTTTTGCACCCAAATTTCACTGGATAATATGATCTTTAATGGATAATTTCATTAGAATTACAAGTACATCCTGTATAAATTGTTGCGGGAAGTCAGGGACCCCAAACGGAGGGACCGGCTGAAGCCATGGCAGAAGAACGTGGATTGTGAAGATTTCATGGACATTTATTAGTTCTCCAAATTAATACTTTTATAATTTCTTATGCCAGTCTTTACTGCAATCTCTAAACATAAGTTGTGAAGATTTCATGGACACTTATCACTTTCCCAATCAATACCCTTGTGATTTCCTATGCCTGTCTTTACTTTAATCTCTTAATCCTGTCAGCTGAGGAGGATGTATGTCGCCTCAGGACCATGTGATAATTGCAATAACTGCACAAATTGTAGAGCATGTGTGTTTAAACAATATGAAATCTGGGCACCTTGAAAAAAGAACAAGATAACAGCAACGTTCAGGGAATAAGAGAGATAACCTTAAACTCTGACTGCCAGTGAGCCAGGTGGAACAGAGTCATATTTCTCTTCTTTCAAAAGCAAATGGGAGAAATATCATTGAATTCTTTTTCTCAGCATGGAACATCCCTGAGAAAGAGAATGCGCAGCTAGGGGTAGGCCTCTGAACTGGACCCCCGAGGTGTAGCCGTCTCTTATGGTCGAGGCTGCAGAGATGAAATAAACTCCAGTCTCCCGTAGTGCTCCCAGGCTTATTAGGAAGAGGAAATTCCCGCCTAATAAATTTTGATCAGACCGGTTGATCTCAAAACCCTGTCTCCTGATAAGATGTTATCAATGACAATGGTGCCTGAAACTTCATTAGCAATTTTAATTTCGCCTCAGTCCCGTGGTCCTGTGATCTCGCCCTGCCTCCACTTGCCTTGTGATATTCTATTACCCTGTTAAGTACTTGATGTCTGTCACCTACACCTATTCGCACACTCCCTCCCCTTTTGAAAATCCCTAATAAAAACTTGCTGGTTTTTGTGGCTTGTGGGGCATCACGGATCCTACCAATGTGTGATGTCTCCCCCAGATGCCCAGCTTTAAAATTTCTCTCTTTTGTACTCTGTCTCTTTATTTCTCAAGCCGACCGACTCTTAGGAAAAATAAAAAAGAACCTACTTGATTATCAGGGCAGGTTCCCCGATAATAAATAAGTTTGCTAACACAAAGAACTGAGTCTTAATCATCATATAAGTTGGAGGAAAGTGTGTAGGTGTTCTAGAGAAAAACCTACCAGTCCTGAGCATTTGTCCTTACCTTAGATAATAACAGTATATCTTTTGGAGACAGTGGTGCTTGCCAGTATTCCAAAGCTCCTGTATATTTCCGTCTTTTCTGCTGTTAAGTTGGGGTCATTTGACTGACAGTAGCCAATGGAACTTGCAAGTAGGTGCATGGTGGTGTATGAGATGCTGGAAACTCCATAACCTGAGTCACTTGAATAACTGTGAAATTAAGTCTCCTTATTGAGTTAAGCCACTGAGATCTACTTTTTACTGTGGGTTAAGATCTTGTTGCAACATAACCTTGCCCTTCCTGATTATCATGAAATGTTTAACTTAAGGAACAGAGTTCTTAAGTTAATAGGGTGAATCAATTGAGTTAATGGAAGTTAAGAGGTGATTTTAAAAAACAGAAAACTTTATTTGAACAAGAAAAAGTTAAAAATGTTACACTTCGAAAAAATTTTAAACTCGTTAATCATTTTTAATTGACAAATAACTGCATTTACAGGGTACTACATGACTTTTTGATACATGTGATTAAACCAGGCTAATTAACATATCCATCACTTCACTTTTTTTGTGGTATGAATATTTAAAATCTCTCTTAGCAATTTCCTTTTTTTTTTTTTTTTTTGGGACAGAGTCTTGCTCTGTCACTTAGACTGGAGTGCATTGGTGCTGTCTCCACTCACTGCAACCTCCGCCTCTGGGATTCAAGCAATTCTCCTGCCTCAGCCTCCCAAATAGCTGGGACTACAGGCATGCACTACCATGCCCAGATAATTTTTGTATTTTTAGTAGAGACAGGGGTTTCCCGAGACAGGGTTTCACCATGTTGGCCAGGCTGATCTTGAACTCCTGACCTCAGGTGATCCACCCACCTTGGCCTCCCAAAGTGCTGGAATTACAGGCGTGAACCACCATGCCCAGTGCAATTTTCAAATAGGCAATACAGTTGGCTCTCTGTATCTGTGGGTTCCACATCCTCTGATTCATTCAACTGTGGATTGAAAATACATAGAAAAAAATGAAAAATAACAATATAACAATAAAAAAATTCCAATTCCAAAACAATACAGTATAATAACTATTTACATAGCATTTACATTGCATTGGGTATTATAAGTAATCTAGAGATGGCTTAAAGTATATGGGAGGATAAGCTTAGGTTATATGCAAAAACTAAGCCATTTTTAATAAGGGACTTGAGCATTCTCAGATTTTGGTATACAGAGAGGATCCTGGAACCAATCTCTCATGGATGCTGAGAAATGACAGTGCATTATTATTAACCGTAGTCACCATGCTGTACAGTCGATCTCCAGTACTTATTCCTCCTGTCTAACTGAAACTTTGTACTTTTTTTTTTTTGAGACAGGGCCTAGTTCTGGCTGGAATGCAGTGGTATGATCACAGCTCACTGCAGCCTTGACTTCCTGGGCTCAGTCCATCCTCCCACCTCAATCTCTGGAGTAGCTGGGACTACTGGCATGCCCCACCATGCCTGGCTAATTTCTGTATTTTTGTAAAGACAGAGTTTCAGCATGCTGTCCAGTTGGTCTTGAACGAGGCTCAACCAATCCACCTGCCTCAGCCTCCCAAAGTGGTGGGATTACAGGCATGAGCCACCACAACCTGCCCTTCTTTGTACCTTTTGACCAACATTTTCTCATTCCTCCTTGTCGCCCTCCCTACTACCCCCATTTCCCCACCTGCTGTGATTTTGACTTTTTTAGATTCCACATGTAAGTGAGGTCATGTGGTATTTGTCTTTCTGTGCCTGGCTTATTTCCCTTAACATAATGTCCCCCAGGTTCTTTAACATAATGATGTAAAAGATTTCCTTCTTTTATAAGACTGAATAGTATTCCATTGTGTATATAGACCAGTTTCTTTATCCACTCATCTGCTGATGGACACTTAGGTTGATTCCATCTCTTGCCCATTGTGAGTAGTGCTGCGATGAACATGGGAGTGCAGATATCTCTTTGATATACTGATTGCATTTTCTTTGCAGATGTACCCAGGAGTGGAATTGCCAGATCATGTGGTAGTTCTATTTTTAATTTTTAAAGAGATGATGAATTTAAAAAAAACATTTATCTGGGCCGGCCACAGTGGTTCACGCCTGTAATCCCAGCACGTGGGAGGCCGAGGTGGGTGGATCATGAGGTCAAGAGTTTGAGACCAGCCTGGCCAACATAGTGAAGCCCCATCTCTACTAGAAATACAAAAATTAGCTGGGTGTGGTGGCACACACCTGTAGTCCCAGCTACTCAGGTGGCTGAGGTGGGAGAATCACCTGGGAGGCAGAGGTTGCAGTGAGCTGAGACCACACCATTGCACTGCAGCCTGGGTGACAGAGTGAGACTCTGTCTCAAACAACAACAACAACAACAACAAACATACATTTATTTGTTTGTTTTCTTCCACATGAATATATATGTATTCTCAGGAACTAGAACACTGTTTCTGTTGTGGATGCTGTTCTGTTCTACCTGCCTCCCTTTGGGACTGAAGGATTTATTCTCTCATTGCTGGGAATGTTGCTGGCTGACTGCCCTTAGCTGTCAGCCATCCCCTGGAATTGCCTTAGGTGATGAAACCTGCCTCATCGGATTTTACTCCACTTCCCAGGAAGAATCCACCTATAATGACTGGTCAGTGTGGGGGTATAAATGTCCTAAACCCTTTCCCTAATTTGGGCCAACTCTGAAAGGCTCTTACAGCTTCAGAACTCCCTGGGGGTTAGGCTGAAGACTTTTTGTGACTGAATAATAATACAGTTTCTAAAACCCTGCTTTAATTCATGAGCCATCTTTCATAATTCTTTTGGTTACAAATGTAATTTAAATGTAGTGATCTTTGTGACTTCTTCCTTAACTATGGGCAATGTCTCTTTCCTCCGTCTTAGAAGATGAAAGTTATTGACATTGTTACCCTTCCTTTCCCCTCCACTTTATGCTTCCACTTGACAAAATGAGGTACATGCACCCTTTTTTCAATATCGTCAAAGCTGACCATTTTGACATTCTGCTGTAACACTAAGCATCCTTGGGCTTTGCTCGTAGCTTAATTCTAAAAGTTGAAAAAATTGTTCATCATTTTCTAAATATCACTCATGTATCAGACATTCTTTGCTTGCCAAGGAACTGCTATAGTAGGATCCCTTTTCAGTGAGGTCCTGCATTAAATTCAGTTTCCTGGATTCTTTACCTTCCCATTTCCTGATTAACAGTTTCACTTTACTAAGTAATATCCTTAGTCAATTTCTAATAAAACTGTGTGGTAGGTAAAATTTATGTCCTTTCATATCCAACAGTATTTTTATTCTTTCTCTGTGCCTGATTGTGATTTTGAAAAGGTCTACATTTTTTTTTTTTTTTTGAGATGGAGTCTCCCTCTGTCCCCAGGCTGGAGTGCAGTGGCATGATCTCGGCTCACTGCAAACTCCGCCTCCCGGGTTCAGCCTTTCTCCTGCCTCAGTCTCCCGAGTAGCTGGGACTACAGGCACCCGCCACCGTGCCCAGCTAATTTTTTTTGTATTTTTAGTAGAGACGGGGTTTCACCATGGTCTCGATCTCCTGAGCTCATGATCCGCAAGCCTCGGCCTCCCAAAGTGCTGGGATTACAGGCGTGAGCCACCGTGCCAGGCCGAAAAGGTCTACATTTATTAATAAAAATAATTTTCCATTAGAACTTCAAGGCCTTTCTTATTATCTTAATAGAAGCATCTAGGAGTCCGACTTTCTGTCTGTTGTCAGTTTCATTTTGGTTTCCCTTACTGGAATATTTTATGATGTTTCTTTAACCCTTGAGGCTCTGAAATTTTGAAAATGATATATTTCAAGATGAGTATTAATTTTGATGAATACCTGGCAATATCTTTCTATTTAAAGAATTGGGTCCTTCATATTTGGAAATTTTTCCCTTATTATTTGTTTTGATAATTTTCTCCCTTCATCTTCTCTGTTGGTCTCTCTAGCTCTGTAACCTGAGGTTGGACTTCCTTGGTCTATTCTCTGTTTTAGCTTTTCTACCACATATTACATTTCATTGTCTTTTTTTTTTTTTTTTTGCTTTGAGACGGAATCGCGCTCTGACACCCAGGCTGGAGTGCAGTGGCTCGATCTCGGCTCACTGCAAGCTCCACCTCCCGCGTTCACGCCATTCTCCTGCCTCAGCCTCCCGAGCAGCTGGGACTACAGGCGCCCGCCACCATGCCCGGCTAATTTTTTGTACTTTTAGTAGAGACAGGGTTTCACCGTGTTAGCCAGGATGGTCTTGATCTCCTGACCTAATGATCTGCCCGCCTTGGCCTCCCAAAGTGCTGGGATTACAGGCTTGGGCCACCACGCCTGGCCATGTCTTTTTAAATGTCAGTGAGATTTTCTTGATTACATTTTTCAACCTTTCTATTAAATTTTCCAATTTTTTGTACCATTCTATTATTACTTTTACAGATTAAGAATTCTTTTTTGGCCGGGTGTGGTGGCTCAGGCCTGTAATCCCAACACTTTGGGAGGCCGAGCAGGGAGACCACGAGGTCAGGAGGCAGAGACCATCCTGGCTAACATGGTGAAACCCCGTCTCTACTAAAAATACAAAAAATTAGCCAGACGTGATGGCGGGCGCCTATAGGCCCAGCTACTTGGGAGGCTGAGGCAGGAGAATGGCATGAACCCAGGGAGCTTGCAGTGAGCCAAGATCGCACCACTGCACTACAGCCTGGGCAACAAAGCGAGACTCTGTCTCAAAAAAAAAAAAAAGAATTCTTTATTATTATTATTATTATTATTATTATTATTATTATTATTATTATACTTTAAGCTCTAGGGTACATGTGCACAACGTGCAGGTTTGTTACATAGGTATACATGTGCCATATTGGTTTGCTGCACCCATCAACTCGTAATTTACATTAGGTATTTCTCCTAATGCTATCCCTCCCCCAACCCCCGACTCCCCGACAGGCCCCTGTGTGTAATGTTCACCTCCCTGTGTCCATGTGTTCTCATTGTTCAACTCCCACTTATGAGCGAGAACATGCGGTGTTTGGTTTTCTGTCCTTGTGATAGTTTGCTCAGAATGATGGTTTCCAGCTTCATCCATGTCCCTGCAAAGGACATGAACTCATCCTTTTATATGGCTGCATAGTATTCCATGGTGTATATGTGCCACATTTTCTTTATCCAGTCTATTATTGATGGACATCTGGGTTGGATCCAAGTCTTTGCTATTGTGAATAGTGCCGCAATAAACATACATGTGCATGTGTCTTTATAGTAGCATGATGTATAATCCTTTGGGTATATACCCAGGAATGGGATCGCTGGGTGAAATGGTATTTCTAGAACTAAAAATTCCTTGAGGAATCGCCACATTGTTTTCCACAATGGTTGAACTAATTTACACTCCCACCAACAGTGTAAAAGCATTCCTATTTCTCCACATCCTCTCCAGCATCTGTTGTTTCCTGACTTTTTAATGATCACTGTTCTAACTGGTGTGAGATGGTATGTCATTGTGATTTTGATTTGCATTTCTCTGGTGACCAGTGATGATGAGCATTTTTTATGTGTCTGTTGGCTGCATAGATGTCTTCTTTTGAGAAGTGTCTGTTCACATCCTTTGTCCACCTTTTGATGAGGGTTTTTTGATGATGTTTGTTTTTTCTTGTAAATTTGTTTAAGTTCTTTGTAGGTTCTGGATATTAGCCCTTTGTCAGATGGGTAGATTGCAAAAATTTTCTCCCATTCTGTAGGTTGCCTGTTGACTCTGATGATAGTTTCTTTTGCTGTGCAGAAGCTCTTTCATTTAATTAGATCCCATTTGTCAATTTTGGCTTTTGTTGCCATTGCTTTTGGTGTTTTAGTCATGAAGTCTTTGCCCATGCCTATGTCCTGAATGGTATTGCCTAGGTTTTCTTCTGGGGTTTTTATGGTTTTAGGTTTTATGTTTAAGTCTTTAATGCATCTTGAGTTCATGTTTATATAAGGTGTAAGGAAGGGATCGAGTTTCAGCTTTCTACATATGGCTAGCCAGTTTTCCCAGCACCATTTATTAAATAGGGAATCCTTTCCCCAGTGCTTGTTTTTGTCAGGTTTGTCAAAAATCAGATGTTCGTAGATGTCTGGTGTTATTTCTGAGGACTCTGTTCTGTTCCATCAGTCTATATATCTGTTTTGGTACCAGTACCATGCTGTTTTGGTTACTGTAGCCTTGTAGTATAGTTTGAAGTCAGGTAGCGTGATGCCTCCAGCTTTGTTCTTTTTGCTTAGGTTTCTTTGCTTTGTTCTTTTTGCTTTGTTCTTTTTGCTAAGCTTTAAGCTTAGGCTTGTCTTGGCTATGTGGGCTCTTTTTTAGTTCCATGTGAAATTTAAAGTAGTTTTTTCCAATTCTGTGAAGAAAGTCACTGGTAGCTTGATGGGGATAGCATTGAATCCATAAATTACCTTGGGCAGTATGGCCATTTTCATGATATTGATTCTTCCTATCCACGAGCATTGAATGTTCTTCTGTTTGTTTGTGTCCTCTTTTATTTCATTGAGCAGTGGTTTGTAGTTCTCCTTGAAGAGGTCCTTCACATCCCTTGTAAGTTGGATTCCTAGGTATTTTATTCTCTTTGTAGTAATTGAGAATGGGAGTTCACTCATGATTTGGTTCTCTTTTTGTCTATTATTGCTGTATAGGAATGCTTGTGATTTTTTCACTTTGATTTTGTATCCTGAGACTTTGCTGAAGTTGCTTATCAGCTAAAGGAGATTTTGGGCTGAGACGATGGGCTTTTCTAAATATACAATCATGTCATCTGCAAACAGTGACAATTTGACTTCCTCTTTTCCTAATTGAATACCCTTTATTTCTTTCTTTTGCCTGATTGCCCTGGCCAGAACTTCCAATAATATGTTGAATAAGAGTGGTGAGAGAGGGCATCCTTGTCTCGTGCTGGTTTTCAAAGGCAATGCTTCCAGTTTTTGCCCATTCAGTAAGATATTGGCTGTGGGTTTGTCATAAATAGCTCTTATTATTTTGAGATATGTTCCATCAATACCTAGTTTATTGAGAGTTTTTAGCATGAAGGGCTGTTGAATTTTTTCGAAGTCCTTTTCTGCATCTATTGAGATAATCATGTGGTTTTTGTCATTGGTTCTGTTTATGTGGTGGATTACATTTATTGATTTGCGTATGTTGAACCAGCCTTGCATCCCAGGGATGAAGCCAACTTGATCGTGGTGGATAAGCTTTTTGATGTGCTGCTGGATTTGGTTTGCCAGTATTTTATTGAGGATTTTCACATTGATGTTCATCAGGCATATTGGCCTAAAATGCTCTTTTTTTTGTTGTGTCTCTGCCAGGCTTTGGTATCAGGGTGATGTTGGCCTCATAAAATTCTAATTAGAAAGATTTTAAACTTGTTTGCTGTTACATGAGCTTTCTCTATTAAATCTGTAATAATTTTCATGTTATTAAATTCTCATCTTCTCTTTCATATTGTTAGAGTTTCTCAAACATTGCTCTGCCCTCCTCAACCTTGTCCTTTACCTACTGTATACCATCTTATTTTATCTCAAGATACATTTCTTCAAGCCATCTCTAAACGCCCCCAAATTATACCTGGTTCCTGCGTGACACTTTCTCGTTTTACCTCATTCTTTTCCTTTATAAATTATTCAGAGTTTGTAATTACATGTTTGTGGAATTATGTAATATATGTATATTTCTTCCCACTACAGTGTAATTTCTATGAAGACAATGAATGTATCTCTTTTCACCTTATTTTAATGATACTCATAACAAAGTATTGTACTTATTGCTATAATGGTACTCCATGACCATTTTTGCATTTTTGATGAATTAATGAACATATAAACAAGTCTGGGGGCTTAGTATAGCCAATAATAAAGGAAAAAGTAATTTGCTCTCCTTTGCTGTTATTAGTTCTTGCATACACATTCTTTAGAGTTGCATTTCTGAGAGGTTCCCATAGACTTAGGAAGGATTTGGATACTCAGGGTTTCCTAACTGTGATAAAAATGAGAAGAGCCTAAAAACTAACATAACTTCAAACAGAATGCTTCTCTGCCTATGTTTATGGGACTTTCCTGGAATGCATTTTTAAAAAACTTTGCATTGTAGAAAACTTCAACTGTGTACAGTAGTAGAGAGAAGAGTACCATGGTTTTTTTGTTTGTTTTTTCACAGAGTCTTGCCCTGTTGCCCAGGCTGGAGTGCAACAGCATGATCTCAGTTCACTGCAACCTCTGCCTCCTGGGTTCAAGCAATTATCCTGCCTCAGCCTCCCAAGTAGCTGGCATTACAGGTGCCCACCACCACGCCCAGCTAATTTTTTATATTTTTAGAAGAGACAGGGTTTCGCCATGTTGGCCAGGATGGTCTCGAACTCCTGACCTCAGGCGTTCTGCCCGCCTTGGCCTCCCAAAGTGCTGGGATTACAGGCATGAGGCACCGCGCCTGGCTGAGTACCATGTTTTAAAAGGCCAGCTTTAACAATACTCAATTCATGGGCAATTTTGTAAACCCACCCAATTAATCATACGTGCACACTGGCTTATTTTGAAGATACTTTCAGATCTCATATTTCATTCATAATTATTTTATTATGAAAATCTAAAGTATAATGACTTTTTAGAAAACATAACAGCAATCTCATTACCACACTAAAATTAGATAATTCCTTAATACAGTCGGTGTCAGTTTTTCTGATTGCCTCATACAAATTTGGTTCATATATTTCTTCAGCCTTTTAAAATGTATAGCTTCTCTTCTCTCTCTCTCTTGAATTGTTGCTGAAGAAATGGAGTTGTTTATCTAGTAGAAGTTTCCATATTCTGGATCTTGTTGGTTGCATCCCTGTGATGTCATTCACTGTGGGATTTGTTAGTTGGACTCCAGAAAATAACAATAACACAAATTGTTAACACCTATCGACTACTTACTATGTGCCAGTCTGTGCATGAAGTGCTTCATTTGTAATAAAATGTTTAATTCTTCAAGTCCCTAGTTTAAATGTGGTAGGTACAAACCTGACATATTTCATTTGATTTTTAAAATTTTGTAAGTTTTATTTATTTATTTACTTTTAGAGATGGAGTCCTGCTCTGCTGCCTAGGCTGGAGTGAGCACAGTGGCACAATCTTAGCCCACTGAAGTATTGAACTCCTGGGCTCAAGCACTCCTCTTGCCTCAGCCTCTAGAGTAGCTGGGACTACAGGAGTGCCGCCATGCATTAATTTATTTTTGTGTTGTAGAGACAAGGTCTTGCTTTGTTGCCCAGGCAGCTGTTGAACTCCTGGCTTCAAGCAATCCTCCCCTATTGGCCTCCAAAGTGCTAAGATCACAAGCACGAGCCTCTGTGACCCACTAATTTTGTAAATTTTAAATAGTGTGATATTAAGTATTAATGAAGTCACACTTTATGTGTGTAATCTGAAATAATTCAAATAGCTCAAATAATTGTTTAAGAATTGCATGATTTTAAATCAGGCAGGTAGATCTGTAACCCTATTGATAGTAGGCCCTACATTTTTAGCTGATAAAAAGAACTATTTACTCTTATTTTTTAGAATTAGTTTTAATTCTGCTATTTTAACATTACGTAAATATTTTTTGAATACATCCTTTTAATAAAATACTGCTATCATTAAATTTGCTTTCCACAGTGCTGCTTGAGGAAGGAGTCTGAGTTGGGCAGCATTTGTAGATTTCTGCATGACTCTGGTCATTATGCCATTCAGTATACCCCTTATATTACAGACACACACACACACACACACACACACACACAAATGCACACAACTCCAAAATGCTGGGTTCTTGCCTCACGAATCATTGAAATGTATATGAAATATATTTGAAACCCTATTGCTAAAAGCTTCTTAGCACGTTGTGCATTTTAATGTGACTGTTTTTCATACTAAAATTTTTATTTTACACATTTAGGATCATAATTGGTTACCTTCTCTTTTCCTTTTTAAAAATAGACCTTATTTTAAAGCGGTTGTAGGTTCACAGAAAAACTGAGCAGAAGGTGCAGAGGTATCCCAGAGGTCCCCAACCCCCGGGCCATGGACCAGTACCAGTTGGTGGCCTGTTAGAAACTGGACCACGCAGTGGGTGAGCCAGCATTACCAACTGAGCCCCGCCTTCCGTCAGATCAGTGGTGGCATTAGATTCTCATAGGAGTGCGAACCCTATTTTTAACTGTGCATGCAAGAGATCTAGGTTGCATGTTCCTTATGAGAATCTAACTAATGCTTGTTGATCTGAGGTGGAATAGTTTCACAGTTTCATCCCCAGATCATACCCCCATTCCCCCAACTATCTGTGGAAAAATTGTCTTCCATAAAACTGGTCCCTGCTGCCAAAAAGGCTGGGGACTGCTGCCAGATACACTCTGCTCCCACACATGCATAGCCTCCCCCATTAGCAACATCTCCCATCTGAGTGGTACATTTGCTATAATTTATGAACTTACATTGGCACATCATTATCACCCAAAGTCCATAGTTTACATTAAGTCTAACTCTTGGTGTTATATATTCTGTGGATTTGAGCAAATGTATAATGACATTTTTCACCATTGTGGTATCAAACAGAATAGTTTTATTGCCCTGAAAATCATCTGTGCTCTGTGATGGACATTTTCATGATCATCACTGGTTCAGATTTCCTGTGCTTACTGATTCCCAGTCTGTGTTTTAAATTATTTTCTCCTTGAACTATCTTCACTTCTTCCCCAAAGTAAACAGGCATAAAGATCTGTTGTATATGATATACCTTGAATAAACACTTATGGGCCATAAGGAGGGAATATATTCCCTCTTAGAGAGTTGAAAACCAAAGTCAAATATTACAACTTCTAGTGCTAAGAGTTCTCTTACCAATCCAATCTCAGCCTCTCTCATTCTGGAAAAAGAAAAATATCCTTCAATTATCATATGAAAAGAAATTCACCCATAGCTCTACATTTGAATCTCCTAAATCATTAAGAGGCTGAGAAAAACAAAAGTGCTTTTCATATAATATGATCCATTCTTTTAAATAAATTAATTATAAATATAACCACAATGTTTTCTTATGTGTTCATGTACTATGTGTAAGGCATTGACTAAATATCAAAATTATTCAAATTTTATCAATAACTCTGCAAGGAAAGTATTATTACTCCTACATTGTGGATGAGAAAAGTAAGGCCAGAAATGTTAGAGACTTCACACATTTATAAAGTTTAAAATACTAGCTTCAAAGTACTGAGTCCTGGATTTGGATTTAGGGTTCTTTGCACCAAACTATACTGTATCAATTATTGCATTAATGTTTTGTATTTTTTCTCCAATTAAAATTTAAACTCACTGATGCAGGTAGCATGGTTAGAAATATCCTCATGGATTTCATAGCTGTTTAGAGCCATGAGGTCGCTGCTGACCCATTTCCTCTGTGAGAGTTTCTCCTCGGAGATGGCGAATCCAGTGGAGGACACAGCACCCACTGCTGCTGCTACATTGTCTCAACTGTGTTGTTCTTCCTAGGGTTTCTCTCATAAGCTCATGCTTTCCTTAGTCAGGAGGGGTTAGGGGAAAGGGCTGGGGATTTCTGAAGATATTGGCATGTTTCCAAGAAACATCCTGTAGCCATATTCACTATACTGTCTCCTTCATGCCAGAGTGGCACAGGGAAAGCTACATGGTTATCTAGTACAGCTTCATTCAGGAGGTGAGGCAGACTGCGCCTCTATTCAGGGCTCCTAGATATGTCTGTGGCTTCTACTCCCGTCCCTTTTCCCATTGTCACTAACCCTATGTGAGGAATAAGTATTTGTTCCTTTTCAGACACCCACATTATTGTCTTATTCTAATGTTTTTCTGACTTCCATTTCTTTTCCTGCCTAAAGAATTTTTATCTCAAGGTGACAAGGGAAGAGGAAGGCTTCTACTGTCATCATTCTTCATAAATTTAAAGTTTTGAGAATACATTTTTACTTTTGATATTTTTGAGATTCAAATTTCCTTTATCCTAACTTATTTCTCTGTCATACTTTTAAAAGCCACATTGAAATTAGTACAGACTTATTTTTTGGTTCTAAAATTTTTGCTATAACAATTCTGGGCCAAGGGCAGACGGTATCCATTAATTTCATTGTTGCCTGAATTGAGGGGTGGGTGGCAGTGCCAAGGGTGGGAACACAAGGAAGCAAGAAATATTAATGTCAGCTAAGAAATCAACATATTATCAGGCTATACTGTACTTGGTGGCTTCTGTGTTACTGGACATGAAAAATGATCTGGGAAATGAGGTTAAATTGGATTGAAACATAAGAGTACCCCAATTATTAGCCATAGTTTCAGTCAGCCCTGGATGAAAGATGGAAAAATTTGACATAGATCTCATAAAAGGAATTTATTGCTTCCTTGGAGATTTTAGATGGAGGTTACTGAGGAATTAGGTAGCCGGGTGGCTTACCCCAGGCATGTCTTTGTAGGTAACATTTGAGAAAAGAAAAAAAAAATCAGGAGGTCAGGGAAAGAATGTAAAGGCATTTGTGAGCTCTGAGGGGATATAGCAGCTTAAGTCCCAGAGAAAAGGTGAGAGGAGAAATATTTGGAGGAGAAAAGGGATATGATAAATCGGGCCAGAGAATAGTGCTAGGTCATTTAGCAAGTCCATTCTTCTGCTCCTGTAGATGGCGATGCACCTGCAACAGGGCAGACATGAGATCAATGGGTCCGAGGGGGCTCCTGTGTCATCATCATGCCACTTCCCAATTCCCCTACAACTTTCAACCACATTCATGTCCACAACGCCCTCCCACTTTCCTTCCTTTCATACTGCCGCTTCAACTGTAACCAGTCTCAATCTTACCTTCCCTTCCAGGATGGGATTCACAATGGCCCTTGGTGTCTGGAAGCACCAACTGAACGCAGGCCTTGGATGATGAAGACAGTGCCCACCACAATGCCCATGAGGCCCACAGACAACCCCAGGGCACAGACCACAGTCTCTGTGAGCTCTGACATAGGGGCTGGAATCTCAGGCTCTGTGGAAGTGAAGTTGTTGAGGTCAGAATGCAGAGTGTGCTCATGTGCATGTGTGTGGGATGGGATGGGGTAGAGGGTTGGCTCTGCAAAGACTCAAGGCCCCAGGCTTAGGGAGAAGAGTGAAGTCTATCATTAGAAAACCATGAAGTGGCAGGCCCACTCCCATCCTGTAGAGTGTACTTTCATTTTCAATAAATCTCTGCTTTTTTTGCTTTATTCTTTCAAAAAAAAAAGAGAGACAGAAAAGAAACCCATGAAGTGTGGAAAACAAGTTTTTGGATATAGGAGTAAAAGGCAGGAAGTTCTGAACTTGACAGACAAGAAAGAATCAAAAAATGATGAAACTCATCCTTACCCCAGTGTTTCAGAAGAGGCTGGTCCAGGCCCCAGTGCTCCACCTTGCAGTCATAAATCTCATCAGCAGAAGGGAGGAAGGTGAGGTAACTGATCTTGAAGAAGGAATGATCACTCTTGGAGAGGAAGCTGGTCTCAGAAACACCTTCTGTGACTGACTGCCCATTGCTCAGCCATGTGATGTTGACCACAGGAGGAAAGATGTTGTCCACAAGACAAATGAGGGTGTTGGGCTGACCCAGTGTCACGGGAGACTTGGAAAACACTGTGACCTCAGGAACCTCTGTGGTGAGGAAACAGCACTGGTGTGAAGTGTGAATAGCTCTGCCCTGAAGTTCTGCATTACATCCTGGAAGAGCCCTCCTACCAGCATTTCACCACCTGATAGTCAAAGAGGTCTTATTTACCTTCTGCTTGGGAGCAACGACACATTGCCTCTGCTTTATTCCTGTGCCCTTCTCTCTGTGGGCATGTTTAATAAAGTAGGAGGTTGATGAGACCTCTCCTAGAAGGATTTGCTGAATGCATAATGGAAAGACCCTTGTATTACATGGGAATATGTGATTTTAGAGATGGGAGATGATAAAATTTCAGCAATTGCCATAAGAAGATCTGGGGACCTCTTGGGAAGAAAATAATGAACCCTGGTATGGAGGGATAACTTAAGTAAAGAGAGGCAGAATGGTGGACGCATACCATTGGTAGCAGCGGTAGAGTTGTAGCGTTTAATCATGATGTTCAAGTTGTGTTTTGCCACAGCCATGTTTCTCAGTGCACCCTGCGGGTCAAAACCTCCAAATTTGCTGAACTCAGGCCACCGCCAGGCAGTCTCCTTCCTCTCCAGGTCCACGTAGAACTGCTCATCTCCATCAAATTCATGGGTGTACTGGCCAGAGGGACCGTAAAACTGGTACAAGTTTACACCACAAGAGGCAACGTGGTCAGCTGATGAGTGAAGATGACAAGCAGGAAGGCGGAGAACAGGGGAAGAAAGAACCTTAATACACAAAATGATGGAAGAAACTGACTTTCAAATATTATGGGCTTCATTTTTTGGCACAGTCTGTGGACATTTCCAGCCCCTGCTTCCTCCCCTCTTCATGTTGGTAGTTGTCCAGTTAAAAGTGCACTTTCTTTCCCACTCTAGTGTGCGCTACACAAGGGCAGAATATCGCATGTCCAATTTTTACTATTTCCTGAGTGCCTGGCATGTCATGGACTTATGATTAAATAATGTAATTGAACAAAAGAAGGAATGAATGAGTTATCATAGTATTTAGCTTTCTTAGTCAGAAATTAGGTTTACTTCCCTCTGCTTCCTGAGATTTATCTTTCACTTAATTCTTTCATTGGTTAATAACAAATTGATTATACTTCCTTTCCTCTCAGGACTGGCTCAGAATAGGACACTCTACACAGAGATCTTTCTTTTTTTTTTTTTTAAAGGAAAAGCATGCAGGATCTTATTAATTTAAAATAATTTCTGCTAACAATTGTAGGGTATAAGAAAGAGTATAACAAGATTGGTAATAACATTACAAAATATATAATAAATAAACAATGCCTCCTTCTAAGGTCTCTGTTTTGTTAATAGTAATGGTCCTTAGAGGAGAGCAACTGATTTCTTCTGAAATGAAAAGTGGAAGCTCTACTAGTTTTTGGATTTCTGTCATTCCCCCCACCTTTTTTTTTTTTTTCCTGTGAAGGAGATTACTAAATGTCTACAGCATTCTGACTCAACACTTATATCACACTTTTTCCTCTAATGGGCAGTGTGCTTGTCTGAGGATGCCAGAGCAGAATGGCAGCCATGCAGTACGACTCCAGCCAAATGAGCCAAACTGGACTTTTTTGTCAAGACATGTGTAAGCCTTTTACCATCGTATCTTTCCTTCCTTCCCCACTTTCTGAGCATCCACAAGTGTCAGACATAGCCGGAGATGTGTAAAACACCAATCAGGCATGGTCTACTATTAAGGAACAAACTGAATAGTGGAAGAGTCAGGTAGGTAAGGGAACAGATACAATGTACTGTAGTAAGTTCTCTGAGGAGGATATCGACAGCCTTACAGTCCAACATCCTTCAAAAGTATCTGCCAAGCAAGACAAACTACATTATCCTTTCATGTTCCCTGGTCTTTGCAGTGGTCTGTTGTTTTTCTCCCTGAAATGGAATTATCTTTTAGGACTTCCTGGAGAAATTCTAAAATCCATCCTTGAGGTTTCTGCTTAAGTTAACAACTTTGTAGCTGAGTCCTCTCATCAACATGTTTTTGACCACATTATGACCTCCAACCCCTCCGTCTCAACATCTGGCTGTCCAAGTTGTCTGTTCCTCTTCCAGCTCACCTTCTTCCCTA
Source organism: Homo sapiens (assembly GCF_000001405.40). Classification (NCBI taxonomy): domain Eukaryota; kingdom Metazoa; phylum Chordata; class Mammalia; order Primates; family Hominidae; genus Homo; species Homo sapiens. Next base: position 32,639,894 of record NC_000006.12, on the reverse strand, counting down.
TCCAGCATGACTGCCCTGGTTGGTCTTAACAGGTCACCAACAAAGCCTCCTTATCCTTGCCATAAATCTTGACTCCTTGTTCAAACATGAATATATGTGGAATACATGCAGTCTTTCTTTTCTTCTGGTACTTGTCTTGGGTGCCAAATTTTGCTAGAGGACGTCACCCTGCTGGCCCACCTGGAACCAAGTCACTTGTATTGTTTCAGCCTCTGCTGGGTCCACTGCCCTGCTCAGCAATGGCCTTCTGCTTTCCTGCACCCCATACTGTTTCCATCACTAATCTGAGCACCCTCTGCAGGGAAGACAGCATGACTTTTCATCTTTGAATCCTTAAAACTTAGCTCACTGTGTGCTCAAACATGTGTATTGAATGACAGTTGCTATATTCGAGGACCACATAGATTTTGGGGAAGACGGGCAGGCACACAGGTAGCAGAACCATACGAAGGCCAGGATCAGTCATGACCAAGGCTGCATTCTGACATGTGAGCCCCGAGCATTCTTGCTTGTATGGGCCTCTTCCTCCACAAAAATATGGAAAATTATATTTTATGACTGAATTGGTATAAAGACAATATAATCTAGGCTGAATTAAAAGTTAAAACATTTTCTTAGGCTCTAATATTCCATTATTTTTCTAATTTTAAAAGGAGTTAAAACCTTCTCATGTGGCTTTACAGTATGGAGGGTCCCCTGCACTGCCCACATTGTGCCTAATGAATGAGCCAAGCCTGACCAGGGCACTCTGGTGTGAGGTTGAAGAAAGGAAATTTGGAACAAAGACGCCAAGCGCTCTGGAGAAGCAGGTGAAACTTCCACTGCCGAACAAAATCATAATGGGAGCAGCCACGGTTAATAAAGTTGTGAAAGTTTAAAGTACCTTCCAGTTCACTTCCCCTTTTAACTATCTGACTTTTCAACTTTTGTTTTACAAACCCACTGTCCATCTCTATAAAGGAGCAGGGAGTCAGAGATGGATCCTGAAAGGGAAGAGGGAGAAAGGGATGCATGAAGAGAGGTGGAAAGAGATGGACGACAAAGGCAGAGGAGAGTAAGAGACCAAATAATTAATCTGTGCTTCCTTTCTTCCTTCCTTCCTCTTTCTTTCTGTCTTTCTTTTTCCCTTCCTTCCTCCCTTCCCTTTTCTTTTCTTTTCCTTCCTTCCTTCCTTCTCCTTCCTTCCTTCCTTCCTCGCTTTCTTTCCTCTTTCTTTTTGAGACAGCGCCTCTCTCTGTTGCCCTGGCTGGAGTGTAGTGGTGCCACCATGGCTCACTGCAGCTTCCGCCTCATGGACTCAAGTGGTCCTCCCACGGCAGCCTTCTGAGTAGCTGGCACCACAGGCACACACCACCATGCCTGGCTAATTTTTATTTTTCTTTTTTTGTAGAGATGAGGTCTTGCTATGTTGCCCAGGCTGGTCTCAAGCTCCCAGGCTCAAATGATCCTCCTGCCTCGGCCTCCCAAAGTGCTGGGATTACAGGCATGAGCCACCTTGTCTGGCCCACTTTTCTTTTTATAGGACTTTATTAGATGAGGTGAAGAACAGGTAATTTGGGTTGATAATTTGAGAATAAAATGATTTATTTTACCAATTTTTTCTACTTCTCAATTTTAAAATAAAATGATCCCTTATTTTGCTAAAGAAAAGAAATGTGAAGCTATATCTGTAATAGAAATATGTAAAAAAAATTGACATTCATGTTTTCACTATTTACAAAGCTTAGCCACATGCCCATTTTATTTGATTACTTGTGAGGTGACACATATGAGGCAGCTGAGAGTAAGTGAGGACCATGTGGTAAAATGATTGTTGAAGGCATTCAGCCTGCTGGACTCCTTTACCCACTCCCCACCTGTGCCAGTTCCCATGTGGAAATGTGAGTAAGTCTGAGAGAAAGAAACGGGCAACATTTTAAATATCTATAGAGTACATAATTGATGGAATGACCCCAAGATCTACCACCGGAGACATCCGAAAAGCTTCAAAAGTTGTTCAGGGAAATTTGAGAATGACACTTCATAAATTTTTAATAATAAAAAATTATCCACTGATGGAAACCTCACTAATTTTTGAGGCAATCATGATGGAACGACATAGAGACCTCCAGGCCGTAGTCACTGAATATAATATAAACAGAATAGCGTCCTTAGTGAACACAACAGCATAGATAACAAAAAGAGTAGGTTGGGGCTCTGGTTTCCTGAAGGAGGAACAGCTATAATTTTTAATTGTCTTAATACTGAAAGGGCCCTTAGGAAATCTCTACAGTTTCTCTGCAAATCGCTTTATCTCTTTTCCTTCAATTTACTGTTTTTCAGCTCCAGAGAACATCCCTCACTCATGCACTCACCCACAATGTCTTCACCTCCACAGGGGCTCATCACGGTGGTCAGAGCGAGGGCCCCCAGCAGCAGAGCTTTGTTTAGGATCATCCTCTTCCCAAGGCAGCCTCAGCAGTTGGTGTTCTGAGCTGTAGAGTAATTGTGAGGACCTCAAGACAAGGAAATCTGAAGACACCCAAACCAAACCCTGCCAAGTCAGGTTTTGGCCAATTAGAAAAATCCCCTATGGTGACATCTCAGTTACTAGTTGAAGAGTTTGTATTAAGAGCCCTGGAAGGAGACGGGGCAATCCCCTTGTGATGCAGCCTCTACTCAGAGTGGACTTGAGGAATTGTTCTATGAATAAAGGGAGGACATTAAATTGGAATCTTCTCTGGTGTGTGCATGTCTGCCAGTCGCAAGAGGGATGGGTGTTTTTCTTTTTTTTCCTTTTTCTTTTCTTTTTCTTTTTTTTTGAGACGTAGTCTCACTCTGTCACCCAGGCTGAGGTACAATGGCAAGGTCTCGGCTCACTGCAACCTTTGCCTCCCGGATTCAAGCGATTCTCCTCCCTCACCCTCCCAAGTAGCTGGGACTGCAGGCACCTGCCACCACGCCCAGCTAATTTTTGTATTTTTAGTAGAGACGGGGTTTCACTATGTTGGCCACGCTGGTCTTGAACTCCTGACCTCATGATCTGCCCGTCTCAGCCTCCCAAAGTACTCAGATTACAGGCATGAGCCACCGCGCCTGGCCAGGGGTGGGCATTTCTGAGCAGCCTCGTGGATAGATGAGGTCATCAGTTATACGGCATCCTTCAGGATGTTCTGGCTTACAACCTCCAGGAATTTTTCCCTGAGTTGATTTCCCTCCCTGGCAGTCCCCATCCCCTGCCCTTTCTCTGGCTTCTGTATGTGGGTTAGCTGTTTTTCTTTTAGCTTCCACAGTGCGTATGGAATTCTCCAAATGTTAAGCTGACCCCACCTACCTAGGGATCTCTGCTGGTGGTAGCCCAAGCAATACCTTTGCCTTTTCTACTTGTATAAATCCAGCTGGGTAAGTTCTTCTCAAGTGCTCAAAAGCTCCAGGTGGTTTTGGCCAGGGCAATAAAAAGGGGTTATAATGTCAGATGGGGCTGTCTATAGTAACTATATGAGACTTTATACAGTTTTTCTTTGCATTGAGTAATCCTTATGTTCTGTGTTTTGGTGCTTCTTGAGTACGTTTAAAGGAAATTTAGGGACATTGATTACATTTAAAATTTGGCTGGCTCAATTACTCTAAGAATTTTTTTTTTAATTAAGAATATGAAGTCAAAAGTTGAGGGTAGAATAAGAATTGCACTGCCTTAGAAAAATGGTTTTCTTTTCTTAAACTATCAGATCTTTTAAAACTTGTTATCCTACCCCATTAAAATTCCAAATATTTGCAAGGGACTAGAGATTGAGCTAAAGTTAGTCCTTAGAGGGAAACTTATTATGTTTTTTCAGATGCATCTATTTTCTGTATGTGATAGAAACCGTAAGTTAATGGAGCTTCTATTTAGAATCACTCTGTCCTTGATAAATGGCCTTCTGAGATTCTCAGCACTATGTTTTACCTCCTACTGGCAGAGACTGTAAAAAAAAAAAGTAAAACAAAAAAAAAAATGTCCTGACACCTGAGAGCTGTCTGGATGTAATTAACAAAGGCTTGGGGTTGCTAGCAGCTAGCCTGGCACTCCCAGGTGGTTTTGGTTCTCCTGTTGGAGATAAAGGATTTCATAGAACATCAGAATCAGACAGGTACTCTGTGAGCACAGTGGATTGAGACAGAACACCTGAATGCTCAGTCATCATGTCTGAACCCAGACAAAACATAAATATTGTCCAAACCACAAAAATGACCAGGCACATCTCTCTCTTGGGAGTGATTACTGCTTCTTTACCAACCACGTCTGTAGCCTCAGGATAGTCTTCTGTCCCTCTAGGTAGGATTTATGAAGCTACCCAATCATAACATTGCCACCCCAACCCTCCACTTTCTGTCAGAATCCAATTAAAAGCAAAATCCCTCTTTCTTAAATCCTCCCCAAAATCACCTAAAACAAGCACAAACCTTACAACTGATTAATGGTCAATTTTATGTGTCAGCTAGACTGTGATCCCCAGTTATTCAGTCAAACACTAATAATCTAGATGTTGCTGTGAAGATATTTTGTAGATGTCATTGAAGTTCATAATCAGTTGACTTTAAGAATTTATCCTAGGAAAACTGGGTGAGCTTAATCTAAGCTGTTGAAAAGCCTTAAGAGCAGAGCTGAGGTTTCTCTGAGGAAACAGAAATTCCACTCTGGACAGTGTGTCAGCCTGTGCTGAGAGTTCCAGCCTGCCCTTCCTGATAACTACCTCCCAGAGGATCTCTGACTTGCCTAGCCCACCCCCACAGATGCAAAAATTAATTCCTTGCATCATTCTCTTAATATATGTATTCTCGTGGTTCTACTTCTTTGGTTCCAACAATCTCTTACTGAGGGGCTGCATGATTCTCATGGTGAGTTTTATCCATCATTGCAATAAACAATAAAGCTGACTTGTTCATTGCTTGTATGCTCCTGCTGGTCTTTGGCTGGAGGCATTGAGGTACCTCATTAGGCAGTTGTGAGAAATGTACATACACTGCACTTGGAATGAAAAATTCCTGGACTCTTTACATATACTTGTCATATTTTAATATCGTTCTCATTTTCCGAGGAGGACATTAAAGCCCAGAGAGTTGAAGGACTTTTCCCAGGGTCACGCAGCTGGTAAGCAGCACAGATGTGATGCTATGGGGCAAGCCATGAGTCCTTGTGAGGAGTGATGGGTGAGAGTCTCCTTCTGTGCAAATTCAGAATCCAGTGCCTTAACATGATTAGGAGAGATATTTGACCCTATAGGTGGCTTTATTCTTTCTAGCTCCTGCCATTGTGGATGAAGAGGGTTTTTGAGGTCCCCTTTGAGATGTGCTCCCTTTGCCACTCAATACCCTTCTGGCTGTGTAGCAAATAACATGTTTTTATCTTTTTTCCTGTATCCAGACTTACCTGCTTTGTATCTCATGGAAATTCCTTAGGACTTTGGCAAATGAGCAAAATGTTTTGGGATGGTAGTCCAGAATTTCACCTATTAAAATTACAGTTTAAATAACTCAACTCCAGTTAAGAAGTTAGGGTGTTAAATGTAGGATTAGAATTGTATCTTGGATGGGAAGTTGAGGGTGCCGTTTCAGACCTCACATCCTGTGGGGTGAAGGGAAAGTCCAAGCAAGGCAAAGTCATTGAAGAGATAATAGACGCCATTTCTTTTTTTCTTTTTTTGAGACAGTCTTGCTCTGTCGCCCAGGCTGGAGTGCAGTGGCGTAATCTCGGCTCACTGCAAGTAGCTGGGACTACAGGCACCTGCCACCACGCCCGGCTAATTTTTTGTATTTTTAGTAGAGATGGGGTTTCACTGTGTTAACCAGGATGGTCTCGATCTCCTGACCTCGTGATCTGCCTGCCTTGGCCTCCCAAAGTGCTGGAATTACAGGCGTGAGGCCACGACTGGCCCAATAGATGCCATTTCTATCTTTAACCTAGTTTTGTCTCTTTCCTCTTCCTGCTTCATCCGGCCATAACACAGTGAACGTTGTTCCAGTTGCTTATGTCTTCAGGTCATAATTTTAATGTAAGGTAAAGTAATAAGTAAATGAGACTCAGAAGAACAGCATACCATTTTAACAAGAGCTAATTTGTTACCTTTGTCTAGTAGAAAGAGAAAAGGCCCTCTTCATAAATTAATAGTGGGAATAAAATTTGGAGTTCAAAATAGTACTTTGTCCAACAATTTTCTCAGAAAGCACTTATTGACATGCCATTGATTCCATGACTAAAATAACAATGGGATGTGCCATTATAATTGACATCATTAAGAGCCCTCTAAGAAATTAGGTAGAATTTATGTTAGTTCTAATAAACAGTTATAACATTCTCTAAGACTGTATATTTTCAAATTGCTTTAGTCTGACTTTATGCACTGGTGAAGTTTTACTCTGAAGGCCAAGACTTCTGTCTTGCAGTAGTTAAAGCTGCTTCACAATAATAAGAGAGTCTAGAGTAGCAAAGTAAAAAGAATACAGATTTTGTAATAAGATAAATATGTATTCCATGCTGCTTTTCATTTTATCAGCTGCATCACCTTGGGCAAGCTACTCAAAACTCCTGAGCCTTAAGGTTATTTTCTATAAAACAGAAGGAAAATTATTAGATGATAGTTAATATGGTAAAATGAAATGATAGATAAGTACAATTATAAAGTTAAATACAATCCAGTGTCTGACACATAGCAACTATTCCCAAGTGGTAGCTCCTATATAAAGACAAATATTAATAATGATAATGATAATAACATCATGCTTTGGGCTGGGAAAGCCTATCAATTTTTCCTCATTCATTTAACCTTCTCCCTGTAGCACTCCAGGCATGTGGGAGCCTGTGAGCCACAGAAGCACTAAGACATTGCTGAAAAACAAAATTTTTTTGAAGACTCTTGTATCTGTCAGATTTTTTTATGTAACAAAGTACTCCAAAACTTAATGACTTCAAATAATTGTTTAGTGTCTCCTCATGATTCTGTAAGACAGGAAATTGTGCTCAACCCACCTGAGTGGTTTTTATGTACTGGGCAGGTTCAGCTTTTCTCAGGTGGGCTCCCTCACATCTCTGTAGCATCAATAGGTTTGGCAGGGATAGGAGGCCTCTCTCAATCCATGTGGGCTCATTATCCGGCAGGCGGGCTGAGGCTTATCACAGGTGCTGGAAAGCTCTCCTGTGCAAGATAGAAACAGTAGGTGTCTTGAGCTGAAACTTAAAACTCACAACATCACTTCCATTACATTCTGTTATTCAAAGCAAGTCATAGTACTAGCTCACATCAAGAGGTGGATTAATAGATTGCATTTCTTGACAGAATGAGCTACAAAGAATTTGTAGCTATTTTTGCAACTTATCATAAATATCCTCTGGCTTTTGACAATATGTAAATGAATTTGGTGTGCAAGGATTGGAGAGCCCCCATATTTGAAATAAATTCCACCCACTCACCTACCAGTCAAGATCTTATCTTTACTAATCTGCACTAAAAACACAGTGAAGCTTTCTCAAGGGAGACTTGAACTAAGAACTGTTGAATTCCAGTATGAATAAGGTGCTACAATTTATTCTTATAAAAAACTTTATGGAGTTTTACAAATGAAAATACAGAATTGTGAAGAATTGTAAGTAATCTCTTATGACTGCCAAGCTCATATTCTGATACAAAGTCCTGTATGCTGATATCCAGTCACATGGCCTCTCACAATCATAAAATTAATGAAGCAGAGGAAACTTATAAAAACAATTGTTATTTAATATCATTTCCACCAATTCTTTATCAGCAACAACTCCTATGTGTGTGAACTAGTTGTTTTAAATAACTCACTTGAATAAACTGCACAATAAAAAATAATATGAGGAGGCCAGGCGCGGTGGCTCACGACTGTAATCCCAGCACTTTGGGAGGCAGAAGCAGGCGGATCACGAGGTCAGGAGATCAAGACCATCCTCGCTAACACAGTGAAACCCCATCTCTACTAAAAATACAAAAACAAAATTAGCCAGGGGTGATGGCGGGCGCCTGTAGTCCCAGCTACTCAAGAGGCTGAGGCAGGAGAATGGTGTAAACCTGGGAGACAGAGCTTGCAGTGAGCCGAAATCGTGCCACTGCACTCCAGCCTGGGTGACAGAGTGAGACTTCGTCTCAAAATAATAATAATAATAATAATAATAATAATAATAATATGAGGAAAGATTGCTTTGTAATGCTATTCTACTGAAAAACATGCAAAATTACCTCCATGTCCAGATCTACCTTCTCCATAGCTCCAGAGTATTCTACAGCTAAACCTAAGAGGTTATTTCATGAAGACTTTGCAGAGACTATGGTATGTAATCAATAAATACTTGTTGACTTGGACTGAAATTCTTAATCATCTGAATCAGTTTACAGAGCTGACTGTCTGGAGACTGATATTCCTCATGTCCAGCAGTGATTGATTCTCCTCCCAGGAACTCCCCAGTCCTAATGTACATATTGTAAACATTCTTTGTATAGATCTTTTAATTTACTTACTTAATTTTAGAGATGGGGTCTCACTGTGTTGCTCAGGCTGGCCTCAAACTCCCAGGCCCCACCTCCGTCTTCCAAGTAGCTGGGACTACAGGGGCACACCACCCCACCCGGCTATACAGATACCTTTCCTTAGCATTCATCATTAAACAAATGACAAATAATTTTTAATAAAAGCTTTAAAAGCAAGTGCTGCCCAAAGCAATTTATAGATTCAATGCTATTCCTATTAAAAAATACCATTGAGATTCTTCACAGAACTAGATAGAGCCTGAACAGTCAAGGCAATCCTAACCAAAAAGAACAAAGCTGGAGGCATCACACTACCCAACTTCAAACTACACTACAGGGCTACAGTAACCAGAACAGCATGGTACTGGTACAAGAACAGACACATACAGCAATGGAGCAGAATAGAGAACCCACCAGAAATAAGACCTCATACCTACAACTATCTGATCTTCAACAAGCCTGAGGAAAACAAGCAATGGGGAAAGGATTTCCTATTCAATAAATGGTGCTGGGAGAACTGGCTAGCCATATGCAGAAGGTTGAAACTGGAACTCTTCCTTACACCATATACAAAAATTAACTTAAGATGGATTAAAGACTTAAATGTAAAATGCAAAACTATAAAAACCCTGGAAGACAACTTAGGCAATACTACTCAGGACATAGGCATCGGCAAAAGTAATTGCAACAAAAGCAAAAATTGACAAATGAGATCTAATTAAACTAAAGAGCTTCTGCACAGCAAAAGAAACTATCAGCAGAGTGGACAGACAACATACAGAATGGGAGAAAAGTTTTGTAAACTATGCATCCAACAAAGGTCTGATATCCAGCATCTATAAGAAACTTAAACAAATGTACAAGAAAAAAACGAACAACTCCATAAAAAAGTGGGCAAAGGGCATGAACGGACACTTCTCAAAAGAAGACATACATGTAGCCAACAGTCATATGAAAAACAGCTCAACATCACTGATCATTAGAGAAATGCAAATCAAGACCACAATGACCATCCCACACCAGTCAGAATGGCTATTATTAAAAAGTCAAAAACTAACAGATGCTGATGAGGTTGTGGAGAAAAAGGAACGTTTATACACTGTTGGCGGGAGTGTAAATTAGTTCAACCATTGTGGAAGACAGTGTGGCAATACCTCAAAGACCCAAAGGCAGACATGTCATTTGACCCAGCAATCCAATTACTGGCTATATACCCAAAGGAATGTAAATTGTTCTATTATAAAGATACGTGTACACGTATGCTCATTGTAGCACTATTCACAATAGCAAAGACATGGAATCAACCTAAATACCCATCAATGATAGACTGGATAAAGAAAATTTGGTACATATACACCATGGAATACTACGCAGCCATTAAAAAGAATGAGATCGGCCGGCACGGTGGCTCACGCCTGTAATCGCAGCACTTTGGGAGGCCGAGGCGGGCAGATTATGAGGTCAGGAGATCAAGACCATCCTGGCTAACACGGTGAAACCCTGTCTCTACTAAAAATACAAAACATTAGCCAGGCATGATGGCTACTCGGGAGACTGAGGCAGGAGAATGGTGTGAACCCAGGAGGCGGAGCTTGCAGTGAGCCGAGATCGTGCCACTGCACTCCAGCCTGGGCGACAGAGAGAGACTCTGTCTCAAAAAAAAGAAAAAAGAATGAGATCATGTTCTTTGCAGGGACATGGATGGAACTAGAGACCACTATCCTTAGCAGACTAATACAGGAACAGAAAACCAAATACCGCATGTTCTCACTTATGAGTGGGAGCGAAATTATAATAACACATACATGGACACATAGAGGGGAACCACACACACTAGGACCTATTGAAGAGTGGAGGATGGGAGGAGGGAGAGGATCAGGAAAAATTACCATTGGTTACTAAGCTTAATACCTGGGTGATGAAATAATCTATAAAACAAACCCCTATGACACATATTTACATGTTTATCTAACAGACCTGAACATGTACCCTTGAACTCAAAAGTTTAAAAAATGCTCTAAAATGAGGTTTCTCAACCTGAGAACTATTAATATTTTGAGCCAGAGGATAATGTTTTTTTTTTGTGGGAGGCTGTCATGTGTGTTACAGGACTTTTAACAGCACCCCTGGCCTCTACCCAATACATGCCGGTAGCAGCCTCCCCATTAGTGACAACAAAAACTATCTCCAGACATTGTCAAATGTCACTTGAGGGGAAAATTGCCCCCATTTACGAATCATTGCTTTATAAGGTAACAGACTCTCTAAAATAAAAATAGTAGCAATGTATTGTGTGTTTATGGAATATGAGAAAGAAATTATATGACAACAATTGCACAATGAATAAGAGAGAAATCTGGAGTATGCTAATCTAAGGTAGATTTGAAGATAGATTATTCATATATGTAAAATTCTAGGGCAACAACTAATCCAAAAGAAAGCAAAAAATGATTATAAAAATAAATATTTCATAGAATTAATAGAAATATCTAGTAAAAATAATTCAACCATATTAATAAGTACATTAAATATAATTGGTCCAGACAGACCAATTAAATGATAGAGAAGAACAGATTGAATAAAAATGGAATATTGAACTATAACCTATCAGCAACCCATTTTAAATATAAAGACATACCTTCATTAAAAGTAAAAAGAAGGGAAATATATACCATGCAAAAGAAATCAAAAGAAAGTCAGAATGATTATGTCAATACTAGACAAAGCAGAAATTGGAGCGAGAAATGTTAATAGGGATAAAGACAGACATCACTTAATGATAAAGGGTTATTTCTCTAAAGAGACATAACAATCTTAAGTGCATATGCACCTAAAAACAGAGCTTCAAAATACAGGAGACAGAGTTGACATAAAAGAAAGGAGAAATAGAAAAATCCAAAATTATCATTGGAGATTTTATACTCATTTCTTAATATTTCATAGAAAAAATAAGCAGAAAGTCAGTAAGGATATAGAATAACTGAACAATGCTATCAAGTAACTTGACTAAGTTACATTTACAGAACACTCCACCCAACAGCAGGAAAGTACATAATTTGAAACTGTATTAATTCTATCTACTATATTTCTCTCTCTGTGAACACCATGTTCTTCTCCACTTACTCATCTCTTGTGGTCTCAAAGAAGTTTTATAACATTTTCTTTGATGATTCTTTATATTCCTTGTTAAATACTTTTCATATTATTTTGCTCTTGCTAATGGATACTTTTTTCCTTCCTCCATCACTAAATATTTTTTCTTACAGTCTTCATGGCTTAGTCTGCCAGAGACAGATGATGCTGCTTCCCACCGGGTTCTGATTTGCTGAAGAGGAAAATATTTAATGTCTTATTTTGCTTTCACTTAAACCCAGCTTCTGCAAGGGCCAATGGTCACCAAAACCTGACTAGAAGGGAGTGAGGCTGTGGAGATTGGGGATTGGGGTGAGGAATTGTAAATAACACATGATACATGGGTGTCCTTTCAGCGCCCTCTGTCTGGAAAATTAACTAACCAGAGAAGTGAAGGGTTCAACAGTCAGATTAAAGAACAGGTAGGCCGGGCGCGGTGGCTCATGCCTGTAATCCCAGCACTTTGGGAGGCCAAGGTGGGTGGATCACCTGAGGTCAGGAGTTCAAGACCAGCCTGACCAACATGGTGAAACCCCATCTCTACTAAAAGTACAAAATGAGCTGAGTGTAGTGGCACATGCCTGTAATCCTAGCTACTTGGGAGGCTGAAGCAGAAGAATTGCTTGAACCTGGGAGGTGGAGGTTGCAGTGAGCCAAGATCGCACCACTGTGCTCCAGCCTGGGCAACAAGAGCGAAACTCTGTCTCAAAAAGGAAAAAAAAGAAAAAAGAAAAAAGAAAAAAAAAAAAAGGAAAGAACAGGCATTACCCTGTGCTTTGTGCTTTGAGTCACTATCAAGTGACTTAAACCAAGGATGGCTCATGCCCACAGGTCTACAGGGAAAGAGTAACTGTAAATAGCAGCATCTTAATGTGTTTGCACTTGTGAAAAGGTAGAGGATGCTTCATTTCTTTAGTCCACGCAGTCTCCAGTGAGTTTCAGGATGTGCCAGTTGCATCTTATGATCTAGGCACTGTTTACTAAATTGACAATGAACCTCCAAATCATCTATGAGTTTGGCTTACTGGTATGAACCTGATGTTTGTAGTTTTAAAGTCAGCCACAAATCCTGGGATGTGTACATTGTGGGAAAAAAATCAGAATTAAAGTGAAGGAATGGACTTGGTTGTTTCCCCAAATGTGTGAGAATAGGTTAATTTCCTGGAGGTAGTTAAAATAAAACCAAAAACAAATTGCCTGTTCCTCTCATATTCCTTCCCTCCTTATTCCCACCCAATATAAAGAAAGCCAGGCCTCTTTTTGCTTTTGACTCTGAAACTTTCTCTTCAGATATACTGGATGTTTATCAGCCAGGCTGGTAAGAAAATGTCGACAAATTGCCATGTTACCTCCCAGTCATGATGATGATAATAATAATTGATAGTAATGATGATAATAGTGCCTGATATGTATTGAGTACTTACCACATGCCAGATGTTCTAATTGCTTTTACCATACTCGTATTAACTGACTTAACTTTTAGAATGATACCATTAAGTAGGTATATTATTATATCTCCCTCCCCCATTTTACCAATTAGGAAATTGTAGCATGGAAGGGTTGGATACCTGACTAAAGCTATACCAATAGTAAGAAATGGAGCCAGAATTCAAGCCCATGCAGTCTAACTTCAGAGTGATACCATAGAGAGAGGGCAATTGTGCTACACTGTAGCCCAGAAGGGAATTTATGCCACAACTCCTATCACAGGCAAGGGACCATTTGTCAATCCACAACTTAATTCTTCTAAAGAAGTAATTGCACATGGATCTGGCCACTTACACATCCAACTGTCTTCATCTAGAGGTGTTTCTCCAGGGCCAGCCCTGAGGTGGAAATTTGCATTAATGTAGCTGATTAAGCCCTCCTTTGTAGATGCCTTATGGACAGAAATGGGCCCTTCCTCTTCTCTTTGTTTCTCATACTTGACTGTGGCTCTGCACCCCCAGGAGATTGGTTCCAGGACCCCAGCTGATATCAAAATCTGTGGATGCTCAGTCTCTTCTATAAAATGCTGTAATAGGCCGGGCGCGGTGGCTCACGCCTGTAATCCCAGCACTTTGGGAGGCCGAGGCGGGCGGATCACGAGGTCAGGAGATCGAGACTGAGACCATCCTGACTAACAGGGTGAAACCCCATCTCTACTAAAAATACAAAAAATTAGCCAGGCATGGTGGTGGGCGCCTGTAGTCCCAGCTACTTGGGAGGTTGAGGCAGGAGAATGACGTGAACCCAGGAGGCAGAGCTTGCAGTGAGCCGAGATCACGCCACTGCACTCCAGCCCGGGGGACTGAGTGAGACTCCGTCTCAAAAAAAAAAAAAAAAAAGCTGTAATAACCCATATCCGTAGATTTAAATCCATGGTAGGTTGAATCCACAGATGTGGAACCTTGGATAGGGAAAGTCGACTGCATTTGATTTATGCATAGACAAACACTCTTGGTCAAGTCCAGCATAATTCATCTACAGGTGATTTAAATAGTGAATGCACTTTGAAGTCTTCATGGTCAGCTGAAGAACCTGAAATTTTACTGTCAGACTTACTTAGAAATCTTACAGGTTCAAACATGTTATGGCTAATAAAATTTTGCAGCTTTGTCAAAAACCATAGAAATGTCCCTGAGCTTAGACCAGGCTACATGGCACCGAAGAGTCAGGGCTTGCTCCCAACCCCAGAAGAGGGGGACCAGAAATTTCCAGTCTGGGAGGGTCCCACACAAAAGTTGCTCTAAAACTACAGACTGGAGTTTTTTTCTGAGTTTTTCCTTCTTCAGGGAAAAGAGTGTGAACCTGCGTAGTGCTCTTCTATCTCTGCTCAACTGAGTACCACAGGGTTCATACGTTTCAAGTTTAAGACATTAGATTTAGGGAGGATTCACATCTTTCTTCTTCTGTTTATTTGTGAGGTATGGTGAGGTCATTGTTTTACTTCCATGAGGACAGCGGATAAAAAAGAACTCTTTGGAGGGAAGGGAGAGGTAGAGATGAGTAAAGTTATGTAAAAGGATTGAAAAGTAGACCTGAGAGCGCAATTGAGAAGAGAAACTTTGTGGTTATGATCCCAGAGGACCATGAAGACCTGCAGGAGGGGAAAAAAGACACTACAGGGACAGTATAGGCGAACTTCTATGCAATGTCCACATTAAAATGTTCCATACAAATTTCCCTGAACAGAGATTTTTCAAGGCCACTCACCTTAGACCTGGAGGCCCTATTAAGACTGTTGGGAGGAGAAAAATGTAGTCGTTCTTCTATCATCTAATTCTAGTCTTCTGAGTGTCATTAAGATCCTTCCTGTTTTTATAAATATAAATATCACAGTATAGATACATTTACAGAATTGTAATATTAGTCTTTGTAGTCTTTTTTTTTTACTTAATCTATGGATAATTTCCCACAGATCAGACAATCTTCTACATCACTAAACAGTTTCATAAAATCTTATCTTTAATGGCTATAAAAACATCACCACACACTTGAAATAGTATTTATTTAAACATTTTTTACGAGTTAGTGGGTGCAGCGCACCAGCATGGCACATGTATACATATGTAACTAACCTACACAATGTGCACATGTACCCTAAAACTTAAAGTATAATAAAAAAAAAAGACAAATCCAAAAAAAAAAAAAAAAAAACCTTGGGGACACTTCAAGAGATTAATTGAAAGATTATATGGGGAATAGTTAACCGCACCTCTCTTCCACTCTGACCTCTGCCACATAGGTGGCTGGCATCTATCCCTCAAACAAAATACATGAAGTTTCCTCTCAGAAGAAATTGAATGGGCCCAGAGAAAATAATTCCACGCTATGGCCTTCATGGTCCTCCAGTGAAAGAATCAGACCCTGAAACATTAGCCCCAAATTCCTACCAAATTTCATCTGATTTCTTTGAACTCATGACCATTTTTTAGTCCCTGTTATATGTAAAATAATATGAAGAAACAGAAAACATTTTAAGAGAGCAATAAGGATAAACAAAAAGAAAAAAACTTAAAACAGATAGATTAGAAATTCAAGACAGCTTTAAATATATACATAAAACAAAGCCAAACAAAAGTTTAATTATTATTTTCACAAACATTGGAGAAGGTAGTCCCTTTGTAAAACAAACCAAATTGCTATTAATCTTTTCTCCATAGGTAAAACAACAAAAACACTTTGAAAATTAACAATATAGCCATAATATTCATAAGACATTCTTTTTTAAATAACCCAAACACACATAAATAAAGATAAAGCATTTGCTATGCAAGCACATCCAGCTTCAAGACAAGCCACAGCTCCTACCCACCATGCAGAATTCTGGGCCTAAGCTCCTTCTGCATAGATTGATGTAGAAATTGCACTACCATAGATGCAAAACAAGGCCTGTCTAAAATCAGATTGTGGTTGCTGAGGAGGAAGTGGGAATGGGGAGTGACTGTTTAATGGGTACAAGGTCTCCTTTGGAGGTGATGAAAATGTTATGGAACTACATAGAAGTGATGGTTGTACAACATGGTGAATGCACTAAATGCTACTGAGTTGTGCACCTTAAAATGGGTTAATTTTGTTATGTGAATTTTACCTCAACAAACAAAAAGACTGCCTAACTCAGGCCCATGTCTTTATATAATATGCTATATAATACACTCTACTACTCTTTAAAAAATCAACAATACAGGACAGTATACTTATCCTAGACTTTCAGAACATTTATTATTTTTTAAAATCTCATTATTTTGAATAAAAACAGTTTTAAATCTATAGATTATATCTCCATCCAACTTCATGATTCATTTATAGTTTGTTTTCTTTTCAGTAAAGTACATTTTTTACTTTCTGTTGAGTCTATGTATTTCTTACAAAACTTATTCTTTGATATTTTCTATTATTCCTAATGCTAATGAAGCTCCCCCTGCCACCAACCTTGGGTATGCCTTCTTGACAGTTTAGTCTGCCAGAGACAAATGATGCTGACTTCTCTACTTTGCCTTATTAGATAAAAAGAAAAGTATGTAATGATAATATCAAGGTTTCATGTTAATGTGGTTTATGCAAAGATTTATGTCATCATCCTTCCCCTTCAACCACAACCCTATTCTAATAACCACATCCTGTGACCAAACAGCTCTTCTTTTCCTACAAGCATCACACTTATTATTAGTTACTCTGAGGTTCTCAATGTGAATTTTAGATAGTGACATATCCTTTGGCCAATACTTGAACAATCTTCACACAAGATGTGAAGAACATGACAACAAACTGTAACTAAGGGTATCAAAGAACATAGTTAAGGACTCCTGGCTGTGATGGCCGTTTTCAGTAAGACATTATTCTACAGGACACTTTCTGGAGTATGAATTCAACATATTAGAAACTACATTGTGGAGGTTTCCCCTGAAGAAAAAAAAGTAGTTGGGAAACCCATGACAATAAGGATCTGAAATTAATGTGGTATGAAAGTGAGGGTAGGTGCACAGCTCTGGGCCAGCCACACAGAGTTAGGGCCACTGTCTCAACATCTGAAAGAGACTGGGCTTGAACAGTGATGAATACATTAACCAGGGGGCTGGATCTACATTGCTCACACTTGAGCAGAGATTGGAATCCAGCTGACTGTGAATGAGTGTGGAAGAGCCCCCTGCTGGAGGCAAATGACTGGAGCCCTGTGCATATGCTGGGCCATGGAGGAAGAGCACAAGTATATTCTCTGGAACAGAGCTCTTAAGGGACTGGGCTAAGTCAGCCAGCATCCTCCTCCTCCTCACCCCACCCAATGGTAAATCTGATAAATCAGTGCTAATTTGCTTTGTATGTTAGAATTTACTAAATGTGATGGCTGATATTTTGAGCCAGGGTGGCAAATGCAGCTACTGACTCAAGAGCAATGTGTAGTAGTAACTTGGGTATGAGAATAGGATTGTGAATTGGTATGCAACTTTACCAGTGACAGTTGTGTATCACTACCCATTGGCATATATGTTCTAGTCTAGTGCTGAGAAAGATACACAAAATATTAAGACTTTTACAGCAAGATTGGTACCACAAAATGCTCATTTTTAGCTCTCGTGGTTTTTCTGTCTTGTAGTTTGTTGTAGCTTTCTCACTCTTTTCGAGGCATCACCAAGTCAACTTGTAAATTCTGTAATCACTTTCTTTCAGTAGATTTCTTAATTAAGACTAGGAATCCTTTTTGACACTTGGACACCGAAAGGAAGCATCTCTCAATTTCCTCCTTTACTCATGCATCTTCTTATCAACTGGGGAGTCTGGGGGTCATAAGACTGAAGTAGTAGGTGAGGCTCGGACATCAGATCAAATTGAGAATTAACTAAAACAGGGATGGGGCAGAAGCACCTCTCCATAAGACATGCCTACCAGTGTGCCATGTCAGTTTACCATTGCTATGGCAACACCCAGAGGTTACCACTTCTTTCTATGGCAATAATGACCCACTGGGGTCATTGAAGTGGTAATTGGAGTTACCATCTATAAATTAAGGGGTGGATTATGCAGAAATTTCTACCGTATTTCTAGAAATTTCTGCATAGTCCACCTCTTAATTTGCATATAATTAAAAGTGAGTATAAATATGACTGCAGAACTGCCTCTGAGCTACTATTCTGGGCACACTGCCTATGGGGTAACCCTGCTCTGCAAGGAGTAGCTTGGTTCAATAAAAGTTGCTGTCTAACACCACTGTCTCATCCTTGGAATCTTTCCCGAGTGAAGCCAAGAACACTCTCGGGTGAAGCCCCAGTTTTGAGGCTTGCTGGCCCTGCATCAAGACCACCCTTGCAATGGATGAGTTTATCTGCTAGTTATCTCAGTACTGAGGGCTTCTTAATGTGGGAGTCCTCACTTTGGGGAAAATGAAGAATTTGACTGGTTTTGGGGGGTTGGTCAAGGGAGATCTGCTGCAGTCTATTAAGTGATTCTGTGAAAGACAATGATATCTTACTCCACTTTGAGCATTTGATCTGAATGCCTTCTTCACATGAAGCCTCTGTGGATCCATAACCAAGGGTGCAGGAATTTTGCTTCTGAGAACCTTTCCATGATAGACTTCTGGTTATTTCTTTTCTTTCTGTTTGCTATTATGACCTACACCTCTGTTAACATCCCTGTGCATGCTTCCTTGTCCACATACCTAATGTTTCTTTAGAACCAGTGTCTAAGACTAGAAGTTCTATGCACTATATTTGTGTTTACAACTTTACCATAACTAGTTGTATGAATTTATACCCCCACTAGAAGTGTTTAATTGTTCACACTAATGAATTTTCTTGCCAATAAATTATTGTCAGACTTCATTTTGCCCATCTCTTGAGAATTAAATGATACTTCCTAGTGATTTGAAATGTGTTTATCTGATTACTAATAAGGGTGGAAATCTTTTCACATTATGTATTGACCTGCTATGCTTCCTTTTCACAAACTAGCTGTCATCCCTGGAGTGGCACTGAATTTCTTATTATTTTTATAAATATAAAAATGTCATATGTATAGATAGATTTAAGCTTATAAGACTTAAATTTTAGTTTTTACAACTTAATTTTCCTATATTATATGTATTAAAAATAACTTCTTCCAATTTGTGTCATGTTTTTAAAGTGTATTTTGATTAAGTTTTTTAAAATATGTATTAAAGTATATTTATTAAAAATTTTAAATTTTTTTTGCTATTTCATCCCTGTTAAGAAATATTTCCCTACTTCAGTTCATAAAATAATCTTCTAAATTTTCTATTTTAAAAATTTAAAAATTACTTTTCCTTTGGCTAAATATTCAGTAATGGGATTGCTAGATGGTATGATAGCTCTATTTTTAGTTTTTTGAGAAACCTCCATACAGTTTTCCATAATGGCTGTACTAATTTACATTCCTACTAATGGTGTATAAAAGTTCCCTTTTACCCTCCTCCTTACCAGCATTTTTTTGTTTTTGCCTTTTTGATAGTAGGCATTCCAACTGGGATAAGGTGATAGTTCACTGTGGTTCCTGTTCACATTTGATTAGCCTGAATTGAATTGATTTTTGTGGATACTATGTTGTATGAATCCAATGTTGAGTTTTCCGTCTGGATAACAAATTCTCTCAGGATGACTTACTGCACTATTTCATAAGTAAATTCCAATGCCAACTCCAACATACATATGATTTTACATATGAGTGAGTTGGTTCTGGGCCCACTGTTTTTGTTCGTTTGTCTATAGGTTTATCCATGCATCAATACAACTCTCCTATTTATACTTAAGTCTGATGATAGATTGAGGACTAGCCGGGCAAAATCTTACCAACCTGTTTCTTTCTATGTATAACTAGTAAAGAAACCAAACTGTTTATTTGCATGTGTAACTAACTTGTAGGCTAGTCTTAAACAATTGCTCTTCTATAATTATTTATAATCAGCATAGTGATTCCACAATATTATGTTGGGATTTTGAGTAGAACTGCATTGGTTCTATAGATTAACTCAGAGAAAAATTGTGTTTATATTTTGGATATTTTATTTATGAATATAGTATATCTTTCCATTTGCATAGGTATCTCTAATGTCTTTTTTTTTTTTTTTTTGACAGAATCTCACACTCTCTGGAGGCTGGAGCATAGTGGCACAATCTTGGCTCACTGAAACCTCTGACTCCCAGGTTCCAGCGAGTCTTGTGTCTCACCCACCTGAGTAGCTGGGATTACAGGCTCACACCATCATGCCCGGCTAATTTTTGTAATTTTAGTAGAGACAAGGTTTCACTATGTTGGCCAGGCTGGTCTTGAACTCCTGGCCTCAAGTGATCCACCGCCTTGGCCTCCCGAAGTGCTGGGATTACAGGCATAAGCCACCATGCCCAGTCTCTAATGTCTTTTAATGAAGTGTTAAATTAAATTAAACTACCTAAAATTACCAACAATCATCTGTTTTTGATCAAAAAGAATCTTGATCAATTTCATTTAGTTCAGTGTAAAACCCTGATGTAACAGACCTCTATAACTTGTTAGATTTATAGACAGCATACCTAACTTTAATTTTAATGTTGTTCAATTATTTGTTGATGTACGACTTGCTTAACATATTGTGTAGGTTAAAATGTTGAGATTCAGAGAGACCATTAAAACTGCCCAAAGTCAGACATCCAGGATACAGCAGAGTAAAATTTAAACTAAGTTCTGCCTAATTCCAAAGCCCTGGTACCCTCCTTTTGCAACCATTTATATTACGTGATAAGTTGACTTATCTACATGTGATTGAGCTTATAGACAAATGGGCGAGGAAGTATACATTTGCATCTTGACTGAAGACAATGCTAGTCTTGGCCACACAAGAATTAAGAGGCAGTCTCTATCATTAGAGAATTCCAGCTTCTAAATTTCCAGATGCAATTCCTTGTGTTTGAATTAATCTCTAGAAATTTGTACCTGAAAAAGCACACATGAGAATGAGGTAATATAGGAAGCAGTGGTTATTTTTGTTTGTTCGTTTGTTTGTTTTTTGAGATGGAGTCTTGCTCTGTCACCCAGGCTGGAGTGCAGTGGCGCGATCTCGGCTCACTGCAAGCTCCACCTCCCAGGTTCATGCCATTATCCTGCCTCAGCCTCCCGAGTAGCTGGGACTACAGGCGCCCGCCACCATGCCTGGCTAATTTTTTGTATGTTTAGTAAAGACAGGGTTTCACTGTGTTAGCCAGGATGGTCTCAATCTCCTGACATTATGATCCACCCACCTCGGCCTTCCAAAGTACTGGGATTACAGTTGTGAGCCACCACGCCTGGCCAGTTATTGTTTTTATATAATTCATTTGTTAGTTGTAACTTAGGACTGAAGAAGAGCGAGACCAGGAACAAATAAATGTGTTGGAGGTAAGTGTAATATGAAAACACTAGAGAATGTAGGGTCAGTGTAGAGTTGTAGAGAAACGCCCCTCTGTGTTGAATTCAACTCAATTTGTTTAAAGACACAAGAAATATTTTTTGAATCAAGGCCATTTTCTAGGCATGGTGGGAGATGCAGACTTGTGGAAAACAGGCTTAAATTTAAGGGGCTTATGGTCTAATGGAACACAAAAGAAGCACCTATTTATAATGTTAAGTAGTAGGTGGTTTCTTAGAAAAAAAATAATGTACATTTGGAGAATAATGCGTACTTTCAAGGGAAATGTTACAATTAAATATACTTTGAAAATGTCTTTGGATTTTAAAAGGCAGAGATGATGAGGAAGAAGCATGGCATAGACCTACCAAAATCTTTTTTTGAAATATAGTTTAAACTTTATTCTACATTTCTTTCTTCTGCTAGGACAAACCTATGGTTAAGCCTCTCTAGTGAATTTTTATTTCAATTATTGTACTTTTCAACTCCATAATTTCTATTTGGTTCCTTTTTATTATACTATTGTCTAAATATTTGTGTCCCCTGCCCCCAGATTTATATTTTGAAGCTCAATTCCCATTTTCTAGTGTGTGGTATTAAGAGGTGGGGTCTTTGGGAGGTGATTAGGTTATGAGGGTAGAGTCCTCATTAATGGAATTAGTACTCTTGTAAAAGAAGCTGAGGGAGCTTATTCACCACTTCCACTGTATGAAAACAGAAAAATGATGAGTTCATGCCCTTTGTAGGGACATGGATGAAGCTGGAAACCATCACTCTCAGCAAACTATCGCAAGCACAAAAAACCAAACACCGCATGTTGTCACTCATAGGTGGGAATTGAACAATGAGAACACATGGACACAGGAAGGGGAACATCACACACAGGGGACTGTTGTGGGGTGGGGTGAGGGGGGAGGGATAGCATTTGGAGATATACCTAATGTTAAATGACGAGTTACTGGGTGCAGCACACCAACACGGCATATGTATACATATGTAACTAACCTGCACATTGTGCACATGTACCCTAAAACTTAAAGTATAATAATAATAAAAAAAAAGGAAAACACAGGTGGAAGGCACTGTCTGGGAAACAGACAGTAAGCCCTTGCCAAACACTGAATCTGTTTGTTCTTCGATCTTGGATTTCCTAGCCTCCAGAACTGAGAGGAATACATTTCTGTTGTTTATAAATTACCTAGTCTAAGGCATTTTGTTATAGCAGCTGAATGGACTAAGACAACTACTATCGCTGTTGTTGTAATGCCAAAGGTTCTTGCCTTAGCCACGCCAAAGAATTGGTGTGGCGGCTGCCTGCCGCGAGTGATAGAGACACGGACCAATAGAGAGAAAAAGCTGTAGGCTTTATTGAGCAGAGTGAAAGTACAAAGCTTCCACAGTGTGGAAGGGGTCTCGAACGGGTAGCCACTGCTGGTTTTGGGTAATTGCCTTTTAAACTCTTTAAGGGGGGAAATACATGCGGTGGGAAGATGTTACCAGAGTGAGAAACAAAGGCAGTAAATTATTTTGTTCCATGTCTTAGATCTTGAGGAAAACTGGAATTGCAACCTAGTTTTTATTTACTTTATGACCTTGTAGAGGCATAGCAAAAGAGACAGGATCTTACCAGGACTTTATAAAGTATGTTCACAAGGAACTGGAATTGGGAAGTTAGATAAGGTTTGCTGGTCACAGAAAAACGGACAGTTAACATTCCTTTCATCTTTAGTTTTGGGGAGGGGGAAGGGAGAGAGGGAGAGAAAGACACAGGGAAACTTACAGCAAAATTTTCGCTGTTTATAGCTTTCTTGGGGAAGAAAACACATATACAAATCCGGGTGTTAGGAATATTGTAAGTATATAGCTTCAGTGTTATTCATCCAGGACTGAAGTAAGTCCTGATGCAGGAAATGAGTGAGTTTCACAGCTTTCTGAGCCCCTACTCGACCCAGGAAGCCCAGCTGCACCTCCTCTTATTGTTATTCTCTCTGATGAAACATTGCCATCACACCTTCCTTCACTTCTTTAGCCATCCTTTCCTTTAGGTCTATGAATGTAATGGATAATGTTATGTGTCAACTTGGGTTGGCTGAGAGATGCCCAGATAGCTGGTAAAGCATTGTTTCTGAGTGTGACTGTGAGGGTGTTTCCAGAATATTTTAGTATTTAAATCAGAAGACTGAATAAAGAAGATATCCCTCACTAATATGGGTGGGCATCATTCAGTCCATTGAGGACCCAAATAGAACAAAAAGGTGGAGGAAGGGTGAATTCTCTTTCTCTTTGAGCTGGGACATCTACTTCTACCCCTGGACACCAGAGGTCCTTCTTCCCCTCCTCCTGCCATGACTCTAGCCCATGTCCTGGTTCTCAGGCCTTTGGCCTCAGACTGGGAGTTGTACCATTGGCTCCCTTGATCCTCAACCCTTCTGACTCTCACCGAATTACACCACCTGCTTTCCTGGGTCTCCTACTTGCAGATGGCATATTGTGGCACTTCTTGGCATCCATAATTGAGCGAGTCAATCATCATACATATCTTTTTGTCTCTGTTTCTCTGGAGAATCCTGATGAAAATACTGAATATATTTAAACATATGTATAGTAGCTACTTTAAATATTTTTGTGTTAAATTTGTTTTCTCAAGCAATTTCTTCTGCCTTCTATTTTTCTGGTGTATTGGTCACACTTTTTTGTTTCTTTGCGTAGCTCATGATTTTTGTTGAAAAATGAACATTTTAGGAACTATATTATAGAAACTCTGGGTACTACCCCCACATTGTGCTTGTTATTCTTATTTGCTTGTTTGTTTATGTGATTAACAATGATTGTCTGGATTATTTTAATAAAGTCTATCTTCATCTCCTCATCCCACAGTGTTAAGCTTTTGATGTTACCTCAAGGAGGCCCAGCTTTGAGTATATCCAGGGTTACCCTGGAATGACAGTGGTCCTGTAGGACTCTTTTTCATTCTTTCCCTCACCAACCCAGCCACTGAAGTCCATTAATTACCACTCTTTTCAATAATGCCCTGGGGCAAAATTCCTCTACAAAGTAATCCAATAAAATAGTGAGTCCTTCTATGAAATAGTTTCTGAGGTCAGTGTTTGATATTTGTTTTACTTTGGGAGGGCTCTTCCCACCTATTTTATTCTCTAGTTCTCTTCTGTAAACTAAGCAGCCTACAGTCTAAGCTGTACCTGCATTAGATGCACAAATCTCCCAACTGCTTTTCACCACAACCTCTACTATAATTGAGAGTGCCCTTAGGTTTAAACTTCTCCATGCTCTATTCCAAATGGAGTCACTTCCTTTGGGAATACATTAGGATATCTATTCTATTTTATATAGAATAGATATAAAATATATTCTATGTTCCTAAAATATATTCCTAATATATTGCCTTTCCTCCCAGGCAAACTCTCTAAGTCAGGGCTCTGGAGCTGGGTGTAACTGTGGCAAGCTTCTCTCTGAGTGACTCCTCAATTCTAGGAGCTGAGCACTGAGTAGGGGGTGTGGCCAGCAGCCTGCTGTCCTATTGGCTTGCTTCTCCTGCAGTGGAGCCATTCCCTCATGAGCCAGGTAAAGGGTTATTAGGGCCCCAGTAGTCTTAGCATACCACACCCAAGGCAGATTCTCCATTCCACAACTGGGAGTTGGGCAGAAGAAGGGTCCTCTCACTTCTCAACTGCACTTGTCTGGGACATAGTCTCAGCAACAGGTAGCTGTGGGCAGGATGAGGGATTCCGAATTCCTGCCCTTCCTAGAAATAAAGCCCTCTCATATGGAGCTGTGGGGAGAGGGAGGCCTGTGCTCTGGGCTGTAGCAGTCTAGAGTGGAGTCTATGCCTCACTGACCTCACTGAGCTGGCATGCAGGAGAGAGGGAGGGTATAGTCTTGGTTCAAACACCACAGACTCTTGCTTTTCTTGCCAATTTTCAGAGATTTTCTTGAACAGATGTCTCATTATTGCTGTTTGTCCTTAAGAGGCTCTTCAGAGGCTTTAATTTTTTAAAAATCAGTTGCATTGGAGAGTGGATCCCATAGTGATTATCTCACAATGAAGAAATGACAGATTAATTTGTCTCTATTAATTTTGTAGACTTCCAATCTTTCCTTATTGGGCAGGTGTTACTAGTATTATAAGAAAAGTAGTGTGTTAATTTTTATTTTTTTAAACAAAAAAGAATATGACTCACTATACTTTTTCTTCACTTGGATTTTGGAAGTCCTGTACCTGCTCCAACAACCAGTAGCCCCGCTGAAAGATAGCTGGGTATTGACACCAATGAGGCAGTGTTGCAGTTAAAATATTCTCTTGTACTTGAGAATTCACCGAGAAAGTATTGACCAATCCCTACTTACATTGCATGTATATGGAGGTTTCCTTTTGGACCAAGGCTTGACTCATAAAGTAGACCTCTTTTAAATGAATACTGATATTTTTTTTCCAACAATGAAAATGGCAGATCACTTGGTTATTCCTCTCCTCCCTTGAAGTGAATTTCTATATTCTAGGGAGATTTATAGGACGCTTCAATAAACCCTACTTAGGTCTATAACTTCCTGCATGAGGTGTGACACACTTTTCCAACTACTGGTTCATACAAAAGACAAGGAGTTTCAACTTTTTCACCCTTACTTACGAATTGGCAAGCACAGAATATCAGGAAGTTGTGCGTTGGAAGCACGGGGACCATGCCAGGCTTTCAGCAAAGTATTCCCATGGAGTTACCAAGGGGGTGACAAATAATTGTAGCTATGTGGCCAGTTTTTCAGGAAGTGAGTTGGAAAGTTCATGAGTATATAATGATGAAAAACTAAGCTACAATATTTCTTGCCTAATTCGCGAGACTTATATTTCTTAGTCAAAGAGTGAAGATCCCATT
Organism: Homo sapiens; assembly: GCF_000001405.40. NCBI lineage: Eukaryota > Metazoa > Chordata > Mammalia > Primates > Hominidae > Homo > Homo sapiens. Next base: position 32,613,516 of record NC_000006.12, on the reverse strand, counting down.
CCATAATTCTATGTTAAGTGCAAATGGTACTATTAATGTATTGGCTAATTGAATTTCACTAAGCATAATTACCCCCAAAATGGTTTCAACAAATAATGTTTTTATCTTGCCTCTAAGGAGTACTTGAAAAAGAATCCACAAAGGACTGTTTTTATTAGTTAACATTGTTTAGTCATATTGGGGAATTATTTTTCTTTAGGAAAATTAAAATATTTTATCTTTATTTTTGTTAAAGTCAGTTTCAGAAAATTATTTTCTCCTTTTTGTAATTACAGTTTACTTTTGAACAACACAGATTTGAATTGCATGGGTCCTCTTATGGTTTGATTTTTTAAAATAAATATATTTGAAATTTTTTTGAGATATATGACAGTTTGCAAAAACCCACAGACGAATCATATAGCCTAGAAATACTGAAAACTTTGTTAAAGTTAGGTATGTCATGAACTCATAAAACATATGTAGATACTAGTCTGTTTTTATAATTCACTACCATAAAATATACACAAATCTGTTATAAAAAATTAAAACTTATGAAAAGTTATGCACTTATAGACCATACATAATGCCCTTCACAGTGGAGAGACATGTAAACAAACATAAAGATACAGTATTGAGTCACAACTGCATTGAATAACTATAATACATAGGACATTGCTGTAATAACTTCATAGCCACCTTCTGTTGCTGCTGTGGTAAGTCCGAGTGTTGCAAGTATGTGCGTAAAATGCCTCCTGATGCTAATCATCATAAATTGTGTATTGCAGTAAAAAGTGATCTCTTATGTTTCTCGTATATTTTTCATGTTTAGCGTTATGTTGTAAACCTTGAATAACACCATGGGATCCACACAAAGTGCCACTAGTGATGCTGAAGTGCTCCTAAGGAGCAGAGAAAAGTCCTGGCATTACAGGAAAAAGTTGAATTCTTTGATATGTACCATAGAGTGGGTCTGCAGCTGCGGTTCTTCATGATTTTAGACACATGGTTTGTCTTGTAAACCAGGTCATGTAAACTTACAGTATCGATAAACACAGTACAGTACTGTAAATGTATTTTCTTTTCTTTATTATTTTCTTAATATTTCCTTTTTGCTAGCTCATTTTATTATAAGAATATAGTATATAATAAATATAGCATACAAATATGTATGACTAGACTGTTTATGTTATTGGTAAAACTTCTGGTCAACAGTAGGCTATTGGTAGTTTTTAGGGAGTCAAAAGTTATATGAAGATTTTTGACTGTGTTGGGCATTGGTGTCCCTAACCCCCGCATTAAGTTGTCGACAAAAAGAGTCAAACTCTGTAAAATATTTGAAGAGATTTATTTTGAGCCAAATGTGAGTGACCAATGGCCTCTGGCACAGTTCTAGAAGATCCTGAGAACGTGCCCAAGGTGGTTGGGCTACAGCTTGGTTTTACACATTTTAGGGAGACATAAGACATCAATCAATACATATAAGATGTACATTGGTTTGGTCCAGAAAGGAGACAACTTGAAGTAGGGGCTTCCAGGTCACAGATGGATTCAAAGATTTTCTGGTTGGCAATTGTTTGAGAATTTATCTAAAGATGTGGATTCAATAGAAGGAAGTGTCTAGGTTAAGATAAGAGGTTGTGGAGACTAAGGTTGTTATTTATCATGCGGATGAAGCCTCCAAGTAGCAGGCTTCAGACAGACTAGATTGTAAATGTTTCTTATCAAACTTAAAAAGGTGCCAGATGGGCCAGGCGTGGTGGCTCACGCCTGTAATCCCAGAATTGGGAGGCCAGGGCTGTGGATCACCTGAGGTCAGGAGTTCAAGACCAGTTTGGCCAACAAGGTGAAACCCCCATCTCTCCTAAAAATACAAAATTAGCCGGGCATGGTGGTGAGCGCCTGTAATTCCAGCTACTAGGGAGGCTGAGGCAGGAGAATCATTTAGAGCCCAGGAGGTGGCAGAGGTTGCAGTGAGCCGAGATTGCGCCACTGCACTCCAGCCTGGGCGACAGAGTGAGACTCTGTCTCAAAAAAGAAAGAAAGAAAGAAAGAAAGTGCCAGATGCTTAGATAATTCTCTCCTGGATCAAGGGAAAGACCTCGAAAGGAAAGAAGATTTTCTACAGAATGTAGATTTTCCCCACAAGAGACAGCTTTGCAGGGCCATTTCAAAATATGTCAAATTATATTTTGTGATAAAATACTTTGATTTCTTTCAGGGCATGCTATCTGTTGCGTTGGTGTCTTATTGCTACAAAGAGTCTGTTTTGTCAGTCTCAAGGTCTTTGTTCTAGTGTTAATGAGGGTCAAATGTGCCTCGATTCTAGAGGGAGGAAGGTATAATGATGCAAGTCCAACCTCCCCTTCCCATCGTGACCTGAACTAGTGTTTCAAGTTTACTTTAAAATGTCCTTGGCCAAGCAGAAGAGCCCATTTAGTTGGTTGAAGGGCTTAAATTTTATTTTTGGTTTACAGTGTGAACTGTATTTTCAGTGACTGAAATGACTAATGACAGTGAAATAAAAATGAAATGTTTTTTAGTATTTATCATGGTCCGGGAATGAGTTAAGTATTAACTTGAGAGATCATGCAATTCAACCCTTTAATTTTAGTGATGAAGAAACAGACACTCAAAAGAGTAAATTACTTGACCAAGGTGTGGGTTGGGTGCCAGAATTCTGACCTCATGACCATGAATACAGTGTTTTTATTCCCATTCTACTATGTAACTATATTCACTAACTGAACCCCAAGGAGCTCTGATAAAGTAAAATATGACTTTGTATGAGAGGGGTATTGGAATTTTACTTTAGATACCCTGCTGATCTCAAATAAACTAATAATTTTAATTCCTGGGCTTTGAATTTAGGCAGAACGGGATTTTAATCCTCATAATTATCTCTTAAATCACTACAATTTCTTAAAATCACTCTTTAAAATCACGAATTCTTAGTGGTCTCTTAAAATTGCTAATTCTTAGTAACCTACTTATGTATTTATTAATTTTACAAATATTTATTGAGTGCCTGGAACTGAACATTCAGCAGTTAACAAAAATAATGATTAATTGAGATAATACACCTGGAAGTACTACTTTGCTAGAGCAAAATAATCAGCACATGATAATGTGACTTTCCCTCAAATTGTCCTATGACAATCAGCAGGTGGGATCATGGGCTTCTTCATCATTTCCATCTCGTTCACCACAGGTGCTCATGCATCACTAGCAGGGAGAATCCAGCGTCATAGTCATGCCCTTCCCTTTTAAAACTGACCAGGGACTTCCCACAGAGGCATGAAAAATATCAGGTAACCTCTTCTCCCCCACCAATACTAAGTACTAAGAGTCTCAGTCTTTACTCTGCTTCACAACTACAAAATATGGTATCTTGTCTCTCCACATGGGGTATCTTATTTCTTTCCATGAAACTACATCGTCAGCCATTCTTCTCACCACTCATGAGTCATCCTGCTCCTTCCCTGCCTCCTCCCCAAGACCTGGGATCAGATCAGACCTTCTTAGCAGATGTATCTGCTGGAGACAAGTGATGCTGCCTCATTCTCTATTCCTATTGGTTGGAGAAACATGCCTGTGACCGATTGGGGATTTCCAGGAATGCTTTTCTTTCTTGAAATGCCTAGTGCAAGAAGCTGGAATGCCTTCCCTGAAACGAAGTAACCTGAACTGAGACTGATGAGGCAGATTCTGGGTTTGAGAACTGCCTGCGGGTACTGCCTCTGAAAAGAGACATGTATTCCTTCTTAAACGACTCATCTTTCTATCTTTATCAAGTGATATTTCCTAGCATGATTATGAGAATATTAGTGCTCAGTAAATACAAACTCTTCATTCTAACTATTACTTCCTAGACTTGTAACTACACTGGGATTTCCAAAATAATTTCCTGGTTGATTTCCCTTCCATCTATAGCTATACAAGTCTTGTTTTTGTTGGGTGGCTTCACTCTGTGCATCCCCTTCCATTCCTGAAGGAAGAATCTTCACTCCCATCAGACAGTACTCCTCTCCCTGCCTGCATCTTTCATCCTTCGTTTCCCTTACATATCGTTTCATTATATTTTCTCTACGCCTCCTACTGTCTTAATTAACCAAAACTTGCCCTTTTTAATGAGTGTTACTATCTCATACACATAGCTCCAATCTTTAATTTTTAAGGTTCATGTAGGTGTGTAAAACATTTTTTTATTATTATTATTATTTTAGAGACAGAGTCTCGCTCTGTCACCCAGGCTGGAGTGCAGTGGCGAGATCTCAGCCCACTGCAACATCTGCCTCCCGGGTTCAAGCAATTCTCCTGCCTTAGCCTCCCAAGTAGCTGGGACTACAGGCATGTGCCACCACACCCAGCTAATTTTTGTATTTTTAGTAAAGACTGGGTTTCGCCATGTTGGCCAGGCTGGTCTTGAACTCCTGACCTCCGGTGATCCACCTGTCTCTGCCTCCCAGAGTGCCGGGATTACAGTCGTGAGCCACCGTGCCCGGCCAGTGTGTAAACTGTTTTAACAATTTGGCTCATGTTTGAAAACCAACAAATTTGTGCTCTTATTGTATTTTATAAACGAATCGATTGCAGCACTTGTTGCAGTGTATTACAGCAAGTTTACATTGGCTTTGAACTCCTAGGAAACAAGATCTGCAGATCCTATTTATCCTAATAACGCATAACCTTGAAGAATGATTTGCACAATTGCAGCAGCATTAACTTTTTAATGTTACCCCAAAGGAATAAACGTTATCTTTTTCAAGTCAGGATATAATTCCCATGTTTCTACCATCACCTCCAAAAGGGGTACAAAAGGTTATTTTCAGAGTTATTATAAAGATTAAATGAGATAATTGAAAAATGGCTAAAGAGACCCTGGAACTATTGATTCTCTTTTCCATCATTGTCCCTGCACGTTCTTCTTATAACCAGCAGGTGGGGAGATGACCCTTAATCAATCTCTTTCTCCTTTCCTTTCAATTTTGTCCCTACCACAGATTTTAGTTTTCTACTAGTGATGAGATCCAGCATTACAGCAATTTTCTTTTCATTTAGTCCTGGACAGGGACTTTCCACCTATGTCTGAAAAAGAACAAGTATCCTGATTCACGCTCTACATTCATTAAGCATGATTGATCGTACTAGAAAAGGGGAGAATTCTTGGCAATCCACACAGCTATCACCTGTTTCTTTCTACAAATTTCAGATATTATATCTTTCTCACATCACATAGCTAATAATTTGCCCCTACTCCACCTTTTCACAGGGTCTCGAAACCAGACTAATGCTAGGACTATTGAAGTAGTGTTATTTGCTGGAGACAAATGATGTTACTTCACTCAGTGGTTGCATAGGAAGAAAACTGATAAGTAATGGAGGTTTTCATAAAGTCCCTTTGTCCAGAAAACTGACCTGCTTCATCTTAAAGCACAGAGCCTGGGAACCAGGATAGATAATCACCCTGGGGGTTTGAGAACTCAGTCTTTGGATGCTATCTCTGAAAGACGAAAAGAGGTCTAAAAAAATTCCACATTTTCTCTTTCTACCCATTAGATAGTAGTACTTTGCACAAGTTTGGAAGGACACAAGGCACTCAGTAAAACCAGTCTCCTAGTCTCACTGTCACCTCCCCAGGCTTGATGCTCCTCCTCTACCTATATGACACTTGCCTTACCAATAGATGATTTTGGTGTTTTACATTTGCACATTTCAGTTCATCACCTTTCTAAGAAGAGACTGCTCAGCTTCTAAGGCCTCTCATAAATACAGGTCCTCTCTGTGCATCTTCTCTTATCGTATACTATTCTTTAATCTAGATGTTCACTCCAGTCAATCTGGGCTTTTCCCTAAATCAACCCACTCCCTGTCCCACCCCCGCTGCCAGTACTGCTCTCACTCATGCTGTTCATGATGGTTCCTTTCCCACTGCTATTCCTCGGCATCATTTCCTCCTCTTCTCTGCTTCAAGTCTTACTTCTGCAAATGAACTGTATTTTCAAATTTTCTCCAAATACTCCAATCTGTATGAATATACCCTTTATCTACTATTCTTGAATTTTGTTACTTTTAAATTATACCCACTCTTTCTTTCTTTCCTTCCTTCCTTCTTTCTTTTCTTTTCCTTTCTCTTTTTTTCTGTTTTTCTCTCTCTCTTTCTTTTTTTTTTTTTTTTTTTTTTTTTTTTTTTCAGAGATAGCCTCACTCTGTTGCCCAGGCTGGAGGGCAGTGGCGTGATCTCAGTTCACAACAACCTCTGCCTTTCAGGTTCAAGCGATTCTTATGCCTCAGCCTCCCAAGTAGCTGGGATTTCAGGCATGCACCACCACGCCTGGCTAATTTTTTGTATTTTTAGTAAAGATGGGATTTCACCATGTTGCCCAGGGTGGTCTTGAACTCCTGAGCTCAGGCAATCCACCTGCCTTGGCCTTCTAAAGTGCTAGGATTACAGGTGTGAGCCACCACCCCCAAACCCCATTTGTATTTTCATTGCAATTTATAAACATTTATATTTATACTTAATACATTGTTTATTAATTCAACAGCTATTAAATAACTATCTATTTTGAACCAGGCATTTTTCTAGGAACTGAGGAGAGAATAGTGCACAAAGTTTCTGGTGTATGGAGTGTATGTTGTATATGTGTCTTTTTTTCCTGATAGATATTGATCTTCATGAGATCCTCATCCTGGAACCTTAGCTCCTACCACACTCTTTGAAATGGTAGACGTCCAATAAGCATTTGCTCTTTGAATATCATCAGTTATACTTTGTGCTTCTTATAGAAGTATGTGCATGTTTTAGACGATGGGTATTTTTCACTCTGTGAAGCCCTCTACCAACTTATTCTAAAGTCAGAAAGGAGGTGAAACCTGCCTTAACATATAGAAAGGAACAGTTTAGTGACCAAAAAGTTTGACAAGAACTGGAATTATACACAAGAAATACCAGCCGAATCACAGGACTATTCCTGGAGCCCCCGCTTCCAGTGTCCTTCACTCCGTCCTCTCCTTCAACTTCAATTTAACTACAACAAACATTCATTAACATGTGTGCCGATATTTCCGATTTTCCTGCCCTTTTCCCTTCTGTGACTTCCAAAGTACCTGACGGTGCATTCTGCTGTTGTTCTTATTTCTCTTTTCCTAACCACAAACACTGAAGCCCCTGGTGAGAGGCTTCTAGCACGAGTGTGATAGGCTCATGGTAGGTCGTCATGAGAAGCTTTCCAGGCACATCCCATGGCACCTTCTAGTTATGCCCAGTAATTTCTTACTGTCCCTATTTTAGATACATTATATTTGTGACCACTGATGAACATTTTTTTATGATTCTGAATTTTGGATTCTATTTTAAAAATCTTTTTCTATTTCAAGGTTAGGAAGATATTCTCTAATATCGGCTTCTAGAAGTTTTATTGTATTGATTTTTATAGATAGATATGTTTTCTACTGGAATTAATTTTGTGTATAAAGTGAGATAGGTGTCAAATTTCTTTCTTTTTTTTTTCAGTAAGGATATACAACTGATTCAGCAGCATTTATTGACAGGCTGATACTTTCTGGGTCACTAAATTGACAATTATTAGATCACAAAAGAGGCACAAAAGAGAACATACTGTATAGTTTAATTTGTATAATGTTACTAAGCATGTTTAGGAATAAATATTAGATTTTGAAGGTGTATTGAGAAGCAATGAAGGGATTGCTATGAAAGTCTGATGGTGAGTTGTCTTGGTGGGAAGGGAGAGTAATGTGGACAGGAGGAGGCACGGGAGAGCTTCTGGTGCTGGCCTCATGCTGTTTCTTGATTTGGGTGGTGGGTTCATGGATGTTGGCATTGTAATGATTGATTAAGTTGTACATTTAATCTTTACGTGTCTTACTATATGTGTGTTCTATGTCACTATACAATGTTAAAAATGTAACACATTTGGTTTCCTAATCATATCCCAGTAATAAACAAATAAATATTTATTTATTTATTTATTTGTATTTATTTGAGACAGAGTCTTGCTCTGTCACCCAGGCTGGAGTGCAGTGGCGCAATCTCAGCTCGCTGCACCCTCCACCTCCTGGGTTCAAGGGATTCTGCTGCCTCAGCCTCCTGAGTAGCTGGGACTACAGGTGCCCGCCACCACACCCAGCTAATTTTTGTATTTTTAGTAGAGACGGGGTTTCACCATATTGGTCAGGCTGGTCTCGAACTCCTGACCTTGTGATCTGCCTGCTTCAGCCTTCCAAAGTGTTGGGGTTACAGGTGTGAGCCACTGCACCCAGTCATAATCAATATTTATTAAATACTATAAGTGATGGACATTATTGAATGTGTTGGGAATGTAGCAGTTAACTGAAAACACAGTTTGATACATACATCCACTGCAGGGTTATGATGAGAATTAAATGAAACAAAGTGAAGGTAGAAAATTCAGTGCCTGGTGTAAAATAAACAATAACTCACTATTTTATTTTCCCTTCATTTGTCTGTGCATAAACCTATGGCAACCAGAGTTGGCATAATAGATCTCTCTGACAGTCTCCATCTCTTCTATAATATGAATAGCAGGCAGATAGCAGCAGGATAGCTTTTTATTTGTGCTTTTAATACTATCCAGGCACAGGAATGGAAAACCAGGCATTATGTCTCTATCAGTCTAAATGCCCAGCTCCTCCAATCCTCACTGCACATTTTGCTTTACTCTGCAAATATTCTTTATTTGCTAACCACCTATGTCATGTCCTAATTTATTCCACAAAGGAAGTTTTCAGCCTTTCTTATCAACACCTAATTTAGTCATCCTGTTCTCCTGCAACTTTTCTCCAAGACTTTATATAAGACCTTCTGGTCAGCTGTATCTGCTGGAGATAAGTGATGTGGTTTCAGTCTTTATCCCTATTGGTTACAGGAAAAACAGCAACAACTATTTGTGAAGGGATGGGGATTTCCAGTAAATTTCTCTCTTTTTTCTACAAAATGTCTCAACCGGAAGGAAAGAACCAACACACCGACGGATAGGCATACTGATCCCTTTGGGTGTTACCTACAAAAGGAAAGAAAATATTTTCCTTCTAAAAGACCTTCTGTTCTTCCCTTATTCATCAAATACCAGTTCTAATGCACATCTGGAAATCTAAAAGGAGCATGGTATTCCCATCATCCATTCCTGTTGTCACCACACTGATCTCTGTGTCCAATCCCTCATAACTAACCTTGGATTGTAAAAGTTTTGCTACTCGATATTTTTTCCTGCATCCATCCACATCTTTCTAAAAGATGTAACATCTTTGCCAAATTTTCAATGCCTTTCTTAGTGTACTTCAGCTCTGCACATCCACTCTGATCTCCCAGTATTATTTAAGGGAGCCTTTCAATTCTAGGTTAGCAGACTCCCCTCTATCTCTATTTCCATTTCCTGACTCCCCCTGCTTCCTGCATACGTGTTATTCATGATAGTTCCTGTTCCCCGGCGAGTCTCTAGCCTAACTGAATCATAACCCTTCCTCTGTGTTTTGAGTTTCACTGCCTCTGGAACTCACATCCATACAAATGCTTCCTTCTTGTTGTAAATATAAGTTTATACTTAACTATTTTGTTTTAAAATTTTTCTCTTAAAAATTAATGACACCAAATTGTGTTTGATTGTTTTTATAGCTATGTCTGTTGGAGATCTTGTGACATTTTTATATGAATTTTTTTTTTTTTTGAGACCGAGTCTTGCTGTGTCGCCCAGGCTGGAGTGCAGTGGCGTGATCTCTGCAACCTCCGCCTCCCGGGTTCACGACATTCTCCTGCCTCAGCCTCCCGAGTAGCTGGGACTACAGGCATGCCCCACCACTCTATTTTTAGTAGAGATAGGTTTCACCATGTTAGCTAGGATGGTCTCCATCTCCTGACCTCGTGATCCACCTGCCTCGGCCTCCCAAAGTGCTAGGATTACAGGCGTGAGCCACCATGCCTGGCCCCATTTTTATATGAATTTTATATGTCTGTCATTACAATGTGCTCTTTTGTCTGTGTAGGATCTACTTAAAAGTAGGATCTAATTCATGTGAATCTTTGTATCCCCAGCATTAGAAGAATCTTCTGCACAAAGGAAGCACTGAACACACCTTTTGTGATTGAATATCCCCACCTAGATTGCATGTGTATGTGCACATGCATATGGTGGATCCTCAGTTAAAATTTACCGAATTTAAAGTGCGGCAAAAGATATGAGATAGATATTAAGAATATTTTTTCTGACTGTGAGGATTTATATATGGAAATACGTGAAGGAGGGACAATCCCTTCTACAAAATTCTTTTCACCAAATTACCGCTGACTGTTACCACCCTGTGTGGCTCCCACAACAGCTTCTCCTATGAGAAGCAGATAACTACATTTTTGTAGAAAACAAGAGGATGAACTGACTAGTGAACAAGGGGTTAAACGGCTCCCAAATCATGTTCTCAGTGATGCCCACCAGTCCTCATTTCATAATTTAATTACCAGTTACAAAAGATCTTCTGGACGCCGGATGTTTGGGTCTTCTGGAGCTCTCTCCTGCTCTTCTGGTATATCCACAAACAGTCTTGTCAAAACTGGATCCTGATACTTCATACAATTACTTGCTTCGGGACCTCTTGAGATTCATTTCTCGTTTCTTCATTTCCTCACCAAATGCTGGAGTCCATTGAGTGAGAAGGGGCTAGCCTCAGCCATGTGTTTACTTTGGAGGCCTAGTCAAGAGCTTTTCTAGAACATCCTGTGGGAATCAGTGGACTTGCCCCAATATTTTCTCATTATTTTCACACTATTCACTGTTCCCATTCAATGCGGCTGCTGAGCTATTATTTTGCTTTCTGTCTAGGCACTGGTAACCCTGGCTGGAGCGCCATCTTGGCTGATTCTCCATATCTTATTGTCCTTCCATGACTCACATGTGCTACTGTCCGTTAACCATGCTCTTTGTCACAAAGCACAATTCTCAGCTTCCCCCCAGCTCCTACTCCTTCTCCCCAACACTTGCACTTACAGAAATGTTTCCTTCCCATTTCCCTTTTCTGTATCTACCATCTTTTATCTGCCCTAATATCTACAAAAATATCCTCAGTTCTCTTGAAGTAAAAATGGACACTTTTAAAATTGTTCATGTAAGTATGGATGTATATATCTATAAATTTATGTATACATATTTATGTATTCATGGATATTGGTGAATAAATGTCAGGGTAGCCCTACTTTTTACACCCGCTTCTCTGGTCACAATACAGATGAACTGTCTGCATTTGGGTGGGAGGCAGTGAGAGAAGCATCGATTGATTGGCATGATTGGTGAATAGACACATGCACAGGAAATACCAAGGTTTTAGTTCCCAGCCTCCATTTTTGCTTTCAGTACATATCTCACCTCAACTATATCTCTAGAAGGTATTTGAAGATTTATCCTGATACTCCCATAAATATAAGAACTTTGTTCCATCCTATGATTTTTTAAATTATTGTAATTTTTTTTGGCAAATTATAATTGCATATAATTATGGGGTACAAAGTAATGTTATGATATATATACACAATGTGGAGTAGTTGACTCAAGCTAATTAATATATCTATCACCTTAAAAACTTTTCATTTATTCCTCCTGTCTGTCTGCTACTTTATACTCTTTGACTAATGTCTTCCTATTCCTCCCAATCTGCAGCCTCTGATAATCACTATTCTACCCTCTGCTTCTATGAATTTGATTGTTTTTGATTCCACATATAAATGAGAATAAGCAGTATTTGTCTTATTTCACTTAGAAACGTCTAGCTTATTTCACTTAGCATACTGTCCTCTAGGTTCATTCATGTTGTTACACATGGCAGAACAGCGTTTATTTTTTGTTTTTTTTTTTGAGATGGAGTCTCTCACTGTCGCCTGGGCTGGAGTGCAGTGGCACTATTTTGGCTCACTGCAACCTCCGCCTCCTGGGTTCACACCATTCTCCTGCCTCAAGCTCCTGAGTAGCTGGGACTACAGGCGCCTGCCACCATGCCCGGCTAATTTTTTGTATTTTTAGTAGAGACGGGATTTCACCGTGTTAGCCAGGATGGTCTTGACCTCCTGACCTCGTGATCCGCCCGCCTCGGCCTCCCAAAGTGCTGGGATCACAGGCGTGAGCCACCGCACCCAGCCCAGAGCAGCCTTTTTTTTTAAAAGGCTGTATGTTATTCTGTTATACGGAATATATTCTGTATATATACCACATTAAAAAAATTTGTCAGTTGATGGACACTTAATATCTTGGCTATAATAAGTAACACTGCAATGAACATGACAGTGCAGATATCTCTTCAACATACTGATTTTAAGTCCTTAGTCCATACACCTAGAAGTGGGATTGCTGAGTCATATAGTAGTTCTACTTTTAATTTTTTCAAGAACTTCCATACAGTTTTTTATAATGGCTATACCAATTTACATTCCCACCAACAGTGTACAAGTGTTTCCTCTTTTTTTTTTTTTTTTTTTTTTTTCAGATGGCATCTCACTCTGTCACCCAGGCTGGAGTGCAATGGTACGATCTCGGCTCACTGCAACTTCTGCCTCCCAGGTTCAAGCTATTCTCCTGCCTCAGACTCCCAAATAGCTGGGGCTTACAGGTGCATGCTGCCATGCCCAGCTAATTTTTTTTTTCCTTTTTTTCTATTTTTTAGTAGAGACAGGGTTTCACCATGTTGCCCAGGCTGGTCTCAAACTCGAGCTCAGGCAATCTGCCCACCTCAGCCTCCCAAAGTGCTAGGATTACAGGTGTGAGCCACCACACCCGGCCAAGTGTTCCCTTTTCTCCACATCCTCACCAACACTTATCTTTTACCCTTTCAATAAGAACCATTCTTTCCGGTGTGAGGTGATATCTCGTTGTGGCTTTAATTTGCATTTCCCTAATGATTAGTGATGTTAAGCATTTTTTTTTTTTTTTTGAGACAGAGTCTTGCTCTGTCGCCCAGGCTGGAGTACAATGGTGCAATCTTGGCTCACTGCAACCTCTGCTTCCTGGGCCCAGGTAATTCTCCTGCCTCAGCCTCCCAAGTAGCTGGGACTACATGCGTGTGCCACCATGCCCAGCTAATTTTTGCATTTTTTGTACAGACGGTGTTTCACTGTGTTAGCCAGGATAGTCTCAATCTCTTGACCTCGTGATCCACCCGCCTCAGCCTCCCAAAGTGCTAGGATTACAGGTGTGAGCCACCACACCCAGCCAATGTTAAGCATTTTTTCATATGCCTGTTGGCCACTTCAATGTCTTCTTTTGAGAAATGTTTATTCATGTTCTTTGCTTATTTTTAAATCTTATTTTTTATTTTTATTTTTTTGCTATTGAGAGTTCCTAATATATTTTGGATGTTAACCCTTCATCAGATGTATTGCTTGAAAATATTTTCTCCCAGCCGATAGGTTGTCTCTTCGTTCTGTTGTTTTCTTTGTTGTGCAGAAGCTTTTTAATGTGATGTAATCCCACTTGTCTATTTTTAAATTTTGTTGCCTAAGCTTTTGGGGTCAAATAAAATAAAAATCATTGTCCAGACCAACGTTGTATAGGTTCTCTCTGTTTTCTTCTAGTATTTTTACAGTTTCAGGTCTTATATTTAAGTCTCCAATCCATTTTTAGTTGATTTTTGTATATGGTGTGAGATAAAGATCCAATTTTATTCTCTGCATATGAATATCCAGTTTTCTCAGCACTGTTAATTGAAGAGATTTTCCTTTTCCCATTGTGTGTTCTTGGTAACTTTATTGAAAATAACTTGGTCATAAATAAGTAGATTCATTTCTGGGCTCTGTATTCTGTTTCATCCGTTGATGTGTCTACTGTTATGCCAGTACCATGCTGGGTTTTGTTGTTGTTGTTGTTGTTATTGTTTTTAGATGGAGTCATGCTCTGTTTCCCAGGCTGGAGTGCAGTGGCATGATTTTGGCTGACTGCAACCTCTGCTTTCCGGGTTCAAGCAGTTCTCTACCTTATCCTCCTGAGTAGCTGGAGTTACAGGCACCTGCCACCATGCCCAGCTAATTTTTGTATTTTTAGTAGTGATGGGGTTTCACCATCTTGGCCAGGCTGGTCTTGAAGTCCTGACCTTGTGATCCACCTGCCTCAGCCTCCCAAAGTGCTGGGATTACAAGCATGAGCCACCTTGCCCAGCCATGCTGTTTTAAGTACTATAGCTTTGTAATATAGTTTGAAGTCAAGTGGTGTAATGTCTCCAGTTTTGCTCTTTTTGCTCAAGATTGTCTTAGCTATTCAGGCTTTTTGTGTGGTTCCATGTGAATTTTATATTGTTTGTAGATATTGTAAATGGGATTGTTTTCTTGATTTCTTTTTTGAATAGTTCATTGTTAGCGTATAGAAATACTACTGATTTTTGTGTGTTGATTTTATTTGCTGCAACTTTACTGTATTCATTTATTCTAATAGCACTTTGGTGAATTTTTTTAGCATGTTTTAGATATAATACACATTCTTCTCAAGCACACATTGAACTTTCTCCAGGACAGATGAGATGTTAGGCCACAAAACAACTCTAAACAAATTTTGAAGTGCACAGTATTATTTTGTTAACTATAGGCACTATGTTAAATAGCAGATCTCTAGAACTTATTCAACCAGCATAACTAACACTTTATACCCTTTTAATGACAACTCTCCATTTCCCCCAGCCCCCAACTCTTGTTAACTATACTATTGTATTCGCTGCTTCTATGAGCTTGAGTGTTTTAGTTACCTCATATAACAGGAATTATGCAATATTTGTCTTTCTGTAACTGGCTTATTTCACTCAGCATAAGCGAAACTAAAAAGCTTTTGCATAGCAAAGAAAACAATAAACAGAATGAAAAGATAACCTGCAGAATGGAAGAAAATATTTGCAAACCATATATTTGATAAGGGGCTAATTTCAAAAATGTATAAGGAACTCATACAACTCAAGAGCAAAACAACCAACCAAACAAACAAATAACCTGATTAAAAAATGGGCAAATGACTTGAACAGATATGTCTCCGAAAAAGATGTTATAGACTAAATGTTTGTGTTCCCTCCTAATCATATGTTAAATCCTAAGCCCCAATATTATAGGATTAGAAGGTGGGCCCTTTGGAAGGAATTAGGTCTAGAGTCTATCTAGATAAACACTCCAATCAATTGCCCATATGGGAACACAAATTGGTTTCTGATGGTGTAAAGTTATTAAGGAAAAATAATAACAATAAATGGATAAACAGGATCAATTTCTTCTTACCATGGAGGATATGTATCCTCAACAGAAGACTGTGCCATGTAAAGGCCATATTAGTATTCATCAGAGTTGATAGGACCCTTTCCTGTAAGATTTCAGCAATGTCATCCATCGAGGAACTTTGGGTGGAGCCAGTCTTTGCACCATGGCACTATCTAGGTCATGGCTGTAAGTCTACAAGTGAAAAAACCATGGTCAGTATTAATGATATTGCAATTAGTATCAGCAATACCACTGAAGGAAACTTTGACAGTTAAAATAATTTAGGAGGCTTGGCACAGTGGCTCACGCCTGTAATCCCAGCACTCTGGGAGGCCGAGGTCAAGAGATCAAGACCATCCTAGCCAACATGGTGAAACCCCATCTCCACTAAAAATACAAAAAATTAGCCGGGCATGGTGGTGTGCACCTGTAGTCCCAGCTACTTGGGAGGCTGAGGCAGGAGAATAGCTTGAACCCAGGAGACAGAGGTTGCAGTTAGACAAGATCATGCCACTGCACTCCAGCCTGGCAACAGAGCGAGACTCTGTCTCAAAAAAAAAGAATTTAGTGTTTAACTCCTGTTCTGGAGAGAAAATAAACCCATGCCTATGTATTTTGCCTCGATGGCAGAAGCAGTTGCTTTTAGAACTGATTCTTCTTATGCTTTTTTGTTTTTCATAGCTTTAGAACTTGTAATAGCAATAAAGATTCCTCACTTCTGGAAAAACTCAAAAATTTCTAGTAATCCTTATATTATCTTCTGCTGTGGTTATTATAAAGTATTTTCCTCTGGTTAATAATATAGCTATGGCTTAGATTATTTTTTATTAGCTGGTACCTTTTTTCTTATTCTAACAATTGACTAGACACCTCCTTAAAGTCAAATCCAAAATTCTGAACTGTGGATACTGACAGGGTATTGTTTGCACCCAGATCATCTTTAGCATCTCTAGATGGATACATAATAGTACCAAGTTTTCCACCTTTATCTTGCTGGTGTAACCCCTTGAATGAACAGATGACCAAAATAGGGATGCTAGCAATAGTTAGTGTGGTTCTTATGCTTTATTTTTCTCAAAACTGCTGTATGATACTGAGAGTTGCTTTGTTTGACAGGCACACAGGGTAGGAAGAGATGTCATGACAAAAGGAATCATTAATTTTTTTGCACATATATAAGTTGATTTTATTTAGGTAAAATGTTGTTAATATAAATAAGTACTAGTAAGTTTACTTTTTCAAGATAATAAATTGTCTACAAGGATGAACTATTAGAAAAATAACTGCTAAAAGATTTTATTATTTATTTTAAATAAAATAAGCAACAAACCAGGCACACACTTTATAGGACAGATTGAGAAGTTGGTACAGTTCAACAGGTTCATCAATTTCTTCACTGTCCACACTGCAGTCACTGGGGAGTGGGCTAGTGGAGCACCAAAATGAAATTTTGAAAAATAATACCTCTACCCCTACCCCTACCCCTACCCCTACTCCTACCCCTACCTCTACCTCTCCACGGTCTCCCTCTCATGCGGAGCCGAAGCTGGACTGTACTGCTGCCATCTCGGCTCACTGCAACCGCCCTGCCTGATTCTCCTGCCTCAGTCTGCCAAATGCCTGCGATTGCAGGCACGCGCCGCCACGCCTGACTGGTTTTGGTGGAGACGGGGTTTCGCTGTGTTGGCCGGGCCGGTCTCCAGCCCCTAACCGCGAGTGATCCGCCAACCTCGGCCTCCCGAGGTGCCGGGATTGCAGACGGAGTCTCGTTCACTCAGTGCTCAATGGTGCCCAGGCTGGAGTGCAGTGGTGTGATCTCGGCTCACTACAACCTACACCTCCCAGCCGCCTGCCTTGGCCTCCCAAAGTGCCGAGATTGCAGCCTCTGCCCGGCCGCCACCCCGTCTGGGAAGTGAGGAGCGTCTCTGCCTGGCCGCCCATCGTCTGAGATGTGGGGAGCGCCTCTGCCCCGCCGCCCCATCTGGGATGTGAGGAGCGCCTCAGCCCGGCCGAGACCCCGTCTGGGAGGTGAGGAGCGTCTCTGCCCGGCCGCCCCGTCTGAGAAGTGAGGAGACCCTCTGCCTGGCAACCACCCAGTCTGAGAAGTGAGGAGCCCCTCCGCCCGGCAGCTGCCCCGTCTGAGAAGTGAGGAGCCTCTCCGCCCGGCAGCCACCCCATCTGGGAAGTGAGGAGCGTCTCCGCCCGGCAGCCACCCCGTCCGGGAGGGAGATGGGGGGGTCAGCCCCCCCGCCCGGCCAGCCGCCCCATCCGAGAGGGAGGTGGGGGGGCCAGCCCCCCGCCCGGCCAGCCGCCCCGTCCGGGAGGGAGGTGGGGGGGTCAGCCCCCCGCCCGGCCAGCCGCCCCGTCTGGGAGGGAGGTAGGGGGGGTCAGCCCCCCTGCCCGGCCAGCCGCCCCGTCCGGGAGGTGAGGGGTGCCTCTGCCCGGCCGCCCCTACTGGGAAGTGAGGAGCCCCTCTGCCCGGCCAGCCGCCCCGTCTGGGAGGGAGGTGGGGGGGTCAGCCCCCCGCCCGGCCAGCCGCCCCGTCCGGGAGGTGAGGGGCACCTCTGCCTGGCCGCCCCTACTGGGAAGTGAGGAGCCCCTCTGCCCGGCCAGCCGCCCCGTCCGGGAGGGAGGTGGGGGGGTCAGCCCCCCGCCCGGCCAGCCGCCCCGTCCGGGAGGGAAGTGGGGGGGGTCAGCCCCCCGCCCGGCCAGCCGCCCCGTCCGGGAGGGAGGTGGGGGGGTCAGCCCCCCGCCCGGCCAGCCGCCCCGTCCGGGAGGGAGGTGGGGGGGTCAGCCCCCCGCCCGGCCAGCCTCCCCGTCCGGGAGGGAGGTAGGGGGGGTCAGCCCCCCTGCCCGGCCAGCCGCCCCGTCCGGGAGGTGAGGGGTGCCTCTGCCCGGCCGCCCCTACTGGGAAGTGAGGAGCCCCTCTGCCCGGCCAGCCGCCCCGTCCGGGAGGGAGGTGGGGGGGGGGTCAGCCCCCCGCCCGGCCAGCCGCCCCGTCCGGGAGGGAGGTGGGGGGGTCAGCCTCCCGCCCGGCCAGCCGCCCCGTCCGGGAGGGAGGTGGGGGGGTCAGCCCCCCGCCCGGCCAGCCTCCCCGTCCGGGAGGGAGGTAGGGGGGGTCAGCCCCCCTGCCCGGCCAGCCGCCCCGTCCGGGAGGTGAGGGGTGCCTCTGCCCGGCCGCCCCTACTGGGAAGTGAGGAGCCCCTCTGCCCGGCCAGCCGCCCCGTCTGGGAGGGAGGTGGGGGGGTCAGCCCCCCGCCCGGCCAGCCGCCCCGTCCGGGAGGGAGGTGGGGGGGGGTCAGCCCCCCCGCCCGGCCAGCCGCCCCGTCCGGGAGGTGAGGGGCACCTCTGCCCGGCCGCCCCTACTAGGAAGTGAGGAGCCCCTCTGCCCGGCCAGCCGCCCCGTCCGGGAGGGAGGTGGGGGGGTCAGCCCCCCGCCCGGCCAGCCGCCCCGTCCGGGAGGGAGGTGGGGGGGGGTCAGCCCCCCTGCCCGGCCAGCCGCCCCGTCCGGGAGGTGAGGGGCGCCTCTGCCCGGCCGCCCCTGCTGGGAGGTGAGGAGCCCCTCTGCCCGGACACCACCCCGTCTGGGAGGTGTGCCCAACAGCTCATTGAGAACGGGCCAGGATGACAGTGGCGGCTTTGTGGAATAGAAAGGCGGGAAAGGTGGGGAAAAGATTGAGAAATCGGATGGTTGCCGTGTCTGTGTAGAAAGAAGTAGACATGGGAGACTTTTCATTTTGTTCTGCGCTAAGAAAAATTCCTCTGCCTTGGGATCCTTACCCCCAACCCTGTGCTCTCTGAAACATGTGCTGTGTCCACTCAGGGTTAAATGGATTAAGGGCGGTGCAAGATGTGCTTTGTTAAACAGATGCTTGAAGGCAGTATGCTCGTTAAGAGTCATCACCACTCCCTAATCTCAAGTAATCAGGGACACAAACACTGCGGAAGGCCGCAGGGTCCTCTGCCTAGGAAAACCAGAGACCTTTGTTCACTTGTTTATCTGCTGACCTTCCCTCCACTATTGTCCCATGACCCTGCCAAATCCTCCTCTGTGAGAAACACCCAAGAATTATCAATAAAAAAATAAATTAAAAAAAAAAAAAAAGAAAAATAATCTGGCCTATTTTGGACTGGATAGATAGGTGGATACTTACCACAGTACAATTAACATAAGATCTAGAAACAGAAATAAAAAGAAAATTCTTTGTACTTACAATATTAGTACAAAGGCCTATGGGAATTCTAGTTGTTCTCTCTATAACTATGCAATGGCAAGGATTCTGTTATAAAACAGCTAAGTTGAGTCAAAGAATGACATTTGGAAGTTCAAGAAGTCCTGTCAACTGACCTAGATAGTGTCATGGTGTAATGATTGGCGCTACCAAAGTTCCTCAATGGAGGACATTGCTGAAATCTTACTGGAAAGGGTCCTGTCAAGTGTGATGAATACTAATAAGGCCTTTAAATGGCACAGTTTTCTGTTCAGGAAACGTATCTTCCATGCTAAGAAGAAACTGGTCCTGTTTATCCATTTATTGTTATTAGCATTTTTTCTTTAGATATAAGGATTAGTAACCTGCTTTTTACTTTAAATTCCAGATTAGTGGTGGTTGCTTTCTGAAAACTCCTGAGAACATTTTGTGACTGCTTGGACAAGTGGCAGACATTCTATGATAACCAGGGCTTGCTGATAGCCAAAAGAGCCTATTTTTCCAAAATGTGTTGCAAGCTTTCAGGCTTACTGCAAGTGAGCCCCATTCTGTGAAAACCGGTAGGACTCAAGACATGCTGTAGTCCTACCAATGTCAACCTGCCTGTTGTTCAACAAAAGTCTGTGCTTCTGATTTTACCTGTTTAGTCCTGGGAATGTTGGGATTTATTTCCCGTAAAACCAAACCTATGGTTTCATACATCAAGACCAGAGACCGTGGAAGTTCCGTACTGAAAACCACTTTCTTCCAGAAACCAATTTTATTGCCATTTCCTCAGGAAATAATCTCTCGTATTTGACACCTCTCACATCCAGCTGAGTTGAGAGGATTCTTCTCTTGTTTTCAGTGCAAAAGTTCAGCCTATTAGACCACCTGTGTGATTGATGGTTTGGTGAGAGTTGCTACATTGTTTAGCCTGAACTATCCTTATATTGAATATTGAAGGAAAGTGTGAGATATGTAATTTAAAGAAGCACATCTGTTGTAGTATAAGTGTGTCTCCTTTAAAATTCAGGTAGGGCTCCTCACTCATGAATGGGATTAAGGCCCTCGTAAAAAACGCTTCACACAGTTTTTAGCCTCTTGCCCTTCCACATTCTACCATGTGAGTACACAGCATTCATCCCCTCTGGAGGATGCAAGACGCCATCTTGGAAGTGGAGACCATGCCCTTTGCCAGACATTGAACCTGCTGGTGCCTTAATCTTGGACTTTTCAGCCTCCATGTGTTCTTTATAAATTACCCAGTCTACCGTATTTTATCACAGCACAAATGAACTAAGACAACATCTTTGTTACTCATAAATGTATAAGACATACAGAATTTAGTTCATTGTCACTGGCCATCTTTTTAAATACAAATTTGTATGATTTATAAATAGTGTGTCAAATTTATATAAACAAGTTTTGAAAGTTTCTCTTTAACTGTATTTTAGTACATTCTTGATGTAGAATTACTTATTTTTGCCTCCACTTTTATCCTGTAATACTAAGGTGAACCTTAGCTTCCTTTCCTAGATTACCACACCACAGTTAGTTAATTAGTAAATTACAATTTCCTATTATCAAATTAAATGTGATATTCTCCTGGTTACAATTGCACAATTGTCAATAGTACTGAATTATCACTGTAGTGTGGGAACACAGTTTATTCTCAAATCCAGGGACAATAGTGACTTCTAACCAACCTCTCCAAGAAATCTTCAACTTTCCACATTAACAGAAATATATTTTTCCAAAGTAAACGAGACACTATTTTTATTCTATTCTGAAATGATCAAACTTGCACTACTTCGTGCTGAGAAATTGGAAATGATGATTGAGAGTAATAGAATGGAGTTAGGAATGTTGAGGCTGTTGTTATCTTTAATAAGAAGGAGATTTGTGCAGGAGCTATGGGTGTCCTTATGTAACATAAACGCAAATTGTGTCATTTCCAGAGAGGAGTAACCATGGTGATGAGGGGAATCTTTTGAAGGAACCAGAATTGCTACACAGTATCTACCCCCAAAGTCTATAAAATGTTGCCATTCATTAAAAGAAGTAGTCTTACTGATTTGCACAGCCATGAATTAAAGTGATAAAAATAATTTTAATATAAGGGACATAATTCTCTTTAGAAATTGAATGTGAGATAGTGTAATACAATGGCAGAGCTTGAGGTATTTGGAATCACATATATAATAACTTGGTTCAATAGAGTTGACAGAACAACTCTGCTTTAAAATAATTAATATTTTATGTGAAGAGTGTTCAATCCCTCATTCCTGGCTCCAATTATGATTTCCTCATTTGTTTGAGGCTATGGCCCTTTACTAATCCACTTCTCTTGTTTTATCGTAAGGGAAGATATAAGAAGATTTTGCTGGCCAGACGTGGTGGCTCACACCTATAATCCCAGCACTTTGGGAGGCCGAGTTACTGTTTACTAGCCTTGCATCCTTGCAAAAGTTGTTTAAACTCCATCATTTTATTCTCTCCACTTGTAAGGATGAAAAGGGTATTTCCCTCACTCAGCTAATGTGAGAATTGAATAAAAATATGATGTATGGAAAGCTCTTCATACAATTCTGAGTACAAAGCAAAATGCTCAAAAATTGCTCAAGAAATTTTAGTCATTTTTATTGCAGCATGGTGAGTATCTCATTCCTAGAAACACTAAGGCACATAAGGAAGGAGTGCCTGTCAGAACTGTGGTAGGGTGTGAATTAATGCAGAACTTTATTTGCATAGTTATACTTTGAAGTCCATTCTGAATCTTAGATGCTACATTTATATAAATGTAAAGCATAATAATTATCTAAATGTAGAATTATATGTTTAAAATTAGATGATTACATCAACTGATGTAATTCATAGATTTTCCCTAGGGTTCTGTTTCCTGAACATTCTGTAACGTACTAGTTAGCAAAGCCTTTTTGTTTGTTTTTGAAACTGAGTCTCACTCTGTCGACTAGACTGGAGTGCAGTGGTGTGCTCCTGACTCACTGCAACCTCCACCTCCCAGGTTCAAGCAATTCTCATGCCTCAGCCTCACGAGTAGCTGGGATTACAGGCATGCACCACCAAGCCCAGCTGATTTTTGTATTTTTTTAGTAGAGATGGGATTTCACCGTGTCGGCCAGGCTGGTCTGGTACTCCTGACCTCAAGTGATCCGCCCACCTTGGCCTCCTAAAGTGCTGAGATTACAGGCGGGAGCCACCGCGCCCGGCCAGCAAAGTCTTCTAATATCTTCCCTTACGATAAAACAAGAGAAGTGGAATACTAAAGGGCCATAGCCTTAAACAAAGGAGGAAATCATAATGGGAGCCAAGAATGAGGGATTGAACACTCGACATAAAATATTAATTATGGTAAAACAGAGTTGTTCTGTCAACAGCTGACTTTGAGTCCTTGATCGATCATCTCAGCCCCCTGCATACTTTGATTACACAGTTGACCTTAACACATTGATAGGGTAAGTGCTATACAAAAGCAACTTCGGACTCTCCATTGCACATAGGTGGCCCCTGCAAGCCCCTTGCCTGTGTGTGTTCTGGAGATGACACTAAACTTGGGGGCAGCATCAGGAGACACACTTGAAAAAACTCTTTTTACTCAGATTAAATTATTAACTAACTTTCAATTTCCTTTAACTTATTACAGACATCTCTACCTGTAAATAGGTACAGATTAAGCTCTCCGGTCAACAGCTGTCATTCTGTCATATCATCAGATACCCGGAGCTGCTGCTCCTTGAGGCATCCACAGAATCACATTTTCTAGTGTTGAAAGACCTGAAAGATCATGGTGCCTTCATTTCAACTGTGAGACATGACGTAATTTTCCCAAATCTACAACATTAAGATATGGTGCAATAAGGACCAGATTAAAGGTCTCCTGATTTGCGGCCATGTTCCCTCCATCTCCTTTACTCCTAAACACACTCACACTCACTCCTGCAAATAGTTGTCTTGTCAAGTGGGAAATGAATGCTCTTACAAGGCTCAAACTTGTGAACACATCACTGACCAGCACAGAGCTGGCTACAATAGCTCCCCAATTAAGGTGTTTTACATGCAACTGGTTCAAACCTTCCAAGTGCTAAATTAAAACAATCCTTTAAAGAAGGAAATTCTGTTTCAGAAGAGGACCTTCATACAGCATCTCTGACCAGCAACTGATGATGCTATTGAACTCAGATGCTGATTGGTTCTCCAACACGAGATTACCCAACCCAGGAGCAAGGAAATCAGTAACTTCCTCCCTATAACTTGGAATGTGGGTGGAGGGGTTCATAGTTCTCCCTGAGTGAGACTTGCCTGCTTCTCTGGCCCCTGGTCCTGTCCTGTTCTCCAGCATGGTGTGTCTGAAGCTCCCTGGAGGCTCCTGCATGACAGCGCTGACAGTGACACTGATGGTGCTGAGCTCCCCACTGGCTTTGTCTGGGGACACCCGACGTAAGTGCACATTGCGGGTGCTGAGCTACTATGGGGTGGGGAAAATAGGGAGTTTTGTTAACATTGTGCCCAGGCCATGTCCCTTAAGAAATTGTGACGTTTTCTTCAGAGATTGCCCATCTTTATCATTGGATCCCAAATTATTTCCTCCATAAAAGGAGCTTGGGTACTTGCCCTCTTCATGAGACTTGTGTAAGGGGCCTTTGCACAAATCATTTCTTTTCAAATCTCCACCAATAAAACCTTTGCATCACATGTCCTCAGGGTCTTTAGAGGATTTAGAAATAAGGATTCTAAAATAAATTCCCCATACAGCACTTCCCTTTATTATGTTGACTTATGTCAGACAAAAGGAGGTTCTTACTGAAAATTTTGTGGGAGTCAAGGGAATTCAAAGGGTCTCTCCTAGACGATCCAGTGTTAGGTTCCCCACAGGACCTTTGGTGTTGGCCATAGTCCTCATATGTGAGGATGGACCCAGTGGCCTCCCCATTATCTCCTTTCTTTTCTTGCTGAACTCCAATGTTTATAAGGCCTGTATCCCTGTAGTGTATGTAGGTTCTCTGACAGAAGTTATACTTAGTGCTCTTCCTTTCTTGTGGGGAAAAGTCCCTGGAACTGAAGCTGAGATTGTTAATACTTGGAGTCACCTTACAGATACAGAGCATTTATGAGGTATTCTTTGGTGCCTAAAGAACTTAAGGCATCCTCTGAAAAACTAGCCCAGGTTCGTGTTCATTATGAATCTTTTTTAACCTTTCTGTACTTGTTTCTCTTGCATCTCCTATGTGCTCTAACTAGACATGACAGAAGAGATTTAACTAATGTATAAATTATATGAAATTCTATTTTTTAAGTCAAAAATAATCAACTATCAGAAATTTAATAATGTTCAAACTATATACTCTGTGTGGGGTTACCGAGATGATGTGAACATTGTTCACGTCTCATAGGGCTGAAAGTCAATGGGCAAGTCTTGGGAACTCATTGTCTTACTGGGGTCTTGTCCTAAATTTCCTAGGTTCACCCATCATGCCCTCAGCTTTCCTTAACTAGCCATGTCTGCTTACCTCTTCCTCCAGTTTCTATTTTTCCCCAGCTATGTTGTCATCATTTCCAGAAATCTCTAAAGCTTGCACAGAACCTTAGCACTATGAGATTCATTGAAAGAGACTTTTTTTCTCTTTTTGAGGTAGGGCCTGGCTCTGTCACCCAGTCTATAGCTCAGTGGTGTGATCGAGGCTCACTGCAACCTCTGCCACTTATGCTCAAGTGATCCTCCCTCCTCAGGCTCCAGAGTAGCTGGGAATACAGGCAGGCAACCACGCCCAGCTAATTTTTGTAATTTTGGTAGACATGAGATTTTGCCATGTTGCCCAGGCTGGTCTTGAACTGCTGGACTCAAGCAATCCTCCTGCCTTGGCCTCCCAACATGCTAGGATTATAGATGTGAGACACTGTGCCCAGGCAAAAGAGATGACTCTTAATAAAAAAATTTCCTTTTTCTTAAATCACTGTTTCTTTATCTGTGAATTCTTCTTCCAACTAGAAGGAGGAGAAAAAAGAAGTTTGCCTGTATTTATCACTGGGAGGAGAAGGGGTCTAGTGTGACATTAAAATGAAAGAGTGCTGGAGCTTGAGCCCCTTCTTGCTTTCCAGGATCCCTACAGTGATCAGTTCCCATACCCTGGTTTATTCATGTAAACCACACTTATTTTTCTCAGCAGCTACTCTTTACTGGGCTCCATTCTAGGTTCAAATCATTCTATTTGATTAAGTTAGAGAGCGTCCCTACTCTCATGGAAGTTACACAAGAGTAGAGGAGACAGACACTAACCCAATAAGCATTTAACAAAGAAGATAATGTTAGAGAGTCATAGTGCACTGAAGAAAAGACATCAGGTTTGTGAAAAAGAGAGACATGGATTCACCTACTTTAGTTCATATGTTAGGGAGCTCCACCTGAGAAAGTGACATTCAGCTGAGACAACAAAATAAGTAGACAGTCGTGAAGATCTAAGGGATGAAAGTTCCAGGGAGACCGAATCGGGGGAAAGCCCTGATGTGTTAAATTATGTGGAGGGAGAGAAAGAAAGCTAGAGGGGCTGATGTATAGAAAGCAAGGAAATGGAGAGGCAGAAGATGAGGGTAGGACACAGAGAGGAATTCAGGAGCCTCATCATTATAGGCTCTGATGTCCACAGTAAAAAAAAATTAAATTTTATTATTTATTTATTTGTTTGTTTATTTTATTTTATTTTGTGATGGAGTCTCTCTCTGTTGCCCAGGCTAGATTGCTGTGGCACAATCTCGGCTCACTGCAACCTCCGCCTCCTGGGTTCAAGCGATTCTCCTGCCTCAGCCTCCCGATTAGCTGGGGCCACAGGCGCATGCCACCACACCTGGCTAATTTTTTGTATTTTTAGTAGGGATAGGGTTTCACCGTGTTAGCCAGGATGGTCTCGATCTCCTGACCTCGTGATCCGCCCGCCTTGGCCTCCCAAAGTGCTGGGATTACAGGCGTGAGCCACTGCGCCCGGCCTATATTCAATGTTTAAAACTAATTCTAGCTACTCTGTGGGGATTGGATTGTTGGGGTTCACTAGTGGTTAGGAAGACTATTTAGGAGCACAGCAGGGAATTCTTCAGGGAAAACAGGTTTGTGGCTTCATGGAGTGCATTAGTGATAAAGATGGTGAAAAAGATAAAGTGGACAGACTTGGCATGTATTTTTGCTTAGCTTGTTAATGAATTACTGTAAAGGGGGTAGAACAATCAAGCTTATTCCTAAGGATTTTCTTTTGACAAATAAATGGGTGGTAGTGTTGTTTATTGAGATAGGAAAAACTATGGGAGGAAATGATTTGAAGTGGGTGGTTTGAAATAAAAGTTTTGTTTAAATATGAGATGATTGATTGACATTTATGTGGAGAAATCCGAAGGTCAATGGCATTTAAGAGACTCATGGTGAGGCCAGGGCTTCAGGTATTTATGTTGGCAGCAGCAATACGTGTAGTGTGTTAAATTCCAGGGCGTGGAAGAGGATACATAGGGAGATGGATTGTGTGAAGAAAAAAGAACAGGGCACAGGCCAGCAAAGGGGGCTGAGAAAGAGCCCAAGGATGCTGGAGAAAAACCAAGAGAACATCATGTGTGTAAGTCCAGGAAAATAGATTATTTTCAAGGAGAAGGGAGAGGCCAATTGTGGTGAGTACCACTAAGAGGAGGGGCAAGTGAGAATATGATAGAGAAGCAAGTGCTGGGTTTGGTGGAGTCGATATTTGCAGTCAATGGAGCATCCAGGTAGGAAACTGGATTGGACCATTTGAAGAGTGAGTAAAAGTGAGGACGAGGTTAAGGTTGACTGTTTTGAGTAGAGAGCTTCAGGGAAGGATTGTTCTCTGGGTTCAGGGAGCCAGCTGAACCTAAAGGAAAAGGCTAAAGAAGCTGAAGAGAAGGAGGAGGACCTGTGAACCAGAGATGCTCAGTCATTATTAGCGAGGAAATACGGAGAGCCCCTGTGTGCAGTGGTGACTACTCATGCAAAATGTCACACAGCCAATATTTAACACAGCCAGTATTTCACACAGCCAATATTTATTAGTGACATAGCATATACCAGTTATTACTCTAGGTCATGAGAATGGAGTGATAAATAAAATGAATCCAGTCGCCATCACTATATGCCATGTAACATTTTGCAATGACTGTGTATCAGGCCTATGAATTTCAGTATTCAATTTCAATAATGATCCTGTTGTATCTGTGGTATTTAAAAACATATACATCTCTGGAATCTAAAATTGAGAGGTTATAAGTAACACCCAGTATTACAAATTTAGTGCTGGAAATCAGATTGCAGTTTAAATCTGAGCATATAGAAAGTCCGTTTCTTCTATGTCAGCAGATGCTTTTTGTGTGAGGTTTAGGTATACTGCATTATTTGACATAAACCAGTGTTTCTGCCCTATGTCTTCAGAATGACAATTCTTTATGAAACTAATAGAAGAACAGAAGACAATTGCAAAATCATGATGAAGATACTAATTGCTTTAGAATTAAGGAATACAAAAAATAATATGAGCTGCAGTTATAGGATCAGAAAAGTTAAAATGGGAATGTATTCGAGTGTTTATTATGTGATCAGTGCTAAGAAGTGTCATCATTTAATTTTACACTTAACGGTAATCCTGTGAGGATTACGCTATTATTAAATGCATTTGATAGATTACAAAAAGGCTTATGGTTGGTAAAAATTGACCCAAGTAGAAGAGATCGTGTTTTTATTCAGGTTTTCTGATTATAGAGTTTGAGAGTTTGACCATCATTAGTGAGTAGTGACTATATTGTGTCTGAATTATTGACACAATTTCTGATATTCATATGTACCAGGCTGTTTCTTAGAGTGGGGACAGAAATGCAAGGGCTGCTAGTTCTGATGTATAGGAGAAACTTTCATTCATTTTGCATTTATCATTTTAAACGTTGTATATGTCTATCTGGGCATGTGTTCAAGAACACAAGGAAGTATTAAATCACTCCTTCTTCTGAGGTTTGACTAGCAAGTTGGGCTAGAGTTACAAATAAAATACAGGTTCCTAGTGAAATCTGAATTTCAGATACACAACCATAATTTATTGGAAATCCAAATTTAACTGGGAATCTTCTATTATTCTCTGCTCTAGAACGCCACACTTCTGATATTTCTCATTGCTGTCTAAGCTCTTGTGTGTTTGGTTTTTGGCCATCGCTTTCACTGCTCTTTAAGCTCCCCCAGAGGAGTGGAGAGGTCTGTTTTCCCTCGTTTGGATTCCTAGAGGCAGCGCAGGCCTGGCACAAGGTCATCACTAAGGAAGTGTTCACAGGGTGAACGCGGTGGGTGCTGTTGAAGGTACCGGTAAAGCGTGTGGGATGAGAGGAGCAGAGAGTGTCTTTGGGGCTCCCAGGAGGAGGCGGCGCGGGCTGCGGTGCTGGGCGGATCCTCCTCCAGCTCCTGCTTGGAGGTCTCCAGAACAGGCTGGAGGCAGGGAGGGGGTCCCAAAAGCCTGGGGATGAGAAGGGGTTTTCCCGCATGGTCCCCCAGGCCCCCGTTCGCCTCAGGAAGACGGAGGATGAGCTCCTGGGCTGCAGGTGGTGGGCGTTGCGGGTGGGGCCGGTTAAGGTTCCAGCGCCCGCACCCCGCTCAGGGAGCCCCGGATGGTGGCGTCGCTGTCCGTGTCTTCTCAGGAGGCCGCCCTGTGACCGGATGGTTCGTGTCCCCACAGCACGTTTCCTGTGGCAGCCTAAGAGGGAGTGTCATTTCTTCAATGGGACGGAGCGGGTGCGGTTCCTGGACAGATACTTCTATAACCAGGAGGAGTCCGTGCGCTTCGACAGCGACGTGGGGGAGTTCCGGGCGGTGACGGAGCTGGGGCGGCCTGACGCTGAGTACTGGAACAGCCAGAAGGACATCCTGGAGCAGGCGCGGGCCGCGGTGGACACCTACTGCAGACACAACTACGGGGTTGTGGAGAGCTTCACAGTGCAGCGGCGAGGTGAGCATGGCCGCGGGCGGGGCCTGAGTCCCCGTGAGCTGGGAATCTGAGTGTGTGTGTGTGTGTGTGTGTGTGTGTGTGTGTGTGTGTGAGAGAGAGACAGAGAGAGACAGAGAGAGGAAGAGAGAGAGAGAGCGCCATCTGTGAGCATTTAGAATCCTCTCAGTCCGGAGCAAGCAGTTCTGAGAGCACAGGTGTGTGTGTAAAGTGTGGATTTGTCTGTGTCTGTGTGTCTGTTGTGGGAGGGGAGGCAGGAGGGGGCTGTTTCTTATCCTTGGAGACCTCTGTGGGGAGGTGACAAGGGAGGTGGGTGCTGGGGGCTGGAGAGAGAGGAGACCTTGATTATCTCGGTCCTTAGAGATGCAGGGAAGGGAAATGTAAGGTGTGTGTGGTTGGGGTGAAGGTTTAGGGGAGGACTGCTGAGGGGTAAGGCAGGTTTGGGATAATGTGAGGAGGCCAGTTCCAGACTCTCCCTGGCATACACCCTTCGTGTAATCTCTGAATTAAAAGTGTGTGCTGTTTGTTTGTAAAAGCAATAGATTAATTTCTAGAGGAACTGAGTAGACCTCTGAGGCACCTCTGAAGCTTCTTTAGATCTAAATTTCTTCCTAGTTTTTTGTTTTTTTCAGTGTGTATATTTTTACATAGTAGAAATGACTGTGAAACTAACTTTTTGAATTAAAGTTTTGACACGGTTACTATTTTATTATAATGCTGGTAGTTTTCTAGTAGTTACATATTATTCTTTTATATATAATATTTGTGACACAACTCACCTCACTTTCCCGTTTGTTGACCTTTATTATGACATTCACCAGAAGTTGAAATTGTGTGTTTCTGGTTAATTTTTAATTTATATTTTTTATTTGTAATTCCTTTGAATTATTTTGCCCTATTTATTGGCCGATTATAATTATTGCTCTAAGAATTCCCTATTGTATTTGGTAGGTAATGGACAATGATCTACGGTCTAATATCTTGAGGGCTTAGTATTTTTCTCAGTGACTTTCTGCGTTCTTTGTACTATAAGATTATTAACACTTTATTGATATTTGATCCAGCATTTGCTCCAGTTTGTGGTTTGTATGTGGATTTTGAAAATTCTTTTCCATGTTAAGAATTTGAACATTTTTATTTAATAAAATATATTGCAACATTTTTATTAATGATCTACAATCCATCTGAAATCTGCCATTTTGTGGCATTGTTGTCTCCAGGTTTCTCCTTACTTCTAAAAAAATAGTTGTATTTATTGAGAGTATGCTAGTGTCGGGGATTTTCCTGGGCATAAGCACCCCAAGTAACGAGTCCCAGACACTGCCTTAATCCAAATGTGATTCTGGAAAGAAAAATCATTTTACAATGATAGGCCTAATAATAATTATGCTTGTGTTGCACGGGAGATGCATTGATCAGCTAAATGTAAATATAAGAACTTTCAAAACTTAAATGACGTTCCCTAATCCTTCTCTCTGCTTCAGGACTCATGCTTTTCTAGGAAAGTAAAAATTTGGAGAATCATTTCTGTCTGTC
Organism: Homo sapiens; assembly: GCF_000001405.40. NCBI lineage: Eukaryota > Metazoa > Chordata > Mammalia > Primates > Hominidae > Homo > Homo sapiens. The sequence goes on along the minus strand of NC_000006.12, from coordinate 32,582,575 downwards.
CCACCTTCCCAGGGGCAGAACAATTTCTGTTGTGTTCTAAGGTGTGAGTGCATGGGAGTAGTATTCCTAAAATTCATACTTGGTTTCCTCATGTACCCAACTCTGTCCCTTTATCTATGCATATTGCTTTAAATCATATTTTTCTGTCAAGGTGTACAAGGATGATAAATAGGTGCCAAGTGGAGCACTCAAGTGTGATGAGTGCCCTCACAGTGGAATGGAGTGAGAAGCTTTCTGACCTCATAAACTGAAGGCTATCTTCAGTCATTGTTTTATATATTTTACGTGCATTAATCCTCATATAACCCCAAGAGGTAAATTAGTATAATTATCCTTCATTGTAGGTGACAAAGTTGAGACACAGAAGAATCAAAAAACTCTTCCAGGATCAACCAGTAAAAGGCAGACCTTGGATTCGAACCAGGCAACCTGGCTCAAATATCAGTTTTAATTACTACACTCTGTACTTTCCAAGATTTGTAAACAGTTTGACAATGCATGCCGATTTAAAACTATGAAGAAACAAACACAATTTTTCACAACACCTCTCAAATCTAATGGGTCCTCACTGTCAAGATTAAATTCCAGGCTGATGACACTGTAAGGTCACATGGCCAGCTGTGCTATAGGCCTGGTCAAGGCCAGAGCCTGGGTTTGCAGAGAAGCAGACACACAGCCAAACCAGGAGACTTACTCTGTCTTCCTGACTCATTCCCTCTACGTTGTTTTTCTCCTAGTCCAACCTAAGGTGACTGTATATCCTTCAAAGACCCAGCCCCTGCAGCACCACAACCTCCTGGTCTGCTCTGTGAGTGGTTTCTATCCAGGCAGCATTGAAGTCAGGTGGTTCCTGAACGGCCAGGAAGAGAAGGCTGGGATGGTGTCCACAGGCCTGATCCAGAATGGAGACTGGACCTTCCAGACCCTGGTGATGCTGGAAACAGTTCCTCGAAGTGGAGAGGTTTACACCTGCCAAGTGGAGCACCCAAGCGTGACAAGCCCTCTCACAGTGGAATGGAGTGAGCAGCTTTCTGACTTCCTAAATTTCTCACCCACTAAGAAGGGGACCGTGCTAATCCCTGAGTGTCAGGTTCCTCCTCTCCCACATCCTATTTTAATTTGCTCCATGTTCTCATCTCCATCAGCACAGGTCACTGGGGGTAGCCCTGTAGGTGTTTCTAGAAACACCTGTACCTCCTGGAGAAGCAGTCTCGCCTGCCAGGCGGGAGAGACTGTCCCTCTTTTGAACCTCCCCATGATTTTGCAGGTCAGGGTCACCCACTCTCCCAGGCTCCAGGCCCTGCCTCTGGGTCTGAGACTGAGTTTCTGGTGCTGTTGCTCTGAGTTATTTTTTGTGATCTGGGAAGAGGAGAAGTGTAGGGGCCTACCTGACATGAGGGGAGTCCAATCTCAGCCCTGCTTTTTATTAGCTTTGTCACTCTAGACAAACTACTTATCCTCATTGAGTCTCAGGCTTTCTGTGGATCAGATGTTGAACTTGTGCCTTACATCAAGGCTGTAATATTTGAATGAGTTTGATGTCTGAACGTCGTAACTGTTCAGTGTAATTTGAAATCCTTTTTTTCTCCTGAAATGGCTAGTTATTTTAGTTCTTGTGAGGCAGCTTTCTGCCCCATTTTCAAAGCTCTAAATCTTAGAGTCTCAAGTAAAAAGGTTCAATTTGGAATAAACATCACTAAACCTGGCTTCCTCTCTCAGGAGCACGGTCTGAATCTGCACAGAGCAAGATGCTGAGTGGAGTCGGGGGCTTTGTGCTGGGCCTGCTCTTCCTTGGGGCCGGGCTGTTCATCTACTTCAGGAATCAGAAAGGTGAGGAGCCTTTGGGAGCTGGCTCTCTCCATAGGCTTTTCTGGAGGAGGAACTATGGCTTTGCTGAGGTTAGTTCTCAGTATATGAGTGGCCCTGAATAAAGCCTTTCTTTCCCCAAACGGCTCTAATGTCCTGCTAATCCAGAAATCATCAGTGCATGGTTACTATGTGAAAGCATAATAGCTTGTGGCCTGCAGAGACGAGAGGAAGGTTAACAAGTAGGGGTCCTTTGGTTTGAGATCCTGGAGCAAATTAAGGAAGAGCCACTAAGGCTAATGGAATTACACTGGATCCTGTGACAGACACTTCAGGCTTCATGGGTCACATGGTCTGTTTCTGCTCCTTTCTGCCCTGGTTGGTGTGGGTTGTGGTGTTAGAGAAATCTCAGGTGGGAGATCTGGGGCTGGGACATTGTGTTGGAGGACAGATTTGCTTCAATAACTTTTAAGTGTATATCTTTTCCTCTTTTTCCCAGGACACTCTGGACTTCAGCCAACAGGTAATACCTTTTAATCCTCTTTTAGAAACAGACACAGTTTCCCTAGTGAGAGGTGAAGCCAGCTGGACTTCTGGGTGGGGTGGGGACTTGGAGAACTTTTCTTACAAGAGGTTTTTTTTTGTTTTTTTTTTTTTTTTTTTTTTTGAGACGGAGTCTCGCTCTGTCGCCCAGGCTGGAGTGCAGTGGCGGGATCTCGGCTCACTGCAAGCTCCGCCTCCCGGGTTCACGCCATTCTCCTGCCTCAGCCTCCCAAGTAGCTGGGACTACAGGCGCCCGCCACTACGCCCGGCTAATTTTTTGTATTTTTAGTAGAGACGGGGTTTCACCGTTTTAGCCAGGATGGTCTCGATCTCCTGACCTCGTGATCCGCCCGCCTCGGCCTCCCAAAGTGCTGGGATTACAGGCGTGAGCCACCGCGCCCGGCCTACAAGAGGTTTCTAAATGCACCAATCAGTGCTTTGTAAAAACACACCAATAGGTTCTCTGTGGCTAGCTGGATGTTTGTAAAATGGACCAATTCGCACTCTGTAAAATAGACCAATCAGCACTCTTTAAAATGGACCAATCAGCACTTTTAAAATGGGCCAATCACCACTCTTTAAAATGGACCAATCAGCACTCTTTAAAATGGACCAATCTGCAGGACATGGGCAGGGACAAATACAGGAATAAAAGCTGGCCACCCCAACCAGCAGTGGCAACCCACTCAGGTCCTCTTCCCTGCTGTGGAAGTTTTGTTCTTTTGATCTTCACAATAAATCTTGCTGCTGCCCACTCTTTGGATCCCTGCCGCCTTTAAGAGCTGTAACACTCACTGTGAAGGTCTGCAGGAAGTCAGCGAGACCACAAACCCACCGGAAGGAACAAACTCAGGACACACCAGAATGATGGTAGAGGTGATAAGGCATGAGACAGAAATAATAGGAAAGACTTTGGATCCAAATTTCTGATCAGGCAATTTACACCAAAATTCCTCCTCTCCACTTAGAAAAGGTGTGCTCTGCGGGACTATTGGCTCAGGGGAGACTCAGGAACTTCTTTTTCTTCTTCCTGCAGTGCTCTCATCTGAGCCCTTGAAAGAGGGGAAAAGAAACTGTTAGTAGAGCCAGGTTGAAAACAACACTCTCCTCTGTCTTTTGCAGGATTCCTGAGCTGAAATGCAGATGACCACATTCAAGGAAGAACTTTCTGCCCCGGCTTTGCAGGATGAAAAGCTTTCCTGCTTGGCAGTTATTCTTCCACAAGAGAGGGCTTTCTCAGGACCTGGTTGCTACTGGTTCGGCAACTGCAGAAAATGTCCTCCCTTGTGGCTTCCTCAGCTCCTGCCCTTGGCCTGAAGTCCCAGCATTGATGGCAGCGCCTCATCTTCAACTTTTGTGCTCCCCTTTGCCTAAACCGTATGGCCTCCCGTGCATCTGTATTCACCCTGTATGACAAACACATTACATTATTAAATGTTTCTCAAAGATGGAGTTAAATATCATCTGGTCCATTTGGCTCCAAAGACAGAAAATGAAAAGAAAAAGGGAAGATTATTTTCCAATAGAATAATGATTTTCATGTATATGTCATGAGTGTGTGAGGTAATGCGTATGTTAAATAGCTGGATTTAGACATTCCACACTATAGCCATATATCAAAACTTCATGCTGTACAACATAAATATACTATACAATTTTTACTTGTCAATTAAAAAAGTAATCCTAACATTTAAAAAGGCAATGCATAAAAACTGAGAACAGACTATAACAACTGAAACAAACTGGGCAAACATGAGATGAGAAACCAGCCAGCAAGTCAATCAGAACTCTTTCTTCATCTCGTCTACAATATTTTGTATTTATAACTGTAAATTAGTGTATAGTGTTTCACTCCAGAGACTTCAATAATACAGTGTTATCAAAGGACTTGTACAGATTTCAGAGAAAGACACATTTAGAAGATGGAGAGTTCTCCGTTATGTTCTATCTGAGAGTCAGTATGAAATGTCAAATCTAAAAGTACATAATTCAGAGGTCTATTTCAAATTAATAATCATTTGAGCATAATTTCTCCACTGTCAGAGACGACTGTTATTTTATTTTCAATCAAATTAAAAGTTGTTTTTATGCATATCTTATTTTTAGTTATATGTTACTTGTACATACGTAGCAGTACAAGTGCATATAAATCCTGTAAGAGTATAAATCCTATAGAAATATATTAAGCTGATAATTATGTCTGTTCTGTTTGATCACAGAGTTGCAACAAATAGGCCTCATTTCCTAAGTTGAGGAAATGATTTTCTCATTTTATATGAGACTTGTGGTGTGGAATTTCAAGGTAGAACCAAAATGTGTGGAATGAATATTTCAATGAAGATGCGTTCTGCTGCTAATAGCAGGAAATCCCATCTAGTGGCTTTATTTTTCTTTAACCCGTTATCTCACATAGCCGATAGATCCAAGGCTGGGCATCTCCAGAGTTGCTCAACTCAGCAGGCCAGTGGCATCACCAGCGACCCTGGAACTTCATAGCTCATCTCTCTATCACACACAGTATGTCAGCTTTCCTGAGATGGTAGGGTGACCCCTGCAGCAGCTTTAGGTTTGTTATTCTTTCACAACAACTCCCAAAGGCAGGAAAAGGATACTCCTTTCTCCTGTGTGCCTTTATAAGGAGCAACTAAACTGTTTCCAGAGTGTTCCCAGTACCCACTTTCTCACACATTGGAATGACCGTGGGATCACATGGGCTCAGACAAGCCAGGATTCAACCTTTGCAGAGTGGGCCTGAGGCACATGGGAAGAAAAGGAGCAAAATCATGTATTTTAAAAAATAAAGAAATGGTGGATGGAGTAGCAGAGATTGATTTCCGGGTAGGGAAATGATAGATTGTGGTACTATCAGGTTGTAAGTATTTGAGTTAACTTCCACATGAAAGCCTATAGATTCCTGATAGGCACCCTCAATTCAGGGTTTTGGGTCTTTATATGTATACATATATATATATACACACACACACACGTATATATGTACATATATACATATATGTATATATAGGTGTGTATACATACACACACATAGAGTTATTAAATGTCAGCCATTAACTCAATTACAATAAAAAAAAGCAAGCAAACAGGATTGATTGTTTGTACAACTCAGTTAAGTATGCTGACATGTTATTTTATGAGGTAAATATATTTTCCAGGGAAAATATTGAAAAAAAGTAGAATAAGGAATGATTAGCTCTATAAGGTGCTAAAACATACCATACATTTACTTTTAAAAATGCATTTGTTACTGATTTTTTAAAATTATATATGCTAGCAAAACAGAGTCTAGAAATAGAAACAGAAAGAGCTGAGATTTAGTTTCAGTTTTTGGTAAGTTGAATTCCAAATTCATTTCTTTCACTAAATAGATCCTGGATAAATAAAACTTGAAACATAAAGAGAAAATATAAAGTTCATAAGACAGATGCTATTTCTAATACTATCATCATCATTATAATTATGTTTGAAGACAAATAGACTTTCTAATTCCTTATGTGTTGCTGGTGGGAGTGTATGAGTCTACAAATACCTGGTAATTTGGCAATTTCTTAAAAAGTTTAACATATGTTTGCCCTATGACCTAGCAATTTCACTCCTTGGAATCTACCTAAGAGACATAAAAACATATGTCCTCACATAGATATGTGTTCAAGGGTTCAGAACAGCCTTAGCCATAGCAGGCCAAAACTGAAAACAATCCAGATATCCTTCAACTAGTAAATAGATAAACAAAATTCAACTACATCCAGGCAAGGCAATATCATTCAACAATAAAAGGGGACAAAAATAGACTTATCTGGCAGGGGAGATACCATAAACATGAGGGTAGTTTTCCCAAGGCAAATTTCAACCCTTGCACCCTAGATGATGAGATTACTTAATGGGTACAATGCATGTGATTTGGGTAATGGATACTGTAGAAACACTAACGTCACCACTATGCAATCTATGCATGTACCAAAACTACACTTGTACCTTTTGCATTTGCACAAATGAAAAAAGACAAAAAGAAATGAAAAGAAAACAAAATGATGATACATACTACAAAACTAGTGAACTTCAATAGTGTTAACTAAGTGAAGGAAATTGGATACAAAAGATTACATGTTGTATGATTTCATTTACTTGAAATATCTAGAAAAGGTAAATTTATAGACACAAAAAGCAGATCATTGGGTGCCTAGGGTTTGGGGTCTCAGTGGGACTTAACTATAAATAGAGAAATTTGGGACATGACAGAAATGTTCTAAAACTAAATTGTTGTGATAATTGCACAAATCTATTAATTTACTCAAATTATTCAATTTTACATGTACAATGAGTGAATTTTGTAGTATGAAAGTTATGCTTTAGTAAATCTGTTAAAATAATCCTTTTTAAAAAAATAAGACTTCATAAGCAAGACAAAATCCAGAAGACACAAATGAAAAAATATTTGAAGAAAATTACTGATTTCTTTGCATGAAGAAAATAACAAAATTAAAAGAAGTATATGATGCTCAGGAAAAATTTTGATCACATAAGGCAGACAATGGGCTTTCTTATGAAAAATTGTTAACTAATCAATCAATAAATTCATGGAAATGCCATAGACAATTGGGCAAAGGATATAGACTCACTATAGAAGAGAATATCCTAATAGTCGATAAATATATATATATTTGCTCAAACTCACCAATGAAGAGAAAAAGCCAAATTCGAACAGCAATGTAATAAACTATTTCTCCTACTCCAAAATTGGCAAGTACAATAGTTTGTTTTAACCTCAAGGATTTAGAAGATTCTAAGGGAATAGACTCTCCCATATTATTAGGATTTTAAGTTATAACAGTGTAGTAGTATCTATTAAAACTCAAAATACAATTGTTACGCGCTTGATGAAAACAACAAAAATCCCGTTGTAAACATCCGTCTTAAAGAACAATCCTACATGAGCCCAACGAGACATAAAATTGGTCGTTTGTTGAGCCACGGTTTGGAATAACAAAAACATTTCCAAATTCAAAAAGAAAAACTGATTAATTTGTCTTGATTATAAAAATTTTGTACATCCTAAAAACTATGGAGCATGTGAAGTGACAGCACACTGCAGGATGACATTTGGTGCTGTGTGGGGCACTGTGAGCATATATTGGTGTAACCCTTTGAGTAGTTTGAATAATACAGTATTTCCACTCTAGGTTGTTACAGTCTCGGTGAATTTTTCCTCATATGTCCATGATGACATATAAAAAATGTAACAGGGGAGAAAAGAAACACTATCTACATTTAGATAGAGAAAAGGTAAACTGTGGTATAACCACAGAAAGGAATAATATTCAGGGCTTTAAGTAAATTATGTAGGACTATCAACATGGATTGGAAAAAAATCATAAACCATAATGCCAGTTAGGAGGTGGAAAATTACGAGAATTGTCACTATTACTATAAGAGCAAACAGATATATAGACTAAACTAAATGGATAAACTGGAAAATAATCTTATTTTAAAAATTTTAACCAGCTGTGGATCAAAAAGTATAAAAATTCCAAATTCCAGAGATGAACAAATTCCACATAGGCGAGCAGGGTCAAGTGTCCACTCTTATTCTTTGGTCATCTACTGAATCTTAACATGGGAAGAAGATTGAGCCTGGCTGAGAAAGGGAGATTGTGAGGGAGTAAGGATAAACCAGCTGAGTTGTCAATAGCCCTGTGGGTTTGTGTGATGCATTACAATCTATAGAGGCCCCCTGAATAATATATATCTACTTTGCCCTGTCAGCTGATTCTCCTTCCAGAACTTTTTCTGACTTCATGCTGGTGCTGTGGGAACTAGGGAGGTAGATGGAAGACAACAAATATCTCTGTAGCTTCGTGCAAAGATCAGGAAGGAAATCAAGATAGGAACAATACTTTCCACCTTCTTGACTTAGTTGGCATTTATAATTAACATAAATTGACAACATCTGATAACTACAGAATATTTACTTATTTACGTTGCACAAAGATAATCCATGAAATAGAACAAATACTGTGACTATAAAACTAGTCTCAATTACTTTCACAAGAATAAAATCATACAGAGTATATTCTCTGAACACAATCTTATGAAATTACAAATTAGTAGGATTGAGAAAACGGCCTAAATTTTTGGAAGTAAAATAATACATTTCTAAATAATCTATGGCTTGTCAAAGAGGAAATCAGAAGGAAATTAGAAAATAATTTTAAATAAAATAATACTAAAATGAATTTTAAAAATTTTCGAGATGCAACCAAGGCAGTCCTTAGAGAAAAATATTTAGTTTTAAATGCCTGTATTATAAAAGGATAAATATGTAAAAATCAAAGGGGTAAAATTTTAACTTAATAATAAAAAGAAGCAAATTTAAGTTGAAAAAAGTAGAAGAAAAAGCAAAGAGGTGAAGAAATTGATAAAATTATTTTCTTGGTTTTGTTTTCTATTTGTTTATGATAGAGCATAATTATGTTAGTCCATTCCTACATTTCCAGAAAGAAATACCTGAGGCTGGGTAATTCATAAAGAAAGGAGGTTTCACTGGCTCAGGGTTCTGCAGGCTCTACAGGAGGTGTGGTGCTGGCAATTGCTTCTGGTGAGGGCCTCAGGAAAATAACAATCATGGGGGAAGGAAAGGGGGTCCTGCATATCACATGGTGAGAGCAGGAGCACAGAGAAAGTTGGGGAACAGTTGCAGTCCTTTAAAAAACCAGGTCTCATGTGAACTGAGTGAGAACTCACTCATTACAGCTAGGATGGCACCAAGCCATTGATGAAGGATCTGCCCCCCGACCAAAATACCTCTCACCAGGCCTCACCTCCAACAATGGAGGTTACATTTTAACATGAGATCTGGAGGGCACAAGCATCCAAACTATATCAGTAACATAATTGGTTTAATGTATACTGACTTTGTAATCAGCAACATTATTTAAATTCACTTATTAAATCTGTGAGCTTGTCTATTGTTTTTATTTTCTAAGTACCTGATTATGTCAAGAGTAAATAATGACCATTTTACCTGGATGCAATTATTATCTCTTTGATATATTTTTCTTGCCATTATTATTGCCTAACTCCTCTAGTACTCCTGATATGAAGGAGATAGTTTTCAATATTTCACTGCTGAGACTAATGTGTGCAATTGGGTAGCTATCATTTCTCAGATTGGAGAAATATCTTTTTAATACAAGTTTGAAAACAGGTTTTTTCAAAATTAAGGCCAAGTGCTCAATTCTGTCAAATCGTATTTCACGACTCTATCCAGGTGGTTGCATGTGTATTCTCCTTCCTTCAGTTAATGTCGTGAATCACACTAATGGATTCTCAAATGCTCAAACAACCTTGCATTTCTGGAATAACCTCCACTTGGTCATGATGTAGTAGCCATCTTTTATATCACTGAATTCACTTGGCTAATGTTTTCTTAAGAACTTACCTTATAAGAGTTATTGGTCTCTTAATTCCTATTTGTTGTAGAGTTCCCTTCAGGTCTTGAAGTAAAGTTTACACAGGTCTCATCAAACATAATTGCAAGTGCTTTTCCTTTTTTCAAATATGTTTGAAGTTTGTATAAAGTTAGTGTTGTTTGCTTCTTAAATATTTAAAAATAGTTACAGAAGCTAGATGAACCTGGGGTTTTGTCTTGGGAAAGCTTCATAGAATGGACTTACTTTCTCTATGAGATGTGGAACTCTTTCTGTCTTATGTTATTTGTCAGCTTCAGTACATTGTACATTTTGAATAATTTATTCATTACATGCACAGTACATTGTACATTTTGAATAATTTATTCATTACATGCACAGTACATTGTACATTTTGAATAATGTATTACATGCACATTTATTTTTGTAAAGTTATTCATAATATTTAGTATTATTTCATGCTGATAAATCTGTAAGACTATAATAAAAGGTATGAAATTTGTGTCACTGGAGTCTTAGAAGGAGATGACAAATGGGTGATGCCCAAAGAGTGTTTGAAGGAAGATTGACTATTTTCCAAATCTGGACAAAGACTTAAATGTAAAAATTCAAGAATCTGTGCAAACCCAAAAGAAAAGAAATCCAAAGAAATTTATGCCAAAAAAAATCTCGAAAGCAACAAGAGAGAAATGACATCTCATGCACAGGAGAAAATAAATTAAATGACAGTGGATTGCTCATTAGAAATCATGCAGACCAGACAGAAGTGGCACAAGATGTTTTAATGGCTGAAAGGAACGTTAACCTAGAATGTATATCCAGTAAAAACATTATTATAAAATCTTCTATCATGACATTCTTTTTTTTCTTTTTTCTTTTTGTTTTGTTTTTCAGATGGAGTCTTGCTCTGTCACCCAGGCTGGAGGGCAGTGGCGCAACCACGGCTCACTGCAGCCTCTGCCTCCCAGGCTTATGTGATCATCACACCTCAGCCTCCTGAGTAGCTGGAATTACAGACACACACCCCAACGCCTGGCTAATTTTTTGTATTTTTGGCAGAGACAGGGTTTTGCCATGTTGCCCAGGCTGGTCTCGAATTCCTGAGCTCATGGGATCCGCCTGCCTTGGCCTTCCAAATTGCTGGGCTTACAGGCGTGAGCCACCGCGCCTAGCCATGACATACTTAGAGGAAGGAAAATCAAGAGACTTTCATGCTAGCAGATTTATGTTAAAACAAGGGCTAAAGGAAGTGCTTGAACTGGAATAGAAATGATAATGGAAGAAATCTTGGACAATCGGGAAAAAAGTAAACAATAAATGAGTAAAAATATGGTTAGATACAACAGACTTCTTCAGTTTTGTAAATTAATTTGATGGTTGAGGCAAAAATTACAACATTGACAGATGTGGTTTTGATGCAAGTAGAGAAAATAAAAAATATATATTACACATGCAGAAGTGGAAAGGGATATAAAGGAGGTAAAGTTTCTACACTTTAGTCAAATTCGTAAAATGTCAGCACCAGCACTGAAGAAAAGACATCAGGTTTATGGAAAGAGAGAATTGGATCCACCCAACTTTGGTTCATATGCTTAGGCAGCTGTACCTGAGAAAGTGACATTCAGCTGAGACAACAAAATAAGTAAACAGCCATGTGAAGATCTAAGGGTCGAATGTTCCAGAGAGACACAATGGGGGGAAAACCCTGGTGGGGGAAATTATGTGCAGGGACAGAAAGAAGGCTAGAAGGACTGATGTATAGGAAGCAAGGAAATGGAGAGGCAGAAGATGAGGTAGGATGCAGAGAGGAAGTCAGGAGCCTCATCATATTAGGCCCTGATGCACATAGTAAGAAATTTTAATTTTATTTAAACAGATATGGGAAGCTACTGCATGGTTACAGGGAGAGTCAATTTATATTCAATTTTTTAAACTAATTCAAGCTACTCTGTGGGGGATTGGACTGCTGGGATTCACAAGTGGTCAGGAAGCCTATTAGGAGCACCGCAGGGAATCCTCAGGGAAAACAGTTCGTGGCTTCCTGGTGTGTATTAGTGATAAAGACAGTGAAAAAGATGAAGTGGACAGACTCGGCATGTATTTTGCTCAGCTTGTTAATGGATTACTGTAAAGGGGATAGAATAATCAAGCTTATTCCTAAGGATTTTGTCTTGACAAATAAGTGGATGGTGGTGGTGTTTATTGAGATAGGGAAAATTGTGGGAGGAAATTATTTGAAGTGAGTGGTTGGAAATGATTTATTGACATTTATGTGGAACAATCAGAAGGCCAAGGGAATTTAAGAGACTCACGGTGAGTTCAGGGCTGGAGGTGTTTATGTTGACAGCATCAATACATGTACTCTGTTAAATTCCAGGGAGTGGAAGAGGATACATATGGTAATAGCTTGTGTGTAGAAAAAAGAAGAATGCCCAGGCCAGCAAAGGGGACTGAGAGGGAGCCCCAGGGATGTTGGAGAAAAACCAAGAGAACACAATGCTTGTAAGTCAAGGAAAATAGATTTTTTTTCAAGAAGAAGGGAGAAGCCAATGAGTATCACTAAGTGGGTGAAGTGAGAATGTGAGAGAGAAGCAAGTGCTGGGTTTGCTGGGGTTGGTATTTGCAGTCAATGGAGTATCCAGGATGGAAACTGGATTGGACTATTTGAAGAGCCAGCAGAAGAAGTGAGGATGAGGTTAAGGTTGACTGTTTTGAGTAGAGAGCTTCAGGGAAGGACTGTGCTCTAGGTTCAGGAAGCCAGCTGAATCTAAAGGAAAAGGCTAAAGAGGCTGAAGAGAAGCAGGAGGACCTGTGAACCAGAGATGCTCGGTCATTATTATCAAGGAAATATTAGAGGGCCCCTGTGTGCAGTGGTGACTGCTCATGAAGAGGTCACACAGCCAATATTTCACACAGCCCATGTTTATTAGTGACTTAGAATATGCCAGCTACTACTCTAAGTCATGAGAATGGAGTGATGAATAAAATGAATCTGGTCTCCATCAGTACATGCCATATAACATTTTGCAGTGACTGTGTACCAGGCCTATCATTTTCAGTATGCAATTTCAATAATGATCCTATTGTATCTGTGGTGTTTAAAAATATATACATCTCTGGAATCTAAAATTGAGAGGATATAAGTAAAACCCAGTATCCCAAATGTAGTGCTAGAAATCAGATTGTAGTTTAAATCTGAGCATGTAGAAAGTCCCTTTCTCCTATGTCAGCAGGTGCCTTTTGTCTGAGGTTTGTTTAGGTATACTGCATTGTTAGACATAAGCTAGTGTTTCTGCCCTATGTTTTCAGAATGACAATTCTTTATGAAACTAATAAAACAGAAGACAATAGCAAAATCATGATGAAGACACTAATTGCTTTAGAATCAAGGAATAGGAAAAATAATGTGAGCTGCAGTTAAATGGATCATAAAAAATTAAAATGAAAATATTTTTGAGTGTTTATTATGTGGTCAGTGCTAAGAAGTCATTATTTAATTTTACACTTAAAAATAATCCTGTGAAGATGATGCTGTTATTAAATGCATTTGATAGATTACAAAAAGGCTTATGGTTAGTAAAAATTGACCCAAGCAGAAAAGATCATGTTTCCATTCAGATTTTCTGATTCTGGAGATTGAGAGTCTGTCCATCATTAGTGATTAGTGACCAGATTGTGTCTGAATTATTGACAGAATTCCTGATATTCATATGTACCAGGTTGTTTCTTGAAGTGGGAGCAGAGATGCAAGGGCTGCTAGTTCCAATGTATAGTGGAACTATACTTTCATTCATTTTGCATTTATCATTTTAAAAGTTCTATATGTCTATCCTGGGCATGTGTTGAAGAACACAAGGAAGTATTAAATCACTCCTTGTTCTGAGGTTTGACTAGCAAGTTGGCCTGGGGTTGCCAAATAAAATACAGGTTCTTAGTTAAATCTGAATTTCAGATACACACCGTAATTTACTGGAAATCCAAATTTAAGTGGGCATCCTCTGGTTTGTTTGCCAAACCTTTCAACCCTAACTGGGACACATGAGCATGGATTACAGTGTTAGTCACGCAAACCACAGTGACAGCGACTTCACACATGTTTATTTTTTAACTTCCTCTCTGTAAAGAAAGTGCTTAGATAATTTAAGAATAAAAAGACAGACATTTTTGATCCACGGCATCATTTCTAAAGGGGAAAGGAAGCTTTACGAAGGTCGTACTCAAAGTCTGGGGACCTGCTCATTTTTTGTAAACTGTCTGAATGAGAGTGTCATTTTTTTGGTTTCTCCCTTTCTGAGGGGACTTGATTACAAAACCAACAGTTCTGCCTCTGGCCAAGGCTGGAAATTTGATGCCTGTTAGTATTGTTGGGAGTGGGAGACTGAGAGAAATGAGTTAGTTGGGGCATTAAATGGGAATAAAATGGCTGTGGTTGTGATTCATTACTACAGATAATTGGTGGACCAGTGGCACAGAAAGTAAGAAAGAAGATGCTATAACAGATAAATGATATGATTTGATGACTGATTATAAAGGCAAGGAAATCAGTAAATCTTGGTTCTCCACAAGTTCATTTTCTGGAAACATAGCACTGTACTGGGACCAGAATTCTACAACATTTTCATTTTATGTAGGACCAAGATTTTCAACAGATATTTTTCAAAGTAATTCTCAGCTGCTCCATAACTAATAGTGGCTTGTTCAACACAGATTTTTTCAGATGGTTCACACCCATGGTTCTTACCCAGGGATAGTTCACCACCCCTCCCTTCCCTCCCATCACCCTTGGGGAACATGTGGCAATGTTTGGAGGAATTTTTGGTTGTCACAACAGGGATTTCTTCTGATATTTAATGAGTAGAAGCCAGGGACACTTCTAGAGAACCTGCAATGTACACAACAGCCTCCATCACCAACAAAGAATTACCTGGTCCAAAATGTCAGTAGTGCTGAGGCTGAGAGCACTGGTTCACACTGTGCTCTTTCTGAAAAGTGTAGACTTACCTCTTTTTGTTTTGTTTTGTTTTGTTTTTTTGAGACGGAGTCTCGCTCTGTCACCCAGGCTGGAGTGCAGTGGCACGATCTCGGCTCACTGCAAGCTCCGCCTCCCGAGTTCATGCCATTCTCCTGCCTCAGCCTCCCAAGTAGCTGGGACTACAGGTGCCTGACACCGCGCCTGGCTAATTTTTTGTATTTTTTTAGTAGAGATGAGGTTTCACCGTGTTAGCCAGGATGGTCTCGATCTTCTGACCTTGTGATCCACCTGCCTTGGCCTCCCAAAGTGCTGGGATTACAGGCGTGAGCCACTATGCCTGGCCTAGACTCACATCTTTTATACAATCACCACCCAATTCACTTCTTTATGGTTAATTTTTGTTTGTTTCATTATAAATAACTAGACAGTTGCATAAATTCAACCACTTTCTTGTTGAATCCATTTAGTGTAGAGAGCCAGAGTCCGGAGAATCATGACCAACTCAGCATTTCCACTGCGGCAATATGATCAAACAGCAAACTGTTTATCATGAGTACAGAATAGGGGCAAACTCTCCTCTGTGCTGGCCACCAGACGGTTTGCTGAGGGCAATAACTCCATGGTGCCGGGTTCCTTAAGGTTATCTGCTGGGACATCTAGAGCCTATTGTTCGAGGAATGCAGTCTTGCAAGGCTGCTCTGGAGCAAGCAGCAGACCGACAACCACTCCCTTCTTGCTATCTCTTTTCAGTAAATACGAAGGAAGCTCAAAGCTCAGGGCCCTTGTTCACAAAGAGCAAGGTGCCCCTGACCCCTTCTTCCAAATATACTCTTTTGTCTTTATTCCCACATTCGTCCTCCTTTGTTCAGTCCAACAGTGTCCATGGCATAGTGATGTTCAAACAGCGACAGGGCGACGCCATAGTGGTTTCTAAACACAGGGACATGAGAATGTGAACAAAGAAGGTCTGCTGGAGCAGAGGAATTGAAATTGACAAGATGAATGGGGACCCCAGGATGAGTCTGCTGGCAGCTGATATAAGGTCAGTGCCCTAAAGAGGTACTGGGAGCAATATAAGGTCAGTGCTCTAAAGAAGTACTGGGAACGGGAAGTTTTCTGAATCAGGGTAACGTGAGGCAGAATTTGTCTATTGAAGAAAAACATTATGTGCAGTTGCTTAAAGTTTTGTTGAAATAATCTGGTGCTCAGGTTAGATCTCAGACATTAACTAAGATGCTGCAGGAGGTTATTATGCATAACCCATGGTTCCCACAGACAGGCACTCTTGATATGGAAAATTGGGACAGAGCAGAAAGATTAAAACAGGCTCATCAAAAAGGTCTCAAAGTTGGTCCTTCCGTTTTCTCCACTTGGAGTTTAGTCCATACTGTCCTTCTGCCATTATCTCCTTCTTAGCTTGCTGGACAGCAGGAGTGATGTTCTGAAAGAATCTGTTGTCCCACCCACAGCTCCAATTGAAAATAAAAAAACAAGAGAAGGAGAATAAAAATTGGCCTATACCGCCTCCTCCAATAGCAGAAACATCTGTACCGCCTCCTTCAGTAGCAAAAATAGAGACTCCAATACAGAGAATTTTACACCCTGCTGCCATAGCTGGAGAGCCCTTAGGACCTTGCACTTTTCCTATTTCTGTAAGGCCTGATCCAAATAATCCATAGCAGCTTATTCATGAACACACTCCAGTAGAGTTTAAGTTGTTGAAGGAATTAAAAGGAGTGTGGTAAATAATGGCGTACAGAGCCCATTCACTTTAGGGTTGCTAGTATCTGTATTTGGTGCTGTGTACCTTCTACCCTTCGATGTAAAGAATTTGTCTCACACTTGTTTGTCTCCTAGTGCATACCTGACATGGAATTTAAATTGGCAAGAAATGTGTGCAGACCAGGCTAGACAGAATCATGTGGCTGGACACAGAGACATTACAGAGGACATGCTGTTAGGTAATGGCCCTTATTCAGACCTGGAACATCAAATGGCACTCTCAAATGCCAGCAGTGTGCACAGGCTGCTAAATGTGACTGGGCCACAATTTCACAATTCCGGAAAAGGGAGTCCCATTACAATCCTTTTTACATATCATGCAAGGGTCACAGGAACCTTATGCACAATTTCTTGCATGACTACAAGAGGCAATGAAGCATCAGATTTATCATACTGCTGCTGCAGAGATGCTAACTTTAACTCTAGCTTTTGAGAATGTAAATGCAGATTGTAAATGTGCATTGGCACCTGTGAGGTGTACAAAAAACTTGGGAAATTTTCTCAGAGCTTGTCAAGATGTGGGAACTGAGCTTCATTGCTCTACAATATTAGTGCAGGCAGTGGCTAATTTAGCAGTTGACAAATCTAAAAGGAGCCAAGGGTCAAACCCTAAAATGGGAAAATGTTATAATTGTGGAAAAACTGGACATTTTAAAAAGGAATGCTGCCAGATCTCCGGACAGAAAGGACCGTACAATGCAGTGCTCCACCCAACAGAAAAAACACCAGCACTTTGTCCTCGCTGTAACCAAGGAAGTCACTGGGCTAATCAGTGCCACTCAAAATTTCATCAAAACAGCACCCACTTGTCGGGAAACTAGAAGGGGGCCTGGACCCGGGCCCCTCAAACAATGAGGGCATTTCCAGTTCAGACCACAGTCCCACTTCAGGGATGGGTCCCAGGAGAAAAATTGATTCCTGGTATTCCTCACCTCACCAGGAAGTGCAGGATTAGATCTCCCCACCAGAGAAAGAACGTTATTTGGAGGAGACAAACCTACCAAAGTTCCCACTGGCATTTGGGGACCTTTACCAACAGGATACATAGGACTAATTTTAGGCAAAAACCCCCTTAACTTGCAAGGCATCACTGTAGTCCCTGGAGTAGTTGACTCCCATTATGAAGGAGAAATTCAAGTAGTTTTAATGTCAAAAATCTTTGCGTTTTTGAACTGGGAGAATATATTGCTCAATTGTTGCTTATTCCCTGCAAATTACATCCTTGTCCATGAAAGGAGAAACGAGGAAATACAGGGTTTGGGAGCACAACTACAATGGAAATCTATCTATCCCAGCCCACAGCCTCTAATAGACCCACCTGTGTAGTACAAATTAAAAGAAAGAAATGTTATGGGCTTATGGATACAGGAGCTGAAGTGTCAGTAATATCCAGTAAGGACTGGCCCCCAGTATGGTCTCTCAGACTAACCTCCACATCCCTAGTGGGAATAAGAGCAGCTACAAGTGTTCAACAGAGTGCTGACATTTTACCTTGTCTTGGTCCGGATGGACAGTCATGTACTTTTCAGCCTTATGTTGCAAATACAGCAATCAATATATGGGATTGAGACTTACAGCATAGAATATGAGACTTACAAATGAAAACTTTGATAACCCAGGATTTAAAATGTTGACGGACATGGGATATCAGAGTGGGACAGGTTTAGGGAAATTCCTACAAGGAAAACCTAACCCGATATCAATAACTGGAAAAACAGATAGAAAAGGGATAGGACGTCAGGATTTCTGATGCAGGTCATTGATATTTCTCCTCCACCCTCTGCCTTACCATTAGAATGGCCAGTGACAAACCCATATGGGTGGATCAATGGCCCCCACCTCAGGAGAAGCTGATGCAACTTCAGCAGCTAGTATAAGAACAATCGGACACAGGACATATAGAGGAGTCAGTTAGCCCCTGGAATTCACCAATGTTTTTTATTCCAAAAAAGTCCAGAAGATGGTGACTGCTGCATGATTTGAGAGCTATTAATGCACAATTTAAACCAATGGGTCCATTACAGCAAGGTGTGCCAATTCCAGTGGTCATTCCTAGAGACTGATCTCTTGTAGCAATAAATCTTAAGGATTGATTCTTCACGATACCATTACATGAGAAGGATAAGCCTTAATTTGCCTTCTCTGTGCCTTCTATTAATCAAAGAGAACCTGTTTCTTGCTATCAATGGAGAGTTTTACCCGAAGGCATGCTTAACAGTCCTACGCTATGTCAGCATTTTGTAGGACAGGCGTGAAAGGAGCCTCGAAATATGTTTCCTACTGCTTACATCATTCATTTTATGGATGACATTCTTTTGGCCGCTCCTACAGATCAAATCTTACATCAGTTATTCTGAGAAACAAAACAGGCTTTAACTAAATGGAGTCTCAAAATAGCTCCAGAAAAGGTACAAACAACTTCACCATATCATTACTTAGATAATATTGTTACTGAAAGAAGTGTACGGTCTCGAAAAGTAGTTCTCCATAAAGACAGGTTACAGACTTTAAAAGATTTTCAACAGTTGTTAGGGGATATTAATTGGCTGCACCCGATGCTAGGTATTGCCACTTATCAACTTACACATCTTTATGAAACCCTACAAGGAGATTCTTCATTAGATTTCCCACAGCAATTGACCAAAGAGGCAGAAGCCGAGTTACAGCTTGTAGAACAGATGCTTCAGCAACGGCATACCTCCCAGCTACAGCCACAAAAGCCTTTGTTTTCTCTATCCGTCAGACAAAATCTTGCAGTTTTATAGAGTCTATTCTTTCATTCTTCCTGTGATTACTCATCACAAGCCTATTCCAGGTGGACAAACCATTTTACTGATGGCTCTTCCAAAGGTCATGCAGCTATCTATGGACCCAAGCACACTCAAACAATAATGACCTCTGGGATTTCCACTCAAGGCTCAGAGTTTATTGCAGTCATTCAGGTTTTACAGCTCACAGCTTCAGATCCTATCAACATTGTCTGTGATTGAGCTTATGTTGTAAATGTAGCCAGTCACGTAGAAACTGCTCCAATTAAAAGCACCCTAGAACCAAAACTAGTTAATTTGTTCCTAAGACTTCAACAAACTATTCACTCTCATGCAGCTCCTTTTCATATTTCTCATATTTGCTCTCACACACAACTTCCTGGAGCCCTATCTCTAGGTAATGATAGAGCAGATAAATTGATTGATTCTGTATTTCAGCAAGCTCAAACCTCTCATGCATTACTGCATCAAAACACCTCTGCCCTTACTTGTACATTTAACTTGCCTCACAGCCAAGCTAGGTCTATAATACAAGCCTGTCCTACTTGCCAGCATGTCCCTGGAGCCACACCTATAGAAGGGTGTAATCCACGAGGCTTGCCTCCAAATGAAATTTGGCAAATGGATATTACGCACATAGCAGCCTTTGGTAAGTTTAGCTATGTTCATGTGCCTATAGACACTTATTCTCATATGCTGCATGCTACATGCCAAACAGGTGAGACAGCTGGTCATGTGCGGCAACATTTCTGTTGTCATTTGCTCATATGGGGATACCTAAACAATTAAAAACTGACAATGGACCTGCTTATGCTAGTCATGCTTTTCAAAATTTCCTGCAACTTTGGGCCATAACCCATAAAACAGGAATTCCTTATAATCCTAGAGGACAAGATATTATAGAGCAGGCACATCAAACATTACAACACATGTTGAAAAGACAAAAAGGAGGAGTAGGGGACAAGTTACCACTGCAATCAAAGTTGTATTTAGACTTATTTGCTTTAAATTTTTTGACTCCTGGTACGAATGTTAAGACTCCAGCGGAAAGACATTGGTCACTGTTAGAGAAAAAGAGGAGAGGTTTTCCGAAAGTGTTATGGAAATCCCCAGAAAAAGGAAAATGGAAAGATCCGGTGGATTTACTGATGTGGGGATGAGGGTATGCTTGTGTTTTCACAGGAGATGGACAAACCATGTGGGTGCCCTCAAGGTGCGTGCAACCATGGAACAGGAGACTGGAGGAACCCAGGGTGGCCAACCATGGGCCCGGTCCCTCCAGTACGGGCCATGAGCCAGCTGAGCCTGAGTGAAAAGATGGAGAGAAGGACAATCAGAGTCATGGCAATATCAAACCTCATAAACTGCGGACAACTCAGGAAAACCATGCAGGAAGCTGAGAAACTACTGGAGCATCAGGGACAGGCAAAAACCCCTGATTCCATGTTCTTGGCTAAGATACCCATAATGTCTTGTGCGGTATGTTTTCCCTGTGCAGAGGCAAAAATATATTGGGCATATATTCCCAATCCCCCCAGCAGTATGGCCTATACTCTGGAGTGACACTCCTCCTGAGATTGATCATAATCAGGGAGCGTGGGCTCCAGGACCCCTAACTCCCGGTGACATAGAACAGTTAGACTCTCAGAACAATGTCATCAATTATACCGCTCCGCTGGAAGGACTCCCTTTGTGTATCACCTCAAAGACGTCACTCAGCCATAGCTGTCTTACAATTCAAGCTCAAACATGGTTGAGTCACTACAGAAAACTCATGTACTTCTTAAGTCTTAGTTCTATTAATGTAACTGGTGTGCTAACCGACCATTCCCAGGCCAATTGCCCTAATCGTGCTGACTATACGGAATGAATTCCCTTCAATAGTTCCTATCCCCCTCTGTGGACCCCGTGTCTTGGCTCACTGGCTAAAAAATAATCAATATTAACTGGAGATATTGTGGATTGGAGACCTAAAGATCAACTAGATGGAAAAGATAATAATCAGAAATCATGGCACAAATTTCACTGGCATTGGTGGCAAGCTTATAATGCTTCTTCTTTATACCACACCGGGATCCAATCCTATTCTGCTGCCCAGATTGCTTGGCATGGAGCAGGCTTTAGCCTGCCTCTTCCTCAGTGGTATTATCTAGGGAGGAAAGGACCAATCCAAGAGATGTTATGGAAGGCAGCACTCCCATTTATGAATGGCAGCATCTGGGTTGGGATATCATCCAATAATAGCAATAGTAAGTGACACAGTTTTAATGTTACATTTGTAAGGAATATCACCACTCAATTTACAGCTTGTGTTTTTGCCTGTAAATCTTGCCAGTTATATCACTGCATTAATCATAGCACATTGCAAACACATAATATCTCTACTTTGATAATTTTGGGTTGCATCCCTGGACTATGGATTCCTGTTAATCTTTCCAAGCCTTGGGCTGCCACACCTGCTTTGCATTATGTGAAACTTTTTCTAACTCAGCTTACTCATCATGGCCATAGAGCCTTACGCATGATAATTTTTGCTATAGTTTCCTTGGTCACACTAATAACTTCTGTTGTGATGTCCTCTGCAGCTTTTCATAGTTCTATTCAAACAGCTCATTACATGGAGAACTGGATGCCTATGGCTGACCAAGCGTGGCTACTTCAGAATAAAATTAACACTGAGTTACAAACTGAAGTAGCAATGTTGAAATCCACTGTTGTATGGTTAGAGGAACAAGTACAAAGTTTACAGTTGCAGCAGCAATTGCTTTGTCATCTTAATCACCCTCATATTTGTGTAACCAAATGGTTAGAATATAACCAAAGTGAGTATCCATGGGACCTTGTGAAAGTCCATTTGCAGGGAGCTTTCACATCCAACATCACCTTTGATATTGGTGAATTACAAAACAAAATTTTTGACTTAAATAAGCAAACTCAAGAATTTCAGCCTTCTTTAGAAGACTGGACTGAATTCCAGCAAGGCCTGGAGAGCCTCAATCCTTGGACCTATCTAAAACACTACGTTAACATCTCATTTGTAGTTCTGGAAATGATGTTGTTTTGTCTCTGTCTTCTGTTCATAGTCTGTAAAACTGGATGGACCGCCAATGGGAAAATGAGAGCTGCCCAACCTGGCCTTACATTCTTTCAATTAATACATAAACAGAAAGAGGGAAATATAGAGAGCCAGAGGCTGGAGAATTGTCACCAATTCAGCATTCCACAGAGGCTATATGATCAAACAGCGAACTGTTTATCATGAATACAGAATGTGGGCAAACTCGCTTCTGTGCCGGCCGCCAGAAGGTTTGCTGAGGGCAATCACTCCCTGGTGCCGGGCTCCTTGAGGTTATGCACTGGGACATCTAGAGCCTATTGTTTGAGGAATGCAGTCTTGCAAGCCTGCTCTGGATCAAGCCACAGACTGAAACACCCCCGAAGAGCAAGGTGCGCCCTGACCCCTTCTTCCAAATATACTCTTCTGTCTTTTGTCTTTATTCACCCATTCATCCTCCTTTGTTCAGTCCAACAGGGACTGTGGCAATTTAGTCAATGCAAGTTCAGTATCTTCATATTTATTTTTTGCCTTATGCAATATTTCTCAACATTTTCATGAGTTGTTGGTCATCACTATCTCTATTAACTTTCAACAGTTTGCTCTTGTAAGTCACAAATAGTGATGCTGCTGCAATTATTTTTCACTAACATGCCTCAGATTTCTGTAGTGATTCTACTTTTGATACCATTCACAATGTAAAATGCTTCTACTTATTCATTTCACTTTTAACCACAGGATTATTTTTACGTTATTTTTGTCACTTTCACACTTCAATGAAACATAAAGACAAAACATCAAAAATATATACATAGTGTTTTACATATGTGTATATTTACACATATATATGTATGTATGTTTATATGTATTGAGACTACAGAAGCACATGTCACCAATAAGAGCTCTGAGACACCTTTGACCACTTACCCTTATCAGATGACATTTGCCAAATGAGTTGTAGAAACAAGTTTTTTTAACTGAATTTCTGAGCTTTGTGGATTTAGAAATGCAAAGGAAGGTTTGTGGACATTCATGGGATCGTGGTTTTATTCTCCTTAAATCTCTTTGATACTTTCCCATTGTCTTTAGTATAAATCCAGAATCCTAATGCCACCCATGAGGCTTTTAAACACCTGGCTTCTTATGATGTCTCCAGGCTAATATTTTACCCTCTTTCCCTTCAGTCTCTCTGCTTTAGTGAACTTTCTTCTGGTTTCCTGAAGAAGTTCATCAATTCAAGCTTTTGTACATGGTATTTCCTAAACCTGAAAATGTGCCTCCCGTTTTGTCCAAACAGACACACAGGCTCCACTCCGCCCCCTGGCTCACACCTGCTTAACCTGTCAAGTCACATCTGAACTGTCATTCTTCAACGGGTCCTTCTCTGGCACCCTAATGTAATTGAGATCATCCTATTATTCTCTGTTCTAGAACTCCACACTTCTGACATTTCTCATTTCTGTCTAAGCTCTTGTGTGTTTGGTGTTTGGCCATAGCTTTCACTGCTCTTTAAGCTCCCCCAGCAGAGTGGAGAGGTCTGTTTTCCCTCGTTTGGATTCCTAGAGGCAGCGCAGGCCTGGCACAAGGTTATCACTAAGGAAGTGTTCACAGGATGAACGCGGTGGGTGCTGTTGAAGGAACCGGTAAAGCGTGTGGGATGAGAGAAGGAGCAGAGAGTGTCTTTAGGGTGGAGGCTCCCAGGAGGAGGCTGCACGGGCTGCGGCGCTCGGTGGATCCTCCTCCAGCTCCTGCTTGGAGGTCTCCAGAACAGGCTGGAGGCAGGGAGGGGGTCCCAAAAGCCTTGTAATCATTGGTAGTTTTCCTCCCTGGTCCCCCAAACCCCTGTACGCCTCAGGAAGACGGAGGATCAGCCCCTGGGCTGTGCATGGTCAGGGTTGCAGGTGGGGCTGATCAAGATTCCCAGCGCCCGCACCCCACCCAGGGAGCCCTGGATGGCGGCGTCGCTGTCAGTGTCTTCCTCAGAGGCCATCCCTGTGACTGGATCGTTCGTGTCCCCACAGCACGTTTCTTGGAGCAGGCTAAGTGTGAGTGTCATATCTTCAATGGGATGAAGCGGGTGCAGTACCTGAACAGATACATCCATAAACGGGAGGAGAACCTGCGCTTCGACAGCAACGTGGAGGAGTTCCAGGCAGTTACGGAACTGGGGCGGCCTGTCGCAGAGAACTGGAACAGCCAGAAGGGCATCCCGGAGGAGAAGCGGGACAAGATGGACGACTACTGCAGATACAATTACGGGGTTTTTTGAGAGCTTCACAGTGCAGCCGCGAGGTGAGCGCGGCGGGGGGCTGGGCCTGAGTCCCTGTGAGCTGGGAATTTGAGTGTGTGTGTGTGTGTGTGTGTGTGTGAGAGAGAGAGAGAGAGAGAGAGACATCTGTGAGCATTTAGAATCCTCTCAATCCTGAGCAAGGAGTTCTGAGGACACAGGTGTGTGTGTAGAGTGTGGATTTGTCTTTGTGGCCTTTGTGGGAGGGGAGGCAGGAGGGGGCTTCTTCTTATCCTTGGAGGCCTCTGTGGGGAGGTGACATGGGAGGTGGGTGCAGGGGGCTGGAGAGAGAGGAGACCTTGGTTGTCTCGTGTCCTTAGAGATGCAGCGAAGGGAAATGTAAGGTGTGTGTGGTTGGGGTGAAGGTTTAACGGAGGAGAGCTGAGGGGCATGGAAGGTTTGGGATGATGTGAGGAGGCCAGTTCCAAACTGTCCCTGACACACACCCTTCATATAATCTCTAAAATAGAAGTGCGTGGTGTTTGTTTGCAAAAGCATTAGATTAACTTCTAGGCGAATTGAGGAGACCTCTGAGGCACCTCTGAAGCTTCTTTAGGTCTAAATTTCTTGCCATTTTTTTTCTTAGTGTGTATATTTTTACATAGCTGAAATGATTGTGAAACTAACTTCTTGAATTAAAGTTTTAACACATTGTTATTATTTTATTATAATGCTAATAGTTTTCTAGTAGTTACATATTATTCTTTTATATGTGATAGTTGTGACACAACTTACCTCACTTTCCCTTTTGTTGACCTTTATTATGACATTCACCAAAAGTTGAAAATGTATGTTTCTGGTTAATTTTTAATTTATATTTTTGATTTGTAATTCTTTTGAATTATTTTGACCTATTTATTGGCCAATTATAATTACTGCTCTAAGAATTCCCTATTGTATTTGGTAGGTAATGGACAATAATCTATTGTCTATTATCTCTAGGGCTTAGTATTTTTCTCAGCTACTTTGTGGGTTCTTTGTACTGTAAGATTATTAACACTTTCTTGATATTTTATTCAGCATTTTCTCCAGTTTGTGGTTTGTATGTTGATTTTGAAAATTTTTTTCCATATTAAGGATTTGAACGTTTTTTGTTTGTTTGTTTTTGGTTTGTTTTTTTTTTTGAGACAGAGTCTCACTCTGTTGCCGATACTGGAGTGCAGTGGCGCGATCTCGGCTCACTGCAACCTCCACCTCCTGGATTCAAGCGATTCTTCTGCCTCTGCCTCCTGAGTAGCTGGGATTACAGGCGCGCACCCCCACGGTCGGCTAATTTTTGTATTTTTAGTAGAGACGTGTTTTCACCATGTTGGTCAGGCTGTTCTCAAACTCCTGACAGCCTCCCAAAGTGCTGGGATTACAGGCTTGAGCCTGAACGTTTTTATTTAATAAAATATATTGCAAATGTTTATTAATGATTTACAATCCATCTTAAATCTACCATTTTGTGGTATTGTTGTCTCCAGGTTTCTCCTTCCTTCTCACAAAAAATTGTACTATTGAGGGTATGCTAGTGTCAGGGATTTTCCTAGGCATAAGCACCCCTACTAATGAGTCCCAGACCCTGCCTTGATTCAAATGTCATTCTGGAAAAAAAATCATTTTACAATGATAGGTCTAATAATAGCTATGTTTGTTTTGCACAGGAGATGCATTGATCAGCTAAATGTAAATATAAGAACTTTCAATATTAAAATGGCCTTCCTTAATCCTTCTCACTGCTTTAGGACTCATGCCTTTCTAGGAGCTTAAAGATTTGGAGAATAGGCTGGGTGCAGTGGCTTATGCCTGTAATCCCAGCACCAAGGCGGGCAGATCACGAGGTCATAAGATGGAGACCATCTTGTCTAACACAGTGAAACCCCATCTCTACTAAAAATACAAAAAATTAGCTGGGCATGGTGGCGGGTGCCTGTAGTCCCACCAACTCAGGAGGCTGAGTCAGGAGAATCACTTGAACCTGGGAGGCAGAAGTTGCAGTGAGCCAAGATGGCGCCACTGCATTTCAGCCTGGGCAATAGAGCGAGACTCTATCTCAAAAAAAAAAAAAGATTTGGAGAATCATTTCTGTTTGTTTTGCACAGGAGATGCATTGATCAGCTAAATGTAAATATAATAACTTTCAAAACTAAAATGACGTTTCTTAATTCCTAAATCTCTGCTTTAGGACTCAGGCTTTTCTAGGAACATAAAGATTTGGAGAATCATTTCTGTCTGTCCTACCTTCCCAGGGGCAGAACCATTTCTCTGGTGTTCTAACGTGTGACAGCATGGTGGTAGTATTCCTAAAAATTCAGACTCGGTTTCCTCATTTACCCTACTCTGTCCCTTTATCCACATTGCTTTAAAACATATTCTTCTCTCAAGGTGTAAGAGGATGATAAATAGGTGCCAAGTGGAGCACCCAAGTGTGATGAGCCCTCTCACAGTGGAATGGGGTGGGAAGCTTTCTGACCTCATAAATTGAAGGCTATCTTCAGTCATTATTTTACATATTTTACGTAAATTAATCCTCATATAACCCCAAGAGGTAAATTAGTATAATTTAACCTACATTATACGTGAGAAAGTTGAGACACAAAAGAATCAAAAAACTCTTCCAGGATCAACCAGTAAAAGGCAGACCTTGGATTTGAACCAGGCAACCTGGCTCAGGTATCAGTTTTAATTAATACACACTGTACTTTCAGAGATTTGTAAACACTTCAACAATGCGTGACAATTTCAAGCTATGAAGAAACAAATAAAATTTTTTATAACATCTCTCAAATCTGATAGGTCCACACTATCACGATTAAATTCCAGGCCGATGACACTGTGAGGGCGTATGGCCAGCTGTGCTGGAGGCCTGGTCGAGGCCAGAGCCTGGGTTTACAGAGAAGCATACAAACAGCTGAACAACGAGACTCTAACTTCCTGATTCATTCTCTCTACCTTTTTTTCTCCTAGTCCATCCTAAGGTGACTGTGTATCCTGCAAAGACCCAGCCCCTGCATCACCGCAACCCCCTGGTCGGCTCTGTGAGTGGTTTCTATCCAGGCAGCATTAAAGTCAGGTGGTTCCAGAATGGTCAGGAAGAGAAGGCTGCGGTGGTCTCCATAGGCCTGATCCAGAATGGAGATTGGACCTTCCAGACCCTGGTGATGCTGGAAACAGTTCCTCGGAGTGGAGAGGTTTACACCTGCCAAGTGGAGCATCCAAGCGTGACGAGCCCTCTCACAGTGGAATGGAGTGAGCAGCTTTCTGACTTCATAAATTTCTCAACCACCAAGAAGGGGACTGTGCTAATCCCTGAGCGTCAGGTTTCTACTCTCCCAATCCTATTTTCATTTGCTCCATGTTCTCATCTCCATCAGCATAGGTCACTGGGGGTAGCCCTGTAATCGCTTCTAGAAACACCTGTACCTCCTGGAGAAGCAGTCACACCTGCCAGGCAGGAGAGGCTGTCCCTCTTTTGAACCTCCCCATGATAGCACAGGTCAGGGTCACCCGGTCTCCCTGGGCTCTAGGCTCTGCCTCTGGGTCTGAGACTGTGTTTCTGGTGCTGTTGATCTGAGTTGTTTGTTGTGATCTGAGAAGAGGAGAACTGCAGTGACCTTCCTGACATGAGGGGAGTCCAATCTCAGCTCTGCCTTTTATTAGCTCTGTCACTCTAGACAAACTACTTAACCTCACTGAGACTCAGGCTTTCTGTTGATCAGATTTTGAACTTGTGCCTTACATCAAGGCTGTAATATTTGAATGAGTTTGATGCCTGGACCTTGTAACTGTTCAGTGTGATTTGAAAACCATTTTTCCCCCAGAAAAAATAAATTTTTTCCCCAGAAAAAATAGTTATTTTAGTTCTTACAGGAGGTAGCCTTCTTCCCCATTTTGAAAGCTCTGAATCTTAGAGTCTCAATTAAAGAGGTTAAATTTGGAATAAAAATCACTAAACCTGGCTTCCTCTCTCAGGTACACGGACTGAATCTGCACAGAGCAAGATGCTGAGTGGAGTCGGGGGCTTTGTGCTGGGCCTGCTCTTCCTTGGGACAGGGCTGTTCATCTACTTCAGGAATCAGAAAGGTGAGGAGCTTTCCATAGGCTTTTCTGGAGGAGGAAATTTGGCTTTGCTAGGGTTAGTTCTCAGTATATCAGTGGCCCTGGATAAAGTCTTTCCCCAAATGACCTCCAATGTCCTGATAATCCAGAAATCATCAGTGCATGGTTACTACGTCAAAACATAATAGCTTGTGGCCTGCAGAGATAAGAGAAAGGTTAACAAGTAGGGATCCTTTGGTTCGAGATCCTGGAGCAAATTAAGGAAGAGCCACTAAGGCTAATGCAATTACACTGGATCCTGTGACAGACACTTCACACTTCATGGGTCACATGGTCTGTTTCTGCTCTTCTCTGTCGTGGTTGGTGTGGGTTGTGGTGTTAGAGAAATCTCAGGTGGGAGATCTGGGGCTGGGACATTGTGTTGGAAGACAGATTTGCTTCCATATCTTTTAAGTGTATATCTTTTCCTCTTTTTCCCAGGACACTCTGGACTTCAGCCAACAGGTAATACCTTTTAATCCTCTTTCAGAAAGAGATTCAGTTTCCCTAGAATGATGGCAGAGGTGATAAGGCATGAGACAGAAATAATAGGAAAGACTTTGGATCCAGATTTCTGATCAGGCAATTTACACCAAAACTCCTCCTCTCCACTTAGAAAAGGCCTGTCCTCTGCTGGATCATTGGCTCAGGGAGATCTAGGAACTTGTTTTTCTTCTTCCTGCAGTGCTCTCATCTGAGTCGTTGAAAGCAGGGAAAAGAAGCTTTTAGTAAAGCCAGGTCTGAAAACAATTTCCTCTGTCTCTGCAGGACTCCTGCGCTGGACTCCTGAGCTGAAGTGCACATGACCACATTCAAGGAAGAACCTTCTGCCACAGCTTTGCAGGATGAAAAGCTTTCCCACTTGGCTCTTATTCTTCCACAAGAGCTCTCTCAGGACCAGGTTGTTACTCGTTCAGCAACTCTGCAGAAAATGCCCTCCCTTGTGGCTTCCTCAGCTCCTGTTCTTGGCCTGAAACCCCACAGCCTTGATGGCAGCGCCTCGTCTTCAACTTTTGTGCTTCCTTTTACCTAAATTTTCCTGCCTCCCCTGGGTCTGTATTCCCCTTGTGCCACAAACACATTGCATTATTCAATGTTTCTCAAACATGGAGTTAAAAATTATCTGGTCCATTTGGCTGCAAGGACAAAAAATAAGAGAAAGGGAAGATTATTTCCCAATAGAATAATGGTTTTCATATATATATAATAAGTATATGAGGTAAATGCACATGTTAAATAGCTTGATTTAGACATTTCACACTATAGGCATATATCAAAATTTCATGCTCTACAACATAAATATACTATACAATTTTTACTTGTCAATTAAAAAAGTAAACCTAACGTTCAAAAAGGCAGTGCATAAAAACTGAGAACAGACTATAACAACTGAAACAAACTTGTCAAACATTGAGATGAGAAACCAGCCAGCAAGTCAATCAGAACTTTTTCTTAACCCCGTCTACAATATTGTGAATCTGTACCTTTAAATTAGTATATAGTTTTTCATTCCAGAGACTTCAATAATATAGTATTATCAAAGGACTTATACAGATTTCAGAGAAAGGCAAATTTAGAAGATGGAGGGTTCTCCATTGTATTCTATCTGAGAGTCAGCATCAAATATGTCAAATCTGAAAGTACATAATCAATTCAAAAGTTTACTTCAAAGTAATAATCATTTGAACATAATTTATCTGTCAGAGACAACTTATTTTATTTTCAATCAAATTCAATGTTTATTTTATGCATATTTTGTTTTTAGTTATATGTTATTATACATACATAGAAGTAAATGTATGTATAAATCCTATAAGAATATAAATCCTATAGGAATATATTAAGCTGACAATTATGTCTGTTCTGTTTGATCCTAGAGTTGCAACAATTACGCTTTGTTCCCTAAGTTGAGGAAATGATTTGTCTCATTTTATATGAGACTTGTGGTGTGGAATTCTAAGGTAGAATTAAAATGTGTGGGATGAATATTTGAATGAAGATGCCTTCTGCTGCGAATTGCAGGAAATCTCATCTAGTGGGCTTTTCTTTTCTTTAACCCGTTATCTCACATAGCTGATACATCCAAGGCTGGGCATCTCCAGGGTTGCTCAACCCAGCAGGCCAGTGTCATCACCAGCGATCCTGGAACTTCATATCTCATCTCTCTATCACACACAGCACGTCAGCTTTCCTGAGATGGTAGGAGGACCCCTGCAGCAGCTTTACGTTTCTTATTCTTTCACAACTCCCAAAGGCAGGAAAAGGATATGACTTTTTCCGTGTGTCTTTATAAGAATCAACTAAACAGTTTCTAGAGTGTTCCCAGTACCCCACTTTCTCAAACAATGGAATGACTGTGGGATCACATGGGCTCAGACAAGCCAGGATTCAACCTTTGTAGAGTGGGCCTGATGCACATGGGAAGAAAAGGAGCAAAATCATATATTTTTAAAAATAAAGAAATGGTGGATGGAGTAGGAGAGATTGATTTCAGGGTAGGGAAATGAAACATTGTGGTATTATTAGGTTGTTAGTATTTGTAGTTAAATTTCACATGAAGGCCTAGAGATTCCTGACAGGCATCCTCAATTCAGGGTTTTTGGGTCTTTTTAGATACATATATATTTATTATACATATATTTAAATATATATATTTTTAAAACATAAATATATATAATATACATACATTGAGTATTAAATGTCAACCATTAACTCAATTACAATAAAACAAAAAAGCAAGTAAAAAGGATTGTTTTTAGAACTCAAGTATGCTGACATGTTATTTTATGAGGTAAATATATTTTCTAGGGAAATTTTTGGAAAAAAGCAGAATAAGGAATGACTAGCTCTATAAGGTGCTGTTTTAAAACACACTATACATTTATTTTTTAAAAGGCATTTGTTACTGATTTTTTTTTTCATTAAATACTAGTAAAACAGAGTCTAGAATTAGAAAGAGTTGAGATTTAGTTTCAGTTTTTGGTAAGTTGTATTCCAAACTCCTTTCTTTCACTAAATAGATCCTGGATAAATTAAAATTGAAACATAAAGAGAAAATATAAAATCAACAAGACAGATGTTATTTATTTATTTATTTTTCTTTTTTGAGACGAGGTCTTGCTCTGTTGTCCAGGCTGAAGAGCAGTGGTGTGTTTCCTGCTCCGCACAACCTTTGACTCCTGGGTTCAAGCAATTCTCCTGCCTCACCCTACCGAGTAGCTGCGACTACAGGTGCATGCCACCATGCCCGGCTAATTTTTACGTTTTTAGCAGAGACAAGGTTTCACTGTGTTGGGCAGGCTGGTTTTGAACTCCTCACCTTGTGATCTGCCTGCCTTGGCCTCCCAAAGTGTTGAGACTACAGGCGTGAGCCACCGTGTTCAGCTGACAGATGTTATTTCTAATAGTATCATCAACATTACAATTATGTTTGAAGACAAACAGACTTAACTCTTACGTAGTGCTGCTGGGAGTGTATAATTTTACAAATACCTGGAAATTGGCAATTTCCTACAAAGTTTAACGTACGTTTGCCATATGACCCAGCAATTTCACTCCTTGGAATCTACCTAAGAGACATAAAAACATATGTCCTCACAAAGATATGTGTTTGAGTGTTCAGAACAGCGTTAGCCATAGTAGGCCCATACTGAAAACAATCCAAATATCCTTCAACTAGTAAACAGATAAACAAAATGGTACTACATCCATGCAAGGCAATATCATTCAACAATAAAAGGGGACAAAAATAGACTTATATGGCAGGGGAGATACCATGAACATGAGGGTAGTTTTCCCAAGGCAAGTTTCAATCCTTGCACTCCAGATGATGAGACATTACTTAATGGGGACAATGCATGTGATTGGGGTGATGGATACTGCAGAAACACTGACTTCACCACTATGCAATCTATGCAGGTAACAAAACTACACTTGTACCTTATAAATTCACACAAATGAAAGAAGACAACATGAATAAAAAGGAATGAAAAGAAACAAAATTGATGATACATACTACAAAACTGGTGAACTTCAATAATGTTAACTAAGTGAAGGAAACTGGACACAAAAGATTACATGTTGTATGATTTCCTTTACTTAAAATATCTAGAAGAGGTAAATTACAGAAACAAACAGCAGATCATTGGGTGCCTAGGACTTGGGGTATCGGTGGGAATTAACTATAAACAGAGAAATTTTGGACACTATAGAAATGTTACAAAACTGGATTGTTGTGATAATTGCACAAATCCATTCACTAACTAAAATCATTAAATTTTATATAGACAATGAGTAAATTTTGCAGTATGTAAATTATGCTTCAATAAACCTGTTAAAATAATTCTTTTTTTAAAAAATAAGACATCGTCGCTAGGTGTGGTGGCTCACACCTGTAATCCCAGAACTTTGGGAGGCCAAAGCGGGTGGATCACGAGGTCAGGAGTTGAAGACCAGCCTGGCCAAGATAGTGAAACCCCGTCTCTACTAAAAATACAAACACATTAGCAGGGCATGGTGGCAGGTGCCTGTAATGCCAGCTACTTGGGAGGCTGAGGCAGAGAATGGCGTGAACCCGGGAGGTGGAGGTTGCAGTGAGCCAAGATCGCACCACCGCACTCCAGTCTGGGCGACAGAGTGAGACTCCATCTAAAAAAAAAACAAAAAAAACAAACAAAAAAACAAGGCTCTGCATGGTGGCTCAAGCCTGTAGTCCCAGCACTTTGGGAGGCTGAGGTGGGCAGATCACGTGGTCAAGAGTTCAAGACCAGACTGGCCAACATAGTGAAACCCTGCCTCTACTAAAAATACAAAAATTAGCCGGACGTGGTGGTGCATGCCTGTAATCCCAGCTACTCAAGAGGCTGAGGCAGGAGAATCGCTTGTGAGCGGGAGACGGTGGCTGTGGGGAGCGGAGATCACACCATTGCACCCCAGCCTGGGAGACAGAGCAAGACTCTGTCTCAAAAACAAAAAACAACCACAACAAAAAAACAAAGAGGTGAGGAAATTGATAAAATTATTTTCTTGGTTTTGTTTTCTATTTGTTTATGGTAGAACATTATTGTGTTAGTCCATTCTTACATTGCTAAACAGAAATACCTGAGGCTGGGTAATTCATAAAGCAAAGAGGTTTAACTGGCTCAGGGTTTTGCAGGCTGTACAGGAGGTGTGGTGCTGGCAATTGCTTCTGGTGAGGGCCTCAGGAAGCTAACAATCATGGGGGAAGGAAAGGGGAGCCCAGGTATCACACGGTGAGAGCAGGAGCGCAGAGAAAGTGGGGAAGAGTCGCACTCCTTTAAACAACCAGATCTCCTGTGAACTGAGTGAGAACCCATGGATTACAGCTAAGATGGTGAGAGGTGACAGCGTGCTGGCAGTCCTCAGAGCCCTCGCTTGCTCTCCGCACCTCCCCTTCCTGGGCTCCCACTTTGGTGGCATTTGAGGAGCCCTTCAGCGCCCCACTGCACTGTGGGATCCCCTTTCTGGGCTGGCCAAGGCTGGAGCTCACTCCCTCAGCTTGCAGGGAGGTGTGGAGGGAGAGGCACAAGCGGGAACTGGGGCTGCGAGGCGCTTGCGGGCCAGCTGGAGTTCCAGGTTGGGCGTGGGCTTGGCGGGCCCCGCACTCGGAGCAGCCGGCCAGCCCTGCTGGCCCCGGGCAATGGGGGACTTAGCACCTGGGCCAGTGGCTGCGGAGGGTGTACTGAGTCCCCCAGCAGTGCTGGCACACCGGCACTGCGCTCGATTTCTCGCTGGGCCTTAGCTGCCTTCCCGCGGGGCAGGGCTCAGGACCTGCAGCCCGCCGTGCCTGAGCCTCCCACCCACTCCATGGGCTCCTGTTCGGCCGGAGCCTCCCGGACGAGCACCACCC
Organism: Homo sapiens; assembly: GCF_000001405.40. Lineage (NCBI taxonomy): Eukaryota > Metazoa > Chordata > Mammalia > Primates > Hominidae > Homo > Homo sapiens. Next base: position 32,547,971 of record NC_000006.12, on the reverse strand, counting down.
CCTGCTCCAGGGCGCCCAGTCCCATCGACCACCCAAGGGCTGAGGAATGCGAGCGCACGGTGCAGGACTGGCAAGCAGCTCCACCTGCAGCCCTGGTGCGGGATCCACTAGGTGAAGCCAGCTGGGCTCCTGAGTCTGGTAGGGACGCGGAGAGTCCTTATATCTAGCTCAGGGATTGTAAATACACCAATCAGCACCCTGTGTTTAGCTCAAGGTTTGTGAGAGCACCAATCGACACTCTGTATCTAACTAATCTGATGTGGACATGGAGAACCTTTGTATCTAGCTCAGGGATTGTAAACGCACCAATCAGCGCCCTGACAAAACAGGCCACTGGGCTCTACCAATCAGCAGGATGTGGGTGGGGCCACACAAGAGAATAAAAGCAGGCTGCCCAAGCCAGCCTTGGCAACCTGCTCTGGTCCGTTTCCATACTGTGGAAGCTTTGTTCTTTCACTTTTTGCAATAAATGTTGCTACTGCTGACTCTGGGTCCACGCTGCTTTTATGAGTTGTAACACTCACCGCGAAGATGCAGCTTCACTACTGAGCCCAGCAAGACCACGAGCCCACTAGGAGGAACGAACAACTCCAGATGCGTTGCCTTAAGAGCTGTAACACTCACCGCGAAGGTCTCACCGCGAAGGTCTGCAGCTTCACTCCTGAGCCACTGAGACCACGAACCCACCAGAAGGAAGAAACTCTGAACACATGTGAACATCAGAGGGGACAGACTCCAGACGCGCCACCTTAAGAGCTGCAACACTCACTGCGAGGGTCCGTGGCTTCATTCTTGAAGTTAGTGAGAGCAAGAACCCACCAAGTCCGGACACAACGGCACCAAGCCAGTGATGAAGGATGTGCCGCCCACCAAAATACCTCTCACCTCCAACACTGGAGACTATGTTTCAACAAGAGATTTGGAGGGGACAAACATCCAAACTATATCAATAACGTACTTGCTTTAATGTATACTGACTTTGTATCCAGCAACATTATTTAAATTCACTTATTAAAATAGTTTGTTTACTAATTTTATTTTTTAAGTAGCTGATTATGTTGAGAGTAAATAATGACCGTTTCACCTGGATGCAATTATCTTTTATTTATTTTTCTTGCCGTTTTCTTTGCCTAACTCCTCTAGTACTCCAGATATGAAGGAGACAGTTTTAAATATTTCACTACTGACACTAATATGTGCAATAAGGTAGCTATCATTTCTCAGACTGAAGAAATAACTTTTTAATACAAGTTTGCAAATAGATTTTTAAAAAATTAAGGCCAAGTGCTGAGTTCTGTCAAATCATATTTCAAGACTCTATCCAGGTGGTTGCCATGTGTATTCTCCTTCCTTCAGTTAATGTAATGAATCACACTAATGGATTCTCAAATGCTCAAACAACCTTGCATTTCTGGAATAAACTCCACTTGGTCATGATGTAGTAGCTGTCTTTTATATCACTGATTTCAGTTGGCTATTATTTTCTTAAGAACTTGGCTCTTAAGAATTATTGGTCCATAAATTCCTATTTGTTGTAGAGTTCTTTTCAGATCTTGAAGTAAAATTTACACAGATCTCATCAAACCTAACTGCAAGTGTTTTCCGCTTTTTCAAATGTTTGAAGTTTGCATAAAGTTAGTGTTGTTTGTTCCTTAAATATTTTAAAATATTTACTGAAGCTAAATGAACCTGGGGTTTTGTCTTGGGAAAGCTTTATACAATCGGCTTTCTCTATGAGATGTGGAACTCTTCATACTTTACGTTATTTGTTAGCTTCAGTACTTTGCACATTTTGAGTAATTTATTCATTACATGCAAATTTGTTTTTGTAAAGTTATTCATAATATTCAGTATTATTTCATGCTAATAAATCTGTAAGACTATAACAAAAGATATGAAATTTGTGTCACTAGAGTCTTAGAGAAAGATGACAAATGGGTGATGCCCAAAGAGTCTTTGAAGGAAGATTGACTATTTTCCAAATTTGGATAAAGACTTTAAAGTAAAAATTCAAGAATCTGTGCGAATCTAAAGTAAGATAAATCCAAAGAAATTTATGTCGAAAAATCTTGATAGCAACAAGAGAGAAATGACATCTCATGTACAGGAGAAAATAAATTAAATGACAGTGTATTCCTCATTAGAAATCATGCAGACCAGAGAGAAGTGCCACCAGATATTTTAATGGCTGAAAGTAATGTTAACTAGAATGTATATACAGAAAAATATTATTATAAAATGAAGGTTCTATTATGACATTTTTTTTTCTTTTTTTTTTTTTTTTGTTTTTTAGATGGAGTCTTGCTCTGTCACCCAGGCTGGAGGGCAGTGGCGCAACCATGGCTCACTGCAGCCTCTGCCTCTCAGGCTCGTGTGATCCTCACACCTCTGCCTCCTGAGTAGCTGGAATTACAGACACACACCACCAAGCCTGGCTAACTTTTTGTATTTTTGGCAGAGACAGGGTTTTGCCATGATGCCCAAGCTGGTCTCAAACTGTTGAGCTTAGGGGATGCGCCTGCCTCGGCCTTCCAAAGTGCTGGGATTACAGGTGTGAGCCACCGTGCCCGGCCATGACATTCTTAGAGGAAGGAAAATCAAGAGAATTTGATGCTAGCAGACTTATCCTAAAACAAGGGTAAAGGAAGTGCTTGAACTGGAATAGAAATGATGAGGGAAGAAATCTTGGACAATCAGGAAAAAAAAAACTATAGAATGAGTAAAAATATGGGTCTGCAAATGTCCATTAGATCTTATTGGTGGATAGTTTTGTTGGGTTTCATTATCTTGCTGAGTTTTTGCCCAGTTGTTTTATTAACTTTTCAGAGTTGGTTTGTGGAGTCCCAAAGTTTAACTGTGTATTTGTCTATTTCTCCTTCCAGTTCTGACCGTTTTTTGCTCTACTTATAAGTAACTCAGTTGTGTGGTGTACACACTTTTAGAGTTGCTATGTCTTCTTTCTGAATTAACATTTTTATGATTGTGTAGTGTTTCCGTTTGTCTCTCAGAATATTCTTTGCTCTGTGCATTTTGTTATCTGATATTATAGCCATTTCTGCTTTCTTTGACAACAGACTTTTCTTTCTATACAACAGACTTCTCTTCTTCACGTTTATAAATTAGTTTGATGGTTGAGGCAAAAATTACAACATTGTCAGATCTGGGTTTTGATGCAAGTAGAGAAAATAAAAAATATGTATTATAAATGCGGGAGCGAAAGGGATAAAAAGGTAAAGTTTTTATACTGCAGTCAAATTGAAAAAATCTTAGCACAAGTAGACTATAAGTTGCATTAATAGATAGATAAATCACAAAAACTCTACAATGAGATACACCAAAAAATGATTGATTAAAAAATGGAATTCTAAATATTGCTTAAGGGACACATCAAAAAACAGGGAAAGAAAACAGAGAAGCAAAAACCAGAGGAAACAAAAAACAAATGGCAGTCATGAGAGCTCACATATTAATAATTGCATTACATTAAATTGTCTAAAAAGACAAAATGTCAGAGTGAAAAATAATTACCCGTCGATATGCTACCTATGAGAAACTTACTGCAAATATTTCAAGAGTGGAAGGCTGAAACAGAAGAATGGAAAAAAATAAACCATACTAACTGTTGTCAAAGAAAGCAGAAATGGCTATAATATCAGATAACATAAAATGCACAGAGCAGAGAATATTCTGAGAGACAAACGGAAACACTACATAATCATAAAAATGTTAATTCAGAAAGAAAACATAGCAACTCTAAAAGTGTGTACACCACACAACTAAGTTACTTATAAGTAGAGCAAAAAACGGTCAGAACTGGAAGGAGAAATAGACAAATACACAGTTAAACTTTGGGACTCCACAAACCAACTCTGAAAAGTTAATGAAACAACTGGACAAAAACTCAGCAAGATAATGAAACCCAACAAAACTATCCACCAATAAGATCTAATGGACATTTGCAGACCACCACACCAAACAGCAGAATACACATTTTTAACTGTCCATGGAATATTTACCAACATCGCTCATACCCTGGACCATAAAAGGAACTTCAACAAATGTAAAGAATTGAAATCATACAGACTGTGCTCCCTGGAAGCAACGGAGCTGAACCAGAAATCAGTAACATGAAGAAAATCAGTATAATTCCAAACACATGGAAACTTAGTAACATACTTTTAAATTACCCTTGGATCAAAAAAGATGTCTTGGCCAGGCGCGGTGGCTCACGCCTGTAATCCCAGCACTTTGGGAGGCTGAAGCGGGTGGATCACGAGGTCAGTTGTTCGAGACCAGCCAGACCAACATGGTGAAACCCCCACCTCTACTAAAAATAGAAAAAAATTAGCTGGGCGTGGTGGCGCTTGCCTATAATCCCAGCTACTCAGGAGGCTGAGGCAGGAGAATGGCTGGAACACGGGAAGGCTGAACTTGCAGTCAGCGGAGATTGTGCCACTGCACTCCAGCATGGATGACAGAGCGAGACTCTGTCTCAGAAAAAAAAAAAAAAAAAAAAAAGGCCCGGCGAGGTGGCTCACGCCTGTAATCCCAGAACTTTGGGAGGCCGAGGTGGGTGGATCACGAGGTCAAGAGATCGAGACCATCCTGGCCAACATGGTGAAACCCCGTCTCTACTAAAAATACAAAAAATTAGCGGTGTGGTGGTGGGCGCCTGTAGTCCCAGCTATTTGGGAAGCTGAGGCAGGAGAATCACTTGAACCCGGGAGGCAGAGCTTGTCCAACATCGCGCCACTGCACTCCAGCCAGAGCCGTCACACGGTGGCTCACGCCTGTAATTCCAACACTTTGGGAGGCCGAGGCAGGTGGATCACGAGGTCAGGAGCTCGAGACCATCCTGGCTAACACGGTGAAACCCAGTCTCTACTAAAAATACAAAAAAAAATTAGCCGGGCTTGGTGGCGGGCGCCTGTAGTCCCAGCTACTCGGGAGGCTGAGGCAGGAGAATGGCGTGAACCCGGGAGGCAGAGCTTGCAGTGAGCTGAGATCATGCCACTGCACTCCAGCCTGGGCGACAGTGCAAGACTCCATCTCAAAAAAAAAGATGTCTTAAGGAAAATAAAAAGTATGTTCAACTAAGTGATAATGAAAATACAACATATCAAAATGTTTGGCACATAGCTAAAGGAGTGCTTTGAAGTACTATGCATAGTACAAAATGTATACACTGAAAAAGAGAAAACTTCAGAAAGCAATAATCTCAGTTCCCACCTCAAAAATCTAGAAAAGTTGTCAAAAATAACCTAAAGCAAGAAGAAGGAAAAAAAAAAACTAATATAAAGGCAGAACTCAGTGGCTCATGCCTGTAATCCCAGCACTTTGCAAGGCTGAAGCGGGTGGATCACCTGAGGTCGGGAGTTTGAGCCTGACCAACACGGAGAAACCCCATCTCTACTAAAAATACAAAATTAGCCGAGCATGGTGGCGCATTCCTGTAATCCCAGCTACTTGTGAGGCTGAGGCAGGAGAATCACTTGAACCTGGGAGGTGGAGGTTGCAGTGAGCCGAGATTGCGCCACTGCACTCCAGCCTGGGCAACAAGAGCAAAACTCCATCTCAAAAAAAGAAAAGAGAGAGAGAGAGAGAAAATCAGTGGAAAAAAAAAGTTTGTTCTTTAAAAATATTAATAGAACTGACAAATTTCTAGGACAAAATAAAAGGAAAAAGGAGAAAAAACACCAATATTGGGGTGGAAACATTATATCACTACAGATTCTTCGACATCAATAGTACACCAAAGGAATACACCAAGAACACTTAGGTGAAATGGAAAAGAATCCTTTAAAAGTACACAAGTACACACTATTACAACTAACTCAATATGAAATAGATACACTGAAAAGCTCTATAATTATAAAAAGAATTGAACTTATAGGAGAAATCTCTAGGTTAGAATAGTTTCACAGGAGAAATCTACCAAACATTTCAGTAGAATTAACACAAGTCTGCAAAATTTCCTCCAGAAAGCAGAAGAGAAGGGAAGACATCCCAACTTACTTTATGAGGCCAGCATTTCCTAAAATCAAAAGCACACAAATATAGTACAGGAAAAGAAAATTAAAAAGCAATATACCTGCATGACTATACATGCAAAACTCCCTAACAAAATGTTAGCAAGTAAAAAATCAGCCAAACTAAAAATATATGTAAACTATGCCAAATAGCGTTTATTTTAGGGACACAAGTCTGGTTTAATGTTTGAAATCAATCAATGTCATCCATCTTATTAAGAAGCTAAAGAAGAAACATCGCATGGTTCTATCAGTTGATGTAGAAAAGGCCTTTGACATAATTCTACATTAATTTATGATTTTAAAAAGCCCCTCAAAATAGTAGGAACTGAGGATGACCTCCTCAACTGGATAAATAACTTCTACAAAAACGTTGCGGCTAAATTGTACTTAATAGTGGAAGTCTGAATGCTTTTCCTCTTCTGCTTCAGCTACTAAGGAAATTCACAAGGTCACAGAGTTCAAGATCAACAAAAAAAATCAATTTTATTTGAATATACAGTAATAAAGAAATCAAAACAAATACTAAAATTACAACACAAATTATTTTCATTCAAAAAACCTCATAAGTATACCAACAGAACATGTACACAATCCATATGCTGAAATGCTGATAAATAAAAAAATCTGAAGAAATGAAGAGATTTACTGTGTTCATCAACTAGAGAATTAAATATAGTAAAGATGTCAATTCTCCCCAATTTGATGTCCAGGTTTAACACAATTTCTCTCTAAATTTCAGCAAGATTTGTAATAGTTGTAGACAAAGTTATTCTAAAATGCATATGGAGAACCAAAGGAACTAGCATAGGTAAAACAAATTTCACAGGGAAAAAGAGATGAAGTAACTCTTACCAAATTTCAGAATTTTTATAGCTATAGTAATCAATACTGATTGACATTAGTGCAGGGATAGACATAGATTAGTGGAGCAGCATAGAGAATCCAGAAATACACCTATATGAACTCATTTTGACAAAGATGCAAAATAATTCAATGGAGGTAATATAGGCTACAGTCTTTTCAAACAATGGTCCAGGAGAAAGTGGAAATTCATAGACAAAAACAAAACTAAACAAAAACAAAAAAGAAGCAAAAGGAAAAAGAAGCAAGAAAGAAACTTAAATTCTCAGACCTTATGAAAACATTTATCCCAATTACATCATGTCTACATGTAAAACGTTTAGAAGAAAACATAAGAAAAATCATCAGAAGCTAGGGCCTGCTGTCTGAGTTCTGAGTTCTTAGACATGACATCAAAAGCACTATGTGTAAAAAACAAAAAGACAAAAACAAAAACAAAAAAATCAATAAATAAGGTTTCTTCAGAATTTAAAACTTTTGTTCTGTAAAGTATCCTGTTAAGAAATAAAAAGTAAGTTAGAGATATGGAGAAAATATTTAAAACCACATGTATTACCAAGAATACATTGTTGAAAATATGTAATGAACTATAAAAGCTCTTCTATAAAATATATAGTAGAGTGCAGACTATAAAATTTAATTGTGGCCGGGAATGGTGGCTCACGCCTATAATCCCAGCACTTTGGGAGGCCGAGGTGGGTGGATCACAAGGTCAGGAGTTGGAGACCATCCTGGCTAACGTGGTGAAACCCAGTCTCTACTAAAAATCCAAAAAAAAAAATTAGCCGGGTGTTGTGGCCGGCGCCTGTAGTCCCAGCTACTCAGGAGGCTGAGGCAGGAGAAAGGCGTGAACCCGGGATGCAGAGTTTGCAGTGAGCTGAGATTGTGCCACTGCACTCCAGTCTGGGCGACAGAGCGAAACTCTATCTCAAAAAAAAAAAAAAATTTTTAATTACAAAATGGGCAAAAGATATGAAGAGACATTTTATCAAAGAGGATATATATACATGGCAAATAAGCACAATGAATGACATGCAAATCAGCAGCCATCAGGGAAATGCAAATTAAGAACTTGGTCTAATAGCACTACACAACTTCTAATAAAGCTAAAATCTCTAAAAAATCTGACAATGGTAAATGCTGGTGAGAATGCAGAAAAATTGAATTTCTCATACACTGATGGTGAGAATGTAAAATGGGACAGTCCTTCTGTGTCAGGAATTTATTCCTTCCGGTGGGTTCTTGGTCTCGCTGACTTCAAGAACGAAGCCACAGACCTTCGCGGTGAATGTTACAGCTCTTAAAGACGGTGTGTCGGGAGTTTGTTCCTTCAGATGTTCATATGTGTCCGGAGTTTCTTCCTTCTGGTGGATTCGTAGTCTCGCTGACTTCAGGAGTGAAGCCGCAGACCTTCACAGTGAGCGTTACAGCTCTTAAAGGTGGCACGTCTGGAGCTGTTTGTTCCTCCCGATGGGTTCGTGGTCTTGCTGACTTCAGGAATGAAGCCGCAGACCCTCAGGGTGAGTATTACAGCTCATAAAGGTGATCTGGACCCAAAGCGTGAGCAGCAGCAAGATTTATTGTGAAGAGTGAAAGAACAAAGCTTCCACAGCGTGGAAGGGGACCTGACCTGGTTGCCACTGCTGGCTCGGGTGACCAGCTTTTATTTCCTTATTTGGCCCCACCCACATCTTACTGATTAGTCCATTTTACAGCGTGCTGATTGGTCCATTTTACAGAGCGCTGATTGGTGCATTTACAATCCTTTAGCTAGACACAGAGCACTGATTGGTGCATTTTTACAGAGTACTGATTGGTGCATTTACAGTCCTTTAGCTAGACACAGAGTGCTGATTGATGCACTTATAATCCTTTAGCTAAACAGAAAAGTTCTCCAAGTCCCCACCTGACCCGGAAGCCCAGCTGACTTCATCTCTCAATCCCCGCTCTAAACAGGACACCACAACTGCTGTTGGGAATTGGGCAATGACCACTCTAGCTACTTCCTGATGGATAGGGGCGAAGAAGGGGCCATGCAGTTGTAGTGTCCTCCAGAGGGGAACTCTTTAGGCCAGTGAAAGGGTCAGTGGCTCAGTTCAGGGGTCCTTGGTAGAAGTTGTTAGCTGAGCTCATTTGGGGTTCCCTTTGTAAGACCATCTGCAGCTTGTTGGCCTGGATCCTAGAGGAAACAAATTTGACAAGGAGGTTAAAACTACAGGGCCCAAAGGGGAGTAATAGTAAGATGGCTGTCACAGGACCTAGAAAAGGGAGAAGCATGTTGCCCAACTCCAGAGGTTGGTATAAGAGTTTCAAAGGCTGGCCAGGCGCAGTGGCTCACGCCTGTAATCCCAGCACTTTGGGAGGCCGAGGTGGGCAGATCATGAGGTCAGGAGATCGAGACCATCCTGGCTAACACAGTGAAACCTCGTCTCTACTAAAAATACAAAAAATTAGCAGGGCATGGTGGCGGGTGCCTGTAGTCCCAGCTACTCGGGAGGCTGAGGCAGGAGAATGGCGTCAACCTGGAAGGCAGAGGTTGCAGTGAGCAGAGATAGCACCACTGCAGTCTGGCCTGGGCGAAAGAGTGAGACTCCGTCTAAAAAAAAAAAAAAAAAAGAGTTTGAAAGTCATTGTCTGATTTCAGAAGCCTTTTCCTGTAAACGCTGGGTGGCATCTCATACTATCCCTGACTAGTTAGTGTAAAAACAACACTCTTCCCCTAAGAAGGTGCAGAGTCCTCCTTTCTCAGCAGTGAGGAGGTCTAGGCCTTGGCGGTTTTGAAGAGTCACTGCTGCCAAAGAGTCTATTTGGGACTGTAGAGTAAGGATAGATTTCGTTATTTCTTGCAAACTGCCTGAGAAATCCTTTGAGAGTGTGTGGTAGTAGGATAGTGAAGTAGATAAACTGGCTATTCTGGTTCCTGTAGCAGTAGCCATTCCTAACCCTACAAGTAGGGGTATTAGTTGTATGGATGTTAATAGTAAAATAAACTGAACAGAGGGCCATTTTAGGGAAGGAGGTATGTAGGAACTCCCTAAACTTTCTCTGGAAGTTTTTTATACACTTGAAACTGCCTTAAAAATGGTCTCGTTACATGGGAGGATATGGACTTACTTTTGCTTTTCATTCCATACTTGTCTGAGTTTGAGTGTATTCTCTGTTGTCACCTATTTATTTTATATTAAAACTGTAGATATGTTAGCTAACACTTATTCCATTTGCAACATTCTCAAGAGTCTGCTTTCTTTAAACCATAGGTAAAGAAACTTGTTATTTATTCGTTAAGTCTTACAAGGTTATGCCATCTTGGTTTGTGCTTATTTTGCTTTTCTAGGATTTTTATCACTGGGCTGTAGAAATTTTGAGGAAAACAATTCCGCAACCAATCCAAGGCCGAAATGAAGTTACAAAGTTACACTCCTGTGCAAACATCTGATTAGTTGAAAACAACCAATCAGAGGCACTTTCAGTTTCCCATTTGTCACGCAGTAAAGGGGGGGTGTTACAAAGGGAGTAGTCTCTGGAACTTTTGCTAATTAGGCATAGAAAGTTTGAGTTTTCCTTTCAATTTAGTTCCATTCGGAAGTCAACATGAAACGGCCTTAGGTTCCCTGCCTCCAGACCCTATTCTCCTGGCTTATCTGGAAGACACTCTGGCTGTTTCTTACAAAGCGAAACATACTCTACCATAAGATTCAGCAATTGCAATCCTAAGTATTTGCCCAAATACGTGGAAAACTTCTGTCCACACAAGTGTACACGAATGTTTATAGCAGCTTTATTTATAATTGCCAAAAATTCAAAGCAACGAAAATGTCCTCCAGTAAGTGAGTGGATAAACAAATTGTGGTACATCCATACCATGGGTTGTTATTCAACATTAAAGAGAAGTAAGCTATCCAGCTAGGAAAAGACAGGAGAAAACCTATATGCATATTGTTATGTGAAAAAAGCCAGTCTGAAAAACTATATACCATATGATTACAACTGTATAACATTCTGGAAAAGGCATAAATACAGTGACAGTAAATAGTGGTTTCCAGGGGTTCAGGAGAAAGAGGAGTGCATGAGTAGGTGGAGCCTGGGACAATTTTAGGTCAGCGAAACTACTTCATAGGATAATTTTGTCACTGAAACACCAGGGGTACAGTCTAGATCTTGCACACAAGGGCTTTGGTCTGGATCTTGCTGCTCACCACACAGAAAGCCAATCACTGAGATGACAATGAGTATTGCCAAAGAAGAAGGCTTTAATCTTTAATCAGGTGCTAAAGCTGAGGAGATAGGAGACCAGTGTCAAATCCATCTCTGTGACTGACTAAAATTAGGAGTTTATCTAGCATGGAAGAAATGTAACTATGTATGGGAAAACAGGAACTAGAGAGGGGTAAGGGAACAATCACGATGAATGAGGAACTTGGAGTCTCATTGTCTGGATGAGATGATCTGGTGAGTTCCAGCTCTTTGATACTTTTTGAGAGGCATGGGGGAATCTTTTTTTGGAAAGGAACTCAGATAAAACAAATGTAAGTTTCAAGCTTTAAGACCAGAAGTGTCCATTTCTATGTTTATTTAAAAAAAAAAAAAACTGCCTATGGGACTCTTGGGTCAGTTCCACTAAATGGTGGATATATGACATTATGTATTTATCAGAACCCATAGAACTGTATAAGAATTATCCCTAATTTCACTATGGATCTCAGTTAACAACAAGTATCAGTACTGCTTCATCAGTAGTAACAAGTGTACCACACTGATGCAGGATGTTAATAATAGGAGAAACTGAGCAGAGGGATGCTTTAGGGAAGAAGGGCTGTGGGAACTCTATGAACTTTCTCTGTAATTTTTCTGTCCACTTAAAACTACTTTTAAAAAATGGTCTTGTTACATGGAATGATATGGATTTATTTTTGCTTTTTCATTCCGTCTTTGTCTGCATTTGACTACATTCTCTGTTGCTCATCTACACCCTGTTCGTGTAACAGCTTTTTTAGCCTCATCATTAGGCAGATCCCCAGTTCTTGTCCTGCATCCAGGAAGAATGAGGTATGCAGACAAGTAGAGGGTTAGCAGGACAAAGAGGACCTTTATTAAGCAATAGAACAGCTCAGAGAGCTGCAGTGGGCAGCTCCTCTCCATAGCCAGGTTGCCCCAACACCTGTTCAGTTATCAACAGAGAGGGTAGCTCCTCTCTGCAGCTGATTGTCCTGTCCTTTCCTCAGTTCTCAGCAGAGAGGAGACCTTGGTGAGGGCAGCTTCACTCTGCAGCTGAGAGGAGACGCTGGGGAGGTTAACTCCTCTCCTCAGCAACTCATCCCTCATGTCCCTGTCCTGTCTCTATGCTCTCTCCATCCTCTTCTCAAGTCCGCCTGAGCCCAGGGCTTTTACAGGCCTCAGAGGGGAGGAATGGATGGCCATGGGGCAGGCCCAGAAAAGGCACAAGTTCCCACTCCTGTCCGCAGGATTGGCAGCCCAACCCACAGCCTTCAATCCCTCCCTGGCCTGAAGGAGGGGCTTCACCAGGGACCTGCCCCCTTCTGCCCAGGAGACTGTCTGCCTCCCAACCCCGTCCATGGCACCTAGGCTGCTCATGGCAAGGGGCCTGTAGGCCAGCACCAGTTGCCCTCAGCCCATCTTCCCTCGGCTTCCCCGTGGCTGAGGTGGCAGGAGGCTGGTGTGTCAATGTTGCCCTGAGCATGCATACACCCGGCTAGGCTGTAACAGCACCGGGGCTTGGCCCCAAACTCCACTCTGAGATCAAAGCGGGCACCCGGGGCCTGGAGAGGCCAGGTGAGAAGCCAGGCACTGGGAGCAGATACCTGGAAGCCTGCAGGGGCAGGGGGTTCTTCACGTCCTTGAAAGCATGGAGTGCAGAGAGGCCTGGATCCTGCTGCGTAGAGGGCAGGACTCCCACTCAATCCTTGGAGTCTGCAGGTAGCCCCTGTCCCACCTTCACATAGCCTGGGGTGGGCAGCTCCCCCTCGCCTGTGCCCATGCCAGCATCTGGGGCAAGGATGATGTGTCTGCAAGTTCTTCCCCTACCACTCAGGGGTGCCTGGGGCTCCCTCTTGCCTGGATGGGATGGGGGAGGCACCGTGGGGAGCAGATCACGCCCAAGCCTGGCCGTCGGGAAAATCAGGCTTCGTGGCCACCCTGGGGACACAACCCTGGGCAGCCTCAGGCAGAACCTCCTCCTGAGGTGCAGGAACTGGGCTTCCTCAGCATGGTGGGACAGTGATCATGCCGCTGGCTGGGTCCCCAAAGCAAGGCCACTCCCACTTCCCAAACCGGGCCCAACAAGCCTGGCCCTAGCTCCATGCCCTCCCCACAGCTACAGGGTGATAGCAGTAAAGCAGGAGTCGTGGAGGCTCCTGGCCTGGGGGCGGTCCCTCCGGCTGCTGAAGGGTTTGGGCAGCGCAGTTGGCTGCCTCAGGGGCGCGAGGCACACGGGACATGGGGCACCGGGGTCCCACCATGGCCACGGTTCCCGCAGTCGTTCCTGCCACCACCGCTTGCAATTTCCCGCTGCAGCCGGCCACTCTGGACAGCTCGCCACTGCCGGCATCACCACCCTTTTAACCTCAAATACTAAGCTGAACCTTAGCTGGATTTCCTAGATTACCATCATCTCAATTAGTTTCTTTTTTACACAGTTTGTTCCTTCTTTTCTTTTTTTTGTTTCTTTTTTTTCTTTTTCTTTTTATTTTTTCAGGGTGTCCCTCTGTCACCCAGGCTGGAATGCAGTGGCATGATCTTGCGTCACTGCAGCGTGGACCTTCCAGGTTCAAGCAATCCACCCACCTCCTGAGTAGCTGGGACTAAATTAGTTTCTAAGTAAATTATTATTTTCTGTTGACCAAATTAAATGTGATATTCTGGTTGCAATTTCACAACTTCCAATAGTATTGAATTATTATTGGGGTATAGAGACATAGTTTATTCTCAAATCCAGGGACAATAGTGACTTTTACCCATGAAATTTTGAACTTTCTATATTAATAGAAGTATGTTTTCCCAAAGTAAGTGAGGCACTTTTTTTCTTCTATTTTGAGATGATCAAATTTACTACTTTATCATGAGAAATCTGAAATAATAATTCTGAGCAATAGTTTATATTTAAGAATTTTGAGGTCACTGTTACCTTTAATAAGAAGGAGACTTCTCAGGAGCTATGGGTGTCATCACATAAGATAAATGCAAATGCTGTCATTTCCAGGGGAGGGTAAGGATGATAATGAGGGGATTCTTTTGAAGGAACTAGAATTGCTACACAGTATCTTCTTCAAATTGTATACTGCTGCCATTCACTAACATGAGTAGCGATATTGCTATGCGCATCCATAAATTATAGGAATATAAATAATTTTAATACACAGGACATTATTCTCAGAAATAGAATGAGAAGGATTATGATATAGTGGCTGAGCCTGAGGGGCATGTAATTTGGTTCAATCTATAGTATGCCATTTACTAGCTTTGTATCTTTGCAAAAGTTGTTTCATCTCCATCGTTTTATTCTCTCTACCTGTAAGCATGAAAAGGGTGTTTATTTTACCGAGCTGATGTGAGAATGAAATAAAAATATGAAGTATAAAAAGCGCTTAGTACAATTCTGAGTATAAAGTAAAATGCTCATTTTTATGGTAGCATGGTGAGAATGCTGCCCCTGGAAACACTAAGGCCCATGAGGAAGGATTGCCTATGTGGTAGCGTGTGAATTAATGCAGAGCGTTCTAAGTATAGTTGTACTTTGAAGTCCATTCTGAATCTTAGATGTTACATTTATATTAATAAAAAGCATAATAATTATCTAAATGTATAATAATGTTCAATATTATATAGTTACATCAACTGATGTAATTCATAGTTTTCCCTAGTGTTCTCTTTCCTGAACATTCTAAAATGTATTAGTTATCAAAGTCGTCTTATATCTTCCCTTATGATAAAACAAGAGAAACATAATAGTAAAGTGCTATAGCCTCAATCAAATGAGAAAATCATAATGGGAACCAAGAATGAGGGATTGAACACTCTTCACATAAAATATTAATTATTAATATTTTTTATTTATTATTATTATTATTTTTTAAAGTATTTATTGATCATTCTTGGGTGTTTCTCGGAGAGGGGGATTTGGCAGGGTCATAGAACAATAGTGGAGGGAAGGTCAGCAGATAAACATGTGAACAAAGGTCTCTGGCTTTTCGAGGCAGAGGGCCCTGCCGCCTTTGGCAGTGTTTGTGTCCCTGGGTACTTGAGATTAGGGAGTGGTGATGACTCTTAACAAGCATGCTGCCTTCAAGCATCTGTTTAACAAAGCACATCTTGCACCGCCCTTAATCCATTTAACCCTTAGTGGACACAGCACATGTTTCAGAGAGCACGGGGTTGGGAGTAAGGTTATAGATTAACAGCATCCCAAGGCAGAAGAATTTTTCCTAGTACAGAACAAAATGGAGTCTCCTATGTCTACTTCTTTCTACACAGACACAATAACAATCTGATCCTCTTTCTTTTCCCCACATTTCCCTCTTTTCTATTAAACAAAACCGCCATTGTCATCATGGCCCGTTCTCAATGAGCTGTTGGGTACACCTCCCAGAAGGGGTGGCAGCCGGGCAGAGGGGCTCCTCACTTCCAAGACGGGGTAGCCGGGCAGAGGCGCCCCCCACCTCCCAGACGGGGCGGCTGCCGGGCGGAGACGCTCCTCACTTCCCAGACGGGGCGGCTGCAGGGCGGAGGGGCTCCTCACTTCCCAAATGGGGTGGCTGCTGGGCGGAGGGGTTCCTCACTTCTCAGACTGGGCGGCCGGGGCAGAGGGGCTCCTCACATCCCAGACGGGGTGGCAGCGGGGCAGAGACACTCCTCAGTTCCCAGACGGGGTCACGGCCGGGCAGAGGCGCTCTTCACATCTCAGACGGGGCGGCGGGGCAGAGGTGCTCCCCACATCTCAGACGATGGGCAGCAGGGCAGAGACGCTCCTCACTTCTTAGACGGGATGACGGCCGGGAAGAGGCTCTCCTCACTTCCCAGACTGGGCGGCCGGGCAGAGGGGCTCCTCACATCCCAGACGATGGGTGGCCAGGCAGAGATGCTCCTCACTTCCTAGATGGGGTGGCGGCCGGGCAGAGGCTGCAATCTCGGCACTTTGGGAGGCCAAGGCAGGCGGCTGGGAGGTGGAGGTTGTAGCGAGCTGAGATCACACCACTGCACTCCAGCCTGGGCAACATTGAGCACTGAGTGAGCGAGACTCCGTCTGCAATCCCGGCACCTCGGGAGGCCGAGGCTGGCAGATCACTGGCGGTCAGGAGCTGGAGTCCAGCCCGGCCAACACGGCAAAACCCCGTCTCCACCAAAAAATGCGAAAACCAGTCAGGTGTGGCGGTGCGCGCCTGCAATCCCAGGCACTCGGCAGGCTGAGGCAGGAGAATCAGGCAGGGAGGTTGCAGTGAGCCGAGATGGCTGCAGTACAGTCCAGCCTTGGCTCGGCATCAGAGGGAGACCGTGCAAAGAGGGAGAGGGAGAGGGGGAGGGGGAGGGGGAGGGTATTAATTATTTTAAAACAGAATTGTGGCCAGGCACGATGGCTCATGCCTGTAGCCCCAGCAGTTGGGGAGGCCAAGGCAGGCAGAACACGAGGTTAGGAGATCGAGACCATCCTGGCTAACACGGTGAAACCCCATCTCCACTAAAAATACAAAGAATTAGCCGAGCGTGGTGGCACATGTCTGTCGTCAGAGTTACTCAGGAGGCTGAGGCAGGAGAATCATTTGAACTGAGGAGGCGGAGGTTGCAGTGAGCCAAGATCGCACCACTGCACTCTAGCCTGGGTAACAGAGCAAGACTCCGCCTCAAAAAAAAAGAAAAGATAGTTGCTCTGTGAACAGCTGACTTTCACAGTCTTCGATCGATCTCTCAGACCCACGAATACTTGGACTGCACAGTTGACCTTATCACATTGTTAGGGTAAATGCCATACAAAGGCACCTTCAGACCCTCCATTGCACATAGGTGGCCCCTGCAAGCCCCTTGCCTGTGTGTGTTCTGGAGGTGCCACTGAACTTGGGGACAGCATCAGGAGACACACTTGAAAAAGATATTTTTACTCAGATTAAATTATTAACAAACTTTCAATTTCCTTTAACTTATTAAAGACATCCCTACCTGTAAATAGGTACGGATTAAGCTCTCTAGTCAATAGCTGTCATTCTGTCATATTATCAGATACCCGGGGCTGCTGCTCCTTCAGGCGTCCACAGAATCACAGCATTGTCCAGTATTGAAAGACCTGAAAGATTGCAGTGCCTTCATTTCAACTGTGAGACATGAAATAATTTTCCCAAATCTACAACATTAAGATACGGTGCAATAAGGACCAGATTAAAGGTCTCCAATTTACAACCATGTTCCCTCCATCTCCTTTACTCCTAAACACACTCACACACTCACTTCTGCAAACAATTGTCTTGTCAAGTGGGAAATGAATGCTCTTACAAGGCTCAAACTTGTGAACACATCACTGACCAGCACAGAGCTGGCTCACGATAGGGACCCAGTTAAAGTGTTTTACGTGCAACTGGATCAAATCTTTCAAGTACTAATTTAAAACAATCCTTTAAATAAGGAAATTCTGTTTCAGAAGAGGACCTTCATACAGCATCTCTGACCAGCAACTGATGATACTATTGAACTCAGATGCTGATTGGTTCTCCAACACGAGAGTACCCAAACCAGGAGGAAGGAAATCAGTAACTTCCTCCCCATAATTTGGAATGTGGGTGGAGGGGGATCATAGTTCTCCCTGAGTGAGACTTGCCTGCTCCTCTGGCCCCTGGTCCTGTCCTGTTCTCCAGCATGGTGTGTCTGAAGCTCCCTGGAGGTTCCTACATGGCAAAGCTGACAGTGACACTGATGGTGCTGAGCTCCCCACTGGCTTTGGCTGGGGACACCCGACGTAAGTGCACATTGTGGGTGCTGAGCTACTATGGGGTGGGGAAAATAGGGAGTTTTGTTAACATTGTGCCCAGGCCAGGTGCCTTAAGAAATTGTGACATTTTCTTCAGAGATTGCCCATCTTTATCATGGGATCCCAAATTATTTCCTCCACAAAAGGAGCTTGACTACTTGCCCTCTCCATGAGACTGTGTAAGGGGCCTCCATACAGGTCATTTCTTCTCAAATCTCCACCAATGAAACCTTTTCATCACATGTCCTCAGGGTCTTTAGAGGATTTAGAAATAAGGATGCTAAAATAAATTCCCCATACAGCACTTCCCTTTATTATGTTGACCTATGTCAGACAAAACGAGTTTTTTTCTGAAAATTTTGTGGGAGTCAAGGGAATTCAAAGGGTCTCTCCTAGACAATCCTGTGTTATGCCCTTGACAGAACCTGTGATATTGGCTCCTCTTCCTCATATGTGAGAATGGACCCAGTGGCCTCCCCATTACCTCCTTTCTTTTCTTTCTGAACTCCAATGTTTACCCTGTAATGTATGCAAGGTCTCTGACAGAAGTTATGCTTAGTGCTTTTTCTTATGGGGAAAAATCCTTGGAGCTGAAGCTGAGATCTTTAGTATGTGGAGTCACCCTACAGTTAAAGGGCATCTATGAGGTATTCTTTGGTGCCTAAAGGACTTAAGGCATCCTCTAAAAACCTGGCCCAGGTTAGAGTTTATTACAAATCTTTTTTAACCTTTCTATACTATTTGCTCCTATATCTCCTACATGCTCTAACTAGACATGACAGGAAGAGATTCAACTAACATAGGACAAATTATATGAAATTCTATTTTTGTAAGTCAAAAATAGTCAAATATCAGAAATTTGATAAGGTTAAAACTATATACTCTGTGTGGGGTTACAGAGAGAATGTGGACATTGTTCACATCTCATAGGGCTGAAAGTTAATGATCAAGTCCTGGGAACTCATTGTCTTACTGGGGTCTTGTCCTAAATTTCATAGGTTCACCCGTCATGCCCTCAGCTTTCCTTAATTAGCCATGTCTGCTTACCTCTTCCTCCAGTTTCTCTCTATTTTTCCCCAGCTATGTTGTCATCATATCCAGAAATCCCTAAAGCTTGCACAGATCCTTAGCACTATGAGATCCATTGAAAGAGATAATTTTTTTCTTTTTGAGATAGGGCCTGGCTCTGTCACCCAGGCTGTAATGCAGTGGTCCGATCTAGGCTCACTGCAACCTCTGCCTCCAAGACTCAAGCTATCCTTCCTCCTCAGCCTCCAGAGCAGCGGAGACTACAAGCCCAACTAATTTTGTTGGAGATGAGATTTCTGCCATGTTGCCCAGGGTGGTCTTAAACTCCTGGACTCAAACAATCCTCCTGCCTTGGCCTCCCAGCATGCTAGGATTGTAGGTGTAAGCCACCGCACCCAGGCACGGTGAATTCATTGCCCAGGCAATGAATCTCAATGAAAAATTTCTTTTTTCTTAAATCACTGTTTCTTTATCTGTGAATTCTTCTTCCAATTAGAAGGAGGAGAAAGAAGAAATTTGCCTGTATTTCTCACCGGGAGGAGAAGGATTCTAGTGTGACATCAAATTGAAAGAGTGCTGGAGCTCGAGCCCCTTCTTGCTTTCCAGGATCCTTGCAGTGATCAGTTCCCAGAACCATGGTTTATTAATATAAACCACAGTTATTTTTATCAGCAGCTACTCTGTACTGGGCTCCCTTCTAGGTTCAAATCATTCTATTTGAGTAAGATAGAGAGGGTCCCGACTCTCAAGGTTACACAAGAGTGGAGGAGACAGACACTAACCCAATAAGCATTTAACAAAGAAGAAAATTTCAGAGAGTCATAGTGCACTGAAGAAAAGACATCAGGTTTGTGGAAAAGAGA
The DNA here is from genome assembly GCF_000001405.40 of Homo sapiens. Taxonomy (NCBI): domain Eukaryota; kingdom Metazoa; phylum Chordata; class Mammalia; order Primates; family Hominidae; genus Homo; species Homo sapiens. The sequence goes on along the minus strand of NC_000006.12, from coordinate 32,528,220 downwards.
GAAATGGATTCACCTACTTTAGTTCATATGTCTAGAGAGCCCTACTTGAGAAAGTGACATCCAGCTGAGAAAACAAAATAAGTAGACAGTCGTGAAGATCTAAGGGACGAAAGTTCCAGGGAGACCGAATTGGGGGGGAAGCCCTGGTGTGGGAAATTATGTGCAGGGACAGAAAGAAGGCTAGAGGGACTGAAGTGAGCAAGCAAGGAAATGCAGTGGCAGAAGATGAGGTAGGATGCAGAGAGGAAGTCGGGAGCCTCATATCAGGCTCTGATGTCCATGGTAAGAAACTTGAATTTTATTTTATTTTATTAATTTATTTATTTATCTTATTTATTTTTGAGAGGGAGTTTCATTCTTGTTGCCCAGGCTGGAGTGCAATGGCATGGTCTCAGCTCACTGCAACCTCTGCCTCCCGGGTTCAAGTGATTCTCTTGCCTCAGTCTCCCAAGTAGCTGGGATTACAGGTACCTGCCACCATGCTCAGCTATTTTTTCTGTGTTTTTACTAGAGACAGACTTTCACCATGTTGGCCAGGCTGGTCTTCAACTCCTGACCTCAAGTAATCTGCCCGCCTGAGACTCCCAAAGTGCTGGGATTACAGGCGTGAGCCACTGCGCATGGCCTGAATTTTATTTAAATAGATATGGGAAGCTACTGGATGGTTACAAGGAAAGTCAATTTATATTCTTTTTTTTTAATTTTTTAATTTTTTTTTTTTTTGAGATATAGTCTTGCTCTGTCACCAGGCTGGAGTGCAGTGGCACTATCTCGGCTCACTGCAGCCTCTGCCTTCTGGGTTCAAGAGATTCTCCTGCCTCAGCCTCCCAAGTAGCTGGGATTACAGGAGTGCACCACCACGCCCAGCTAATTTTGGTATTTTTAGTAAAGACAGGGTTTCACCATGTTGGCCAGGATGGTCTTGATCTCTTGACCTCGTGATCCACCTGCCTCAGCCTCCCAGTGTGCTGGGATTACAGGCGTGAGCCACCGTGCCCGGCCTATATTGAATTTTTAAAACTAATTCTAGCTACTCTGTGGGGATTGGATTGTTGGGGTTGACAAGTGGTTAGGAAGACTATTTAGGAGCACAGCAGGGAATCCTCAGGGAAAATAGGCTTGAGTTCACTAGTGATAAAGACAGTGAAAAAGATAAAGTGGATTTTGCTTACCTTGTTAATGGATTACTGTAAAGGGGGTAGAAATATCAAGCTTATTCCTAAGGATTTTGTTTTGACAAATTAGTGAAAGGTGGTGGTGTTTATTGAGATAGGGAAAACTGTGGGAGGAAATGATTTGAAGTGGGTGGTTGGAAATAAAAGTTTTGTTTAAGTTTGAGATGATTTATTGACATTTGTGTGGAGCAATCAGAAGGTCAATGGCATTTAAAAGACTCATGGTGGGCCAGGCGCAGTGACTCATGCCTGTAATCCCAGCACTTTGGGAGGCCTAGACAGGCGGATCACCAGGTCAGGAGATCAAGACCTTCCTGGCTAACACGGTGAAACCCCGTCTCTACTAAAAATACAAAAAATTAGCTGGGCATGGTGGTGGGTGCCTGTAGTCCCAGCTACTTGGGAGGCTGAAGCACGAGAATGGCGTGAACCAGGGAGGTGGAGCTTGCAGTGAGCTGAGATCACACCACTTCACTCCAGGCTGGGTGACAGAGCAAGACTCCGTCTCAAAAAAAAAAAAAAAAAAAAGAGACTCATGGTGAGGCCAGGGCTGGAGGTATTTATGTTGGTGGCATCAATAGGTGTACTGTGTTAAATTCCAGGGAGTGGAAGAGGTTACATAGGGAGATTGTCTGGAGAAAAAAGAAAAGGGCACAGGCCAGCAAAGGGGACTAAGAAAGAGCCCAGGGATGTTGGGAAAAAACCAAGATTACATCATATGTGTAAGTCAAGAAAAATAGATTTTTTTTTTTCAAGGAGAAGGGAGAGGCCAATTGTGGTGAGTACCACTAAGAGGAGGGTGAAGTGAGAATGTGACAGAGAAGCAACGGCTGGGATTGGTGGAGCTGATATTTGCAGTCAGTAGAGTATCCAGGGAGGAAACTGGATTGGACCATTTGAAGAGCGAGTAGAAGAGAGGACAAGGTTAAGGTTGACTGTTTTGAGTAGCGAGCTTCAGGGAAGGACTGTGCTCTGGGTTCAGGGAGCCAGCTGGATCAAAAGGAAAAGGCTAAAGAGGCTGAAGAGAAGCAGGAGGACCTGTGAACCAGAGATGCTCGGTCATTATTATCAAGGAAATATTAGAGGGCCCCTGTGTGCAGTGGTGACTGCTCATGAAGAGGTCACACAGCCAGTATTTCACACAGCCCATATTTATTAGTGACTTAGAATATACCAGTTACTACTCTAGGTCATGAGAATGGAGTGATGAATAAAATGAATCTGGTCTCCATCAGTATATGCCATGTAACATTTTGCAGTGACTGTGTACCAGGCCTATGAATTTCAGTATGCAATTTCAATAATGATCCTGCTGTATCTGTGGTATATAAAAACATGTACATCTCTGGAATCTAAAATTGAAAGGTTATAAGTAAAACCCAGTATCACAAATTTGGTGCTAGAAATCAGATTGCAGTTTAAATCTGAGCATGTAGAAAGTCCATTTCTTCTATGTCAGCAGGTGCCTTTTGTGTGAGGTTTAGGTATACTGCATTATTAGACATAAACCAGTGTTTCTGCCCTCTGTTTTCAGAATGACAATTCTTTATGAAACTAATAGAAGAACAGAAGACAATTGCAAAATCATGATGAAGATACTAATTGCTTTAGAATCATGTAATAGAAAAAATAATGTGAGCTCCAGTTATAGGGATCAAAAAATTAAAATGGGAATACATTTGAGTGTTTATTATGTGATCACTGCTAAGAAGACTCTTTATTAAATTTCACACTTACAAAAATCCTGTGAGGATTATTATAAAATGCATTTGATAGATTACAAATAGGCTTATGGTTGGCAAAAAGTGACCCATTTAAAAGAGGTCATATTTCAATTCATATTTTCTGATTCTAGAATATGAGAGTTTTTCCATCATTAGTGAGTAGTGACTTGATTGTGTCTGAATTATTGACAAAATTTCTAATATTCATATGTACCAGGTTGTTTCTTAGAGTGGGGGCAGAGATGCAAGGGCTTCTAGTTCCAATGTATAAAAGAAACTTTCATTCATTTTGCATTTATCATTTTAAAAGTTCTATAAGTCTATCATAGGCATGTGTTGAAGAACATAAAGAAGTATTAAATCATTCCTTCTTCTGAGGTTTGACTAGCAAGTCTGGCTAGGGTTGTCAGATAACAAACAGGTTCCTAGTTAAATCTGAATTTCAGACACACGACCACAATTTATTGGAAATCCAGATTTACCTGGGCATCCTCTGGTTTTATTTGTCAAATCTGTCAACCCTAAGTGGGACACATGAGCATGGATTACAGTGCTAGCCATGCAAGCCACAGTGACAGTGACTTTACAAATGTTTATTTTTTAACATTCTGTCTGTAAAGAAAGTGCTTACATAATTTAGGAATAGAAAGATAGACATTGTTTGATCCAGGGTGCACACCTCTCTGCCATCATTTCTAAAGGGCAAACGGAGCTTTGTGAAGGTCTCTACACAAAGTCTGGGGACCTGCTCATGTTTTGTAAACTGTCTGTATGAGAACGTCATTTTCTTGGTTTCTGACTTTCTGAGGGGACTTGACTACAAAACCAAGAGTTCTATCTCTGGCCAAGGCTGGTAATTTGATGCCTGCTAGTATTGTTGGGAGTGGGAGACTGAAAGACGTGAGTTAGTTGGGGCATTAAATGGGAATAAAATAGCTGTGGTTGTGATTCACTACTACAGATAATTAGTGGACAAGTGGCAGAGAAATTAAGAAAGAAGATGATATGAAAGACAAATGATATGATTTGGTGACTGGTTGGTAATGCAAGGAAATCAGTAAATCTTAGTTCTCAACAAGTTCATTTTCTGGAAAGATAGCACTGTATTGGGACCAGAATTCTATAAAGCATTCGTTTTATGTAGGACCAAGATATTCACAGATATTTTTCAATACAATTCTCAGCTGCTCCATAACCACTAGTGGCTTGTTCAACACAGGTTTTTTCAGATGGTTCACACCTGTGGTTCTTACCCAGGGATCGTTCACCACCGCTCCTTTCCCTCCCATCACCCTTGGGGAACTTGTGGCAATGTTTGAGCAATTTTTGGTTGTCACCACAGGGGTTTCTTCTGATATTTAATGAGTAGAAGCCAGGGACACTGCTAGAGAACCTACAATGTTCAGAACAGCCTCCTTTACCAACAAAGAATTATCTGGACCAAAATGTCAATAGTGCTGAGGCTGAGAGCACTGTTTCACACTGTGCTCTTTCTGAAAATTCTAGACTCACATCTTTTATACACTCAGCACCCAATTCAGTTCTTTATGGTTTATTTTTGCTTGCTTCATTATGCAAAAGTAGACAGTTGCATAAATTCAACCACTTTCTTGTTGAATCCATTTAGTCAATGCAAGTTTAATAGCTTCATAGTTAGTTTTTGCCTTATGCAATATTTTTCAACATTTTCATGAGTTGTTGGTCAGCACTACCTCTATTAACTTTCAACAACTTGCCCTTATAAGTCACAAATAGTGATGCTCTGCAATTATTTTTCACTAACATGCCTGAGATTTCTGTAGTGATTCTACATTTGGTATGATTCATAATGTAAAATGCTTTTATTTATTCATTTCACTTTTAACCAGAGGATTATTTTTCAGTTATTTTTGTCATTTTTACACTTCAATCAAACATAAAGACAAAAACATCTAAAATATATAGTATTTTACATATGTGTATATTTACACACATATATGTATGTATGTTTACATGTATTGAAACTACAGAAGCTCATGTCACCAATAAGAGCTCTGAGACACTTTTGACCCCTTACTCTTATCAGGTGAAATTTGCCAAATAAGTTTTATGAACAAATTTCTTTTAACTGAATATCTGAGCTTTGTGGATTTAGAAATGCAAAGGAAGGTTTGTGGACATTCATGGGATCATGGTTTTATTCTCCTTAAATCTCTTTGATACTTTCCCACTGTCTTTAGCATAAATCTCAGATCCTAACACCACCCACAACGCTTTTCAATACCTGGCTTCTTGTGATGTCTCCAGTCTAATCTTTTACCCTCCTTCCCCTCAGCCTCTCTGCTTTAGTGAACTTTGTTCTAGTTTCTTGAAGAAGTTCATCAATTCAAGCTTTTGTGCATGGTATTTCCTAAACCTGAAATGTGCTTCCCCCGTTTTGCCCAAACAGACACAGAGTCTCCACTCCGCCCCCTGGTTCACACCTGCTTAACCTGCCAAGTCACATCTGAACTGTCACCCTTCAGAAGGTCCTCCTCTGGCACCCTAATGTAATTGAGATCATCCTATTACTCTGTGTTCTGGAACTCCACACTTCAGACATTTCTCATTCCTGTCTAAGCTCTTGTGTGTTTGGTTTTTGGCCTCACTTTTACTGCTCTTTAAGCTCCCCCAGCGGAGTGGAGAGGTCTGTTTTCCCGTGTTTGGATTCCCAGAGGCAGTGCAAGCCTGGCACAAGGTCATCACTAAAGGAGTGTTCACAGGATGAACGCGGTGGGAGTTAGGGAACGGGTAAAGCCTGTGGGATGAGAGAAGGAGCAGAGATTGTCTTTGGGGTGCAGGCTCCCAGGAGGAGGCGGCGCGGGCTCCGGTGCTGGGCGGATCCTCCTCCAGCTCCTGCTTGGAGGTCTCCAGAATAGGCTGGAGGCGGGGAGGGGGTCCCAAAAGCCTTGGGATCAGAAGGGGTTTTCCTGCCTGGTCCCCCAGACACCCCGTTCGCCTCAGGAAGACGGAGGATGAGCCTCTGGGCTGCGCGTGGTCGGGGTTATGGTTGGGATCAGTTAAGGTTCCAGTGCCCGCACCCCGCCCAGGGAGCCCCGGATGGCGGCGTCTCTGTCAGTATCTTCCCCGGAGGCCGCCCCTGTGACCGGATCCTTCGTGTCCCCACAGCACGTTTCTTGCAGCAGGATAAGTATGAGTGTCATTTCTTCAACGGGACGGAGCGGGTGCGGTTCCTGCACAGAGACATCTATAACCAAGAGGAGGACTTGCGCTTCGACAGCGACGTGGGGGAGTACCGGGCGGTGACGGAGCTGGGGCGGCCTGACGCTGAGTACTGGAACAGCCAGAAGGACTTCCTGGAAGACAGGCGCGCCGCGGTGGACACCTACTGCAGACACAACTACGGGGTTGGTGAGAGCTTCACAGTGCAGCGGCGAGGTGAGCATGGTGGGGGGCGGGGCCTGGGTCCTTGTGAGCTGGGAATCTGAGTGTGTGTGTGTGTGTGTGTGTGTGTGTGTGTGTGTGTGTGTGAGAGAGAGAGGAAGAGAGAGACAGAGAGGGAGCGCGCCATCTGTGAGCATTTAGAATCCTCTCAATCTTGAGCAAGGACTTCTGAGGACACAGGTGTGTGTGTAGAGTGTGGATTTGTCTTTGTGGCCTTTGTGGGAGGGGAAGCAGGAGGGGGCTTCTTCTTATCCTTGGAGGCCTCTGTGGGGAGGTGACATGGGAGGTGGGTGCAGGGGGCTGGAGAGAGAGGAGACCTTGGTTGTCTCGTGTCCTTAGAGATGCAGGGAAGGAAAGTGTAAGGTGTGTGTGGTTGGGGTGAAGGTTTAGGGGAGGAGAGCTGAGGGGTGTGGAAGATTTGTGATAATATGAGGAGGCCAGTTCCAGACTGTCCCTGGCACCCACCCTTCACGCAGTCTCTGAAATAAAAGTGTGTGGTGTTTGTTTGCAAAAGCATTAGATTAATTTCTAGGGGAATTGAGGAGACCTCTGAGGCACTTCTGAAGCTTCTTTAGGTCTAAATTTCTTGCTATTTTTTCTGTTTGTTTTCTTAGTGTGTATATTTTTACATAGTTGAAATGACTGTGAAACTAACTTTTTGATTAAAATTTTAATACACTGTTACTATTTTATTATAATGCTAATAGTTTTCTACTACTTACCTATTATTCTTTTATATATAATAGTTGTGACACAACTTATCTCACTTTCCCCTTTGTTGACCTTTATTATGACATTCACCAAAAGTTGAAAATATATGTTTCTGGTTATTATTTAATTTATTTTTTTATTTGGAATTCTTTTGAATTATCTTGACCTATTTATTGCCCAATTATAATTACTGCTCTAAGAATTCCCTATTGTATTTGGTAGGTAATGGACAATGATCTATTTTCTGTTATCTCCAGGGCTTAGTATTTTTCTCAGTGATTTTGTGGGTTCTTTGTACTGTAAGATTATTAACACTTTATTGATATTTGATTCCACATTTTCTCCAGTTTTTGATTTGTATGTTGATTTTGAAAATTCTATGTTAAGAATTTGAACATTTCTGTTTAATAAAATATATTCCAAAACTTTTATTAATGGTTTACAAACCATCTTAAATCTATCATTTTGTGGTATTTTTGTCTCCAGGTTTCTCCTTCCTTCTTAAAAAAAATGTATTTATTGAGAGTCTGCTAGTGTTAGGGATTTTCCTAGGCATAAGCACCCCAAGTAATGAGTCCCAGACCCTGCCTGCCTTGATCCAAATGTCATTCTGGAAAGAAAAATTATTTTACAATGATAGTATAATAATAGTTATGCTTGTTTGCATGGGAGATGCATTGATCAGCTAAATGTAAATGTAAGAATTTTCAAAACTAAAATAACTTTCCTTAATCCTTCTCTCTGCTTTATGACTCATGCTTTGCTGGGAACTTAAAGATTGGAGAACCATTTCTGTCTGTCCTACCTTCCCAGGGGCACAACCATTTCTGTGTTGTTCTAAGGTGTGAGTGCATGGCAGTAGTATTCCTAAACATTCATACTCAGTCTCCTTTTGTACCCTACTCGGTCCCTTTATCTATCCACATTACTTTAAATCATATTTTTCTCTCAAACTGTACAAGGATGATAAATAGGTGGCAAGTGGAACACCCAAGTGTGATGAGCCCTCTCACAGTGGAATGGAGTGAGAAGCTTTATGACCTCATAAATTAAAGGCTATCTTCAGTCATTGTTTTATATATTTTATGTGCATTAATCCTCATATAACCCCAAGAGGTAAATTACTATAATTATCCTCTATTATGGGTGAGAAAGTTGAGACACAGAAGAATCGAAAAACTCTTCCAGCATCAACCAGTAAAAGGCAGACCTTGGATTTGAGCCAGGCAACCTGGCTCAGGTATCAGTTTTAATTACTACACTCTGTACTTTCAAAGACTTGTAAACACTTTGACAATGCATCCCAATTTCAAGTGATGAAGAAACAAACACAATTTTTCACATCTCTCAAATCTGATGAGCCCCCACTATAAAGACTAAATTCCAGGCTGATGACACTGTGAGGCCTCATGGCCAGCTGTGCTGGAGGCCTGGTCAAGGCCAGAGCCTGGGTTTACAGAGAAGCAGACAAACAGCCAAAAAGGGAGATTCACTCTGTCTTCCTGAGTCATTCCCTCTACATTTCCTTTCTCCTAGTTGAGCCTAAGGTGACTGTGTATCCTGCAAGGACCCAGACCCTGCAGCACCACAACCTCCTGGTCTGCTCTGTGAATGGTTTCTATCCAGGCAGCATTGAAGTCAGGTGGTTCCGGAACAGCCAGGAAGAGAAGGCTGGGGTGGTGTCCACAGGCCTGATTCAGAATGGAGACTGGACCTTCCAGACCCTGGTGATGCTGGAAACAGTTCCTCGAAGTGGAGAGGTTTACACCTGCCAAGTGGAGCACCCAAGCGTGACGAGCCCTCTCACAGTGGAATGGAGTGAGCAGCTTTCTGACTTCATAAATTTCTCAACCACCAAGAAGCAAACTTTACTAATCCCTGAGTGTCAGGTTTCTCATCTCCCACATCCTATTTTCATTTGCTCCATGTTCTCATCTCCATTAGCACAGGTCACTGGGGGTAGCCCTGTATAGTTTCTAGAAACACCTGTATCCTCTGGGGAAGCAGTCATTCCTGGCAGGAAGGAGAGGCTGTCCCTGTTTTGAACCTCCCCATGATGTCACAGGTCAGGGTCACCCCCTCTCCCAGGGCTCCAGACCCTGCCTCTGGGTCTGAGACTGTGTTTCTGGTGCTGTTGATCTGAGTTATTTGTTGTGATCTGGGAAGAGGAGAAGTGTAGGGGCCTTCCTGACATGAGGGGAGTCCAATATCAGCTCTGCCTTTTATTAGCTCTGTCACTCTAGACAAACTATTTAACCTCATTGAGTCTCAGGCTTTCTGTTTATCAGATGTTGAAGCCGTGCCTTACATCAGGGCTGTAATATTAGAATGAATTTGATCCCTGAAACTTGTAACTGTTCAGTGTGATTTGAAAACCTTTTTTTTCTCCAGAAATGGCTAGTTATTTTAGTTCTTACAGAGCAGCCTTCTTCCCCATTTTCAAAGCTATGAATATTGCAGGGTCTCAATTAAAAAGGTTCAATTTGGGATAAAAATCACTAAACCTGGTTTCCTCTCCCAGGAGCACAGTCTGAATCTGCACAGAGCAAGATGCTGAGTGGAGTCGGGGGCTTTGTGCTGGGCCTGCTCTTCCTTGGGGCCGGGCTATTCATCTACTTCAAGAATCAGAAAGGTGAGGAGCCTTTGGTAGCGGCTCTCTCCATAGACTTTTCCAGAGGAGGAAATAGGGCTTTGCTGAGGTTAGTTCTCAGTATATGAGTGGCCCTGGATAAAGCCTTTCTTTCCACAAATGACCTCCAATGCCCTGCTAATCCAGAAATCATTAATGCATGGTTACTATGTCAAAAGCATAATAGCTTGTGGCCTGCAGAGATAAGAGAAAGGTTAACTAGTTAAGGGTCCTTTGGTTTGAAATCCTGGAGCAAATTAAGGAAGAGCCACTAAGGCTAATGCAATTACACTGGATCCTGTGACAGACATGTCATGCTTCATGGGTCACATGGTCTGTTTCTGCTCCTCTCTGCCCTGGTTGGTGTGGGTTGTGGTGTTAGAGAAATCTCAGGTGGGAGATCTGGGACTAGGACATTGTGTTGGGAGAATAGATTTGCTTCCATACCTTTTAAGTGTATATCTTTTCCTCTTTTTCCCAGGGCACTCTGGACTTCACCCAACAGGTAATACCTTTTAATCCTCTTTTAGAAACAGATTCAGTTTTCCTAGAATGATGGCAGAGGTGATAAGGCATGAGACAGAAATAGCAGGAAAGACTTTGGATCCAAATTCCTGATCAGGCAATTTATACCAAAACTCCTCCTCTCCACTTAGGCCTGTGCTCTGCAGGAGTATTGGTTCAGGGAGACTTAGGAACTTGTTTTTCTTCTTCCTGCAGTGCTCTCATCTGAGTCCTTGAAAGAGAGGAAAAGAAGCTGTTAGTGGAACCAGGTCTGAAAACAACACTTTCCTCTCTCTCTGCAGGACTCGTGAGCTGAAGTGCAGATGACCACATTCAAGGGGGAACCTTCTGCCCCAGCTTTGCATGATGAAAAGCTTTCCTGCTTGGCTCTTATTCTTCCACAAGAGAGGACTTTCTCAGGCCCTGGTTGCTACCGGTTCAGCAACTCTGCAGAAAATGTCCATCCTTGTGGCTTCCTCAGCTCCTGCCCTTGGCCTGAAGTCCCAGCATTGATGGCAGTGCCTCATCTTCAACTTTAGTGCTCCCCTTTACCTAACCCTACGGCCTCCCATGCATCTGTACTCCCCCTGTGTGCCACAAATGCACTACGTTATTAAATTTTTCTGAAGCCCAGAGTTAAAAATCATCTGTCCACCTGGCTCCAAAGACAAAAAATAAAAAGAAAAGAAAAAGGGAAGATTATTTCCTAATAGCATAATGGTTTTTATATGTATTTCATAAGTATGTGAGGTAATGCACATATTAAATAGCTTGATTTAGTCATTCCACACTATAGGCATATATCAGAACTTCATGCTGTACAACATAAATATACTATACAATTTTTACTTGTCAATAAAAGTAAACCTAACATTTAAAAAGGCAATGCATAAAAATTGAGAACAGATTATAACAACTGAAACAACTTGGCCAACATGAGATGAGAAACCAGCTAGCAAGTCAATCAGAACTCTTCCTTAACCTATTCTAAATACTGCGTATCCATAACTGTAAATTGCATATAATTTTTCATTCCAGAAACTTCAATAATACAATATTATCCAAGGACTTGTACAGATTTCAGAGAATGACAAATTTAGAAAATGGAGGGTTCTCCATTGTGTTTTGAGAGTCAGTATCAAATATGTCAAATCTAAACGGTACATAATCAATGCAGAAGCCTATTTCAAAGTAATAATCATTTGAACATAATTTCTCTACTGTCAGAGACAATTATTTTACTTTCAATCAAATTCAATGTTTATGCATATTTTATTTTTAGCTATATTGCATGTTACTTGTACATATATAGTAGGTATGTACAAGTACATAGAAATCCTGTAAGAATATAAATCCTATAGGAATATAATAAGCTGATAATTATGTCTGATCTGTTTGATTCCAGAGTTGCAATAAAATAGGCTTTCTTCCCTAAGTTGAGGAAATGATTTGTCTCATTTTATATGAGACTTGTGGTGTGGAATTATAAAGAAGAACGAAAATGTGTGGGATGAATATTTCTTTTCTTTTCTTTTTTTTTTTTTTTTGAGACAAAGTCTTACTCTTGTCCCCCAGGCTGGAGTGCAGTGGCGCCATCTCGGCTCACTGCAACCTCCACCTCCCGGGTTCAAGCGATTCTCCTGCCTCAGCCTCCCGAGTAGCTGGGATTACAGGCGCCTGCCACCAAGCCTGGCTAATTTTTGTATTTTTAGTAGAGATGGGGTTTCACCATTTTGGCCAGGCTGGTCTTGAATTCCTGACCTCAGGTGATCCACCCGCCTTGGCCTCCCAAAATGCTGGGATTACAGGCTTGAGCCACCGCGCCCGGCCAAGATGAGTATTCCAATGAAAATGCCTTCTGCTGCTAATAGCAGGAAATCCCATCTAGCAGGCTTTATTTTTTTTTAACCCATGATCTCACATAGCCGTTAGATCCAATGCTGGTTGTCTCCAGGATTGCTCAACTCAGCTGGCCAGTGGCACCTCCAGCGATCCTGAACTTCATCGCTCATCTCTCTTAATACACAGCACGTCAGCTTTCCTGCGATGGTCGGAGGACCCCTGCAGCAGCTTTAGGTTTCTTATTCTTTCACAGCAACTCCCAGAGGTAGGAAAAGGATACTCCTTTCTCCTGTGTGCCTTTATAAGGAGCAACTAAACTGTTTCCAGAGTGTTCCCAGTACCCACTTTCTCACACATTGGAATGACCGTGGGATCACATGGGCTCAGACAAGCCTGGATTCAACATTTGTAGAGTGGGCCTGACACACATGGGAAGAAAAGGAGCAAAATCATACATTTTTAAAAGTAAAGAAATGGTGGCTAGAGTAGGAGAGATTGATTTCAGGGTAGGGAAATGATAGACTGTGGTACCATTGGGTTGTTAGTATTTGTAGTTAAATTCCACATTAAGGCCTATAGATTGCTGATAGGCATCCTCAATTCAGGGTTTTGGGTCGTTTTATAGATATATATATATATACACACACACATACACACACACACACGGAATATATATATATATATATATGTGGAATATCTATATATGGAATATATATATACATGGAATATCTATATATGGAATATATATATACATGGAATATCTATATATATGGAATATATACATGGAATATCTATATATGGAATATATATAGAATATATATGGAATATATATATAGAAATATATATATAGAGAGAGAGAGTATGAAATGTCAGCCGTTAACTCAATTACAATAAAACCAAAAAGCAAGCAAAAAGGATTGTTTTTAGAATTCAAGTATGCTGACATGTTATTTTATGAGGTAAATTCATTTTCCAGGGAAATTTTTGAAAAAAAGTAGAGTAAGGAATGACTAGCTCTGTAAGATGGTAAAACATACTATACATTTATTTTTAAAAATGCATTTTTTTTTTTTGAGACGGAGTCTCACTCTGTCCCCAGGCTAGAGTGCAGTGTCACAATCTCGGCTCACTGCAACCTCTGCCTCCCGGGTTCAAGCAATTCTCCTGCCTCAGCCTCCCAAGTAGCTGGGACTACAGGCACATGCCACCACGCCCAGCTAAGTTTTGTATTTATAGTAGAGACGGGGTTTCACCATGCTGGCCAGGATGGTCTCAATCTCTTGACCTCGTGATCCAACCGCCTCGGCCTCTCAAAGGGCTGGGATTACAGGTGTGAGCCTAAAAATGCATTGTTACTGATTCTCTTTTTCATTAAATATGCTAGTAAAACAAAGTCTAGAATTAGAAACAGAAAGAGTTGATATTTAGTTTCAGTTTTTGGTAAGCTGTATTCCAAACTCATTTTTTTCACTGAATGGATCCTGGTTGAATAAAAATTGAAACATAAAAAGAAAATATAAAATTAACAAGACATGTTATTTCTAATACTATCATCATCATTATAATTATGTTTGAAGACAGACTTTCTAAACCCTTATGTGTTGCTGGTGGGAGTGTATGATTTTACAAATACCTGGAAATTTGGCAGTTTCTTAAAAAGTTTAACATATGTTCGCCATATGACCCCCCAATTTCACTCCTTGGAATCTATGTAAGAGACATAAAAACATATGTCCTCACAAAGATATGTGTTCAAGTGTTCAGAACAGGCTTTGCCTTAGTTGGCCCAAACTGAAAACAATCCAAATGTCCTGCAACTAGTAAATGGATAAACTACATCCATGCAAAGCAATATCATTCAACAGTAAAAGGGAACAAAAATAGACTTATCTGACAGGCTCCCCTGAACATGAACATGAGGGCAGTTTTCCCAGGGCAAGTTTCAACCCTTGCACTCCGGATGATGAGAGATTACTTAATGGGTACAATGCATGTGATTTGGGTGATGGATACTGTAGAAACACTGACTTCACCACTATGCAATCTACGCATATTAACAAAAATACACTTGTACCTTATAAATTTACACAAATGAAAAAAGAAAATAAATGAAAAGAAAAGAAAGAAAATGATGATACCTTCTACAAAACTTGTGAACTTCAATAATGTTAACTAAGTGAGGGTATCTGAACACAAAAGATTACATGTTGTATGATTTCATTTACTTGAAATACCTAGAAAAGGTAAATTTATAGACACAAAAAGCAGATCATTGGGTGCCTAGGGCTTGGGGTATTGGTGGGAATTAATTATAAATAGAGAAATTTTGGACATGACAGAAATGTTATAAAACTGGATTGTGATAATTGCACAAATCTATTAATTTACTAAAATCATTACATTTTACATATACAATGAGTGAATTTTGTAGTATGTAAATTATGCTTTAGTAAACCTGTTAAAATAATTCTTTTTTAAAAAATAAGACTTTCTAAGGAAAACAACATCCAGAAGACTCAAATGAAAAAATATTTGAAGAAAATTACTGATTTTTTGCATGAAGAAAATAACAAAATTAAAAGAAGTATATGAAGCTCTGAAAAAATTTTGATCACATAGAGCAGACAATGGGCTAACTTTCTCAAGAAAAATTATTAGCTAATCAATAAATAAATTAATGGAAATGCCACAGAAAATTGGACAAAGGATATAGACTGAGTATTGAAGAGAATATTCCAATAGTCAGTAAATATAAATATTTGCTCAAACTCACCAATGAACTGAAAAATCCAAATTCAAACAGCAGTGTAATAAACTATTTCTCCCCTGTTGGGGACCAGCCTCAACACCACCCGTGGAGTACCTGAGGTCCAGTGAAGACAGAAGAATGAGAAGAGACAGGTTAAGAGTTAATAAACGTGGGAGCCAGGGGGCCAGTTGCAAACTGGAGGCTGCAAAAGGCCCAGAGTTCTGGTCTCCACACTATTTACTGAGTACAGTCACTTAGATCTAAGAAGCAGATGTTCAGGGAGAAACAGTGAAAGGGTGGCAGTGGGTCATAGGCGTAATCTACAGCAATAGCGGTTTAAATGAATCTCCTTTGTGCTCAAACAGCTTATCTTTAACTTATCAGAGAGTAGCTAGCAGGAGCAGGCTTAACTAGGAGTCTGTACATCTGTCCACATTCCAATGCTTCAAAGGAGGGTCTTTCTCCTTGAATACAGTGTTTACAGATAAGAGAGCGGGTCTTGCTCTGAGCATGGGAACATGATGGCAATTAGGAGGCTTTTCTCCTCAGAGGCCTTTTGTGGCTTTCCACAACTTATTGTCCCATATTTTTATGGCCAGTTTATATAGACACCCCACAAGTCCTTTTCCCAACACCCCCCGACAAAATTGGCAAATACAATAGTTTGTTTTAAAATCAAGGATTTAGAAGATTCAATGGGAATATATTCTCTCATATTATTAGCATTGTGAGTGGATGGCAGTGTGGTAGTATCTATTAAATCTCAAACTACAATTGTTACATGCTTGATGAAAACAACAAAAATCCCATTCTAAACATCTGTCTTAAAGAACCAATCCTACATAAGCCCAAGGAGACATGAAATTGGTTGTTTGTTGAGCCACAGTTTGGAATAACAAAAACATTTCCAAATTCTAAAAGAAAAACTGATTAATTTGTCTTGATTATAAAACTTGTGTACATCATAAAAGCTATGCAACATGTGAAGTGACAGCACACTGCAGAATGACATTTGGTGCTGTGTGTGGCACTGTGAGCATAGATTGGTGTAAACCTGTGAGTAGTTTGGATAATACAGTATTTCCATTCTAGGTTTTTACAGTCTCAGTAAATTTTTCCTTGTATGTCCATGATGACATATAAAAAAAGTAACAGGAGAGAAAAAAATGTATCTCAACATTTACATAGAAGAAAGGTAAATTGTGGGATAGCCATAGAAAGGAATAATGTTCGGGGCTTTAAGTAAATTATGTAGGACTATCAACATGGATTGGAAAAAATCATAAACCATAATGCCAGTTAGGAGGTAGAAAATTGCAAGAATTGTCACTGTTACTATAAGAACAAAAAATATATAGACTAAACTAAGTGGATAAACTGGAAAATAATCTTATTTTTAAAATTTTAATGAGCCATAGATAAAAAATATAAAAATTCCAAATTCCACTTAGGTGAGCAGGGACAAGTGTCCACTCTTATTCTTTGGTCCATCTACTGAATCTTAACATGGGTGGAAGATTAAGCCTGCCTGAGAAAGGGAGATTGTGAGGGAGTGAGGACAAAGCAGCTGAGCTGTAAATAGCCCCGTGGGCTTGTGTGATGCATTACAATCTATGGAGGCCCCCTGAATAATATATGTCTATTTTACCTTACCAGCTCATTCTCCTTCCAGAACTTTTTCTGACTTCATACTGGTGGTGTGGGAAGTAGGGAGGTAGATAGAAGACAACAAACATCTCTGTAGCTTTGAGCAAACAAAGATCAGGAAGGAAATCAAGATAGGAGCAATACTTTCAACCATCTTGACTTAGTTGGCATTTATAATTGACATATAGACTGACAACATTTGACAACTACAGAATATTTATTTATTTACACTGCACAAAGATTATCAATGAAATAGAACTACTATGACTATAAAACTAGTCCCAATTATTTTCACAAGAATAAAATCATACGGAGTATATTCTAGGAACAGTCTTATCAAATTACAAATTAGTAAGATGGACAAAATTGCCCAAATTTTTGGAAGTAAAATAATACATTTCTAAATAATCTATGGCTTGTCAAAGAGGAAATCAGAAGGAAATTAGAAAATAATTTAAAATAAAATAATACTAAAAGAAATTTTTAAATTTTTTGATATGCAACCACAGGAGTCCTTAAAGAAAAATATTTAGTTTTAAATACTTATTTTATAAAAGGATAATATGTCAAAATCAAATATATAAACTTTTAACTTAAGAATCAAAAGAAAGCAAATTTAACTTTGAAAAAGTAGAAGAAAAAAACAAAGAAGTGAGGAAATTGATAAAACTATTTTCTTGATTTTGTTCTCTATTTGTTTATGGTAGAGCATAATTGTGTTCATTCTGACATTGCTAAAAAGAAACACCTGAGGCTGGGCAATTCATAAAGAAAAGAGGTTTCATTGGCTCAGGGTTTTGCACGCTGTACAGGAGGTGTGGTCCTGGCAATTGCTTCTGGTGAGGGCCTCAGGAAGCTAACAGTCATGGCGGAAGGAAAGGGGAGCCCAGGTATCACATGGTGAGAGCAGGAGCACAGAGAAAGTGGGGAAGAGTTGCACTCCTTTAAACAACCAGATCTCCTGTGAACTGAGTCAGAACTCACTCATTTCAGCTAGGATGGCACCAAGCCAATGATGAAGGATCTGCCCCCTGACCCAACAACCTGTTAGCAGGCCTCGCCTCCAACATTGGAGGTTACATTTCAACATGAGATTTGGAGGGGACAAAAATCCAAACTATATCAATAACATAATTGGTTTAATGTATACTGATGTTGTATCCAGCAACATTATTTAAATTTACTTATTAAATCTATGAGCTTGTCTATTATTTTTATATATTTTTCTCTTTTACATAATAATTATTTTTTTATTATACTTTAAGTTTTAGGTGCATGTGCATAACGTGGAGTTTTGTTACATACGTATACATGTGCCATGTTGGTGGGCTGCACCCATTAACTCGTCATTTATAGTATTATTTTTATTTTCTAAGTACCTGATTTTGCCCAGAGTAAATAATGACCATCTTACCTGGATGCAACTATTATCCCTTTTGTATATTTTTCTTGCCATTTTCATTGCCTAACTCCTCTACTACTCCAGATATGAAGGAGACAGCATTTTTAGTGTTTATTTTATTAATTAATAATTATTTTTTATTATTATACTTTAAGTTCTAGGGTACATTTGCACAACGTGCTGGTTTGATACATAGGTATACATGTGCCATGTTGGTTTGCTGCACCCATCAACTCGTCATTTACATTAGGTATTTCTCCTAATGCTATCCCTCCCCTAGCTCCCCACCCCCCAACAGGCCCCAGTGTGTGATGTTCCCCACCCTGGGTCCTAGTGTTCTCATTGTTCAATTCCCACCTATGAGTGAGAACATGCGGTGTTTGGTTTTCTGTCCTTGTGACAGTTTGCTCAGAATGATGGTTTCCAGCTTCATCCATGTCCCTACAAAGGACATAAACTCATCCTTTTTTATGGCTGCATAGTACTCCATGGTGTATATATGTCACATTTTCTTAATCCAGTCTATCATTGATGGACATTTGGATTGGTTCCAAGTCTTTGCTATTGTGAATAGTGCTGCAATAAACATACGTGTGCATGTGCCTTTATAATAGCATGATTTATAATCCTTTGGGCATATACCCAGTAATTGGATCGCTGGGTCAAATGGTATTTCTAGTTCTAGATCCTTGAGGAATCGCCACACTGCCTTCCACAATGGTTGAACTAATTTACACTCCTACCAACAGTGTAAAAGTGTTCCTATTTCTCCACATCCTCTCCAGCATCTGTTGTTTCCTGACTTTTTAATGATCACCATTCTAACTGGTGCAAGATGGTATCTCATTGTGGTTTTGATTTGCATTTCTCTGATGATGTACATTTGCATTTTTCATGTGTCTTTTGGCTGCATAGATGTCTTCTTTTGAGGAGTGTCTGTTCATATCCTTTGCCCATTTTTTGATGGGGTTGTTTGTTTTTTTCTTGTAAATTTGCTTGAGTTCATTGTAGATTCCGGATATTAGCCCTTTGTCAGATGGGTAGATTGCAAAAATTTTCTCCCATTCTGTAGGTTGCCTCTTCACTCTGATGGTAGTTTATTTTGCTGTGCAGAAGCTCTTTAGTTTAATTAGATACCATTTGTCTATTTTGGCTTTCGTTGCCATTGCTTTTGGTGTTTTAGTCATGAAGTCCTTGCACATGCCTATGTCCTGAATGGTATTGCCTATGTTTTCTTCTAGGGTTTTTATGGTTTTAAGTCTAACATTTAAGCCTTTAATCCATCTTGAATTAATTTTTGTATAAGGTGTAATGAAGGGATCCAGTTTCAGCTTTCTACATATGGCTAGCCAGTTTTCCCAGCACCATTTACTGAATAGGGAATCCTTTCCCTGTTTCTTGTTTTTGTCAGGTTTATCACAGATCAGATGGTTGTAGATGTGTGGTATTATTTCTGAGCTCTCTGTTCCTTTCCATTGGTCTATACTTCTGTTTTGGTACCAGTACCATGCTGTTTTGGTTATTATAGCCTTGTAGTATAGTTTGAAGTCAGATAGCATGATGCCTCCAGCTTTGTTCTTCTGGCTTAGGATTCTTGGCAATGCGGGCTCTTTTTTAGTTCCATACAAACTTTAAAGTAGTTTTTTCCAATTCTGTGAAGAACGTCATTGGTAGCTTGAGGGCGATGGCATTGAATCTATAAATTACCTTAGGCAGTATGGCCATTTTCAGGATACTGATTCTTCCTATTCATGAGCATGGAGTATTCTTCTATTTGTTTGTGTCCTCTTTTATTTCATTGAGCAGTGCTTTGTAGTTCTCCTTGAAGAGGTCCTTCACGTCCCTTGTAAGTTGGATTCCTAGGTATTTTATTCTCTTTGTAGCAATTGTGAATGGGAGTTCACTCATGATTTGACTCTCTGTTTGTCTGTTATTGGTGTATAGGAATGCTTGTGATTTTTGCACATTGATTTTGTATCCTGAGACTTTGATGAAGTTACTTATCAACTTAAGGAGATTTTGGGGTGAGATCATGGGGTTTTCTAAATATACAATCATGTCATCTGCAAACAGGGACAATTTGACTCCCTCTTTTCCTAATTGAATACCCTTTATTTCCTTCTCCTGCCTGATTGCCCTGGCCAAAACCTCCAACACTATGTTGAATAGGAGTGGTGAGAGAGGGCATCCCTGTCTTGTGCCAGTTTTCAAAGGGAATGCTTCCAGTTTTTGCCCATTCAGTACGATATTCGCAGTGGGTTTGTCATAAATAGTTCTTATTATTTTTAGATACCTTCCATCAATACCTAGTTTATTGAGAGTTTTTAGCATGAAGCACTGTTGAATTTTATCAAAGGCCTTTTCTGCATCTATTGAGATAATCATGTGGTTTTTGTCATTGGTTCTGTTTATGTGATGGATTACTTTTATTGACTTATGAATGTTGAACCATCCTTGCATCCCAGGGATGAAGCCGACTTGATCTTGATAGATAAGCTTTTTGATGTGCTGCTGGATGCGGTTTGCCAGTATTTTACTGAGGATTTTTGCATCGATGTTCATCAGGGATATTGGTCTAAAATTTTCTTTTTTTGTTGTATCTCTACCAGGCTTTGGAATCAGGATGATGCTGGCCTCATAAAATGAGTTAGGGAGGATTCCCTCTTTTTCTATTGATTGGAGTAGTTTCAGAAGGAATGGTACCAGCTCCTCTTTGCAGGGACATGGATGAAGCTGGAAACCATCATTCTCAGCGAACTATCACAAGGACAGAAAACCAAACACTCATAGGTGGGAATTGAACAATGAGAACACTTGGACACAGGGCGGGGGAATATCACACATCAGGGCCTGTTGGGATATGGGAGACTTGGGGGAGGGATAAAATTAGGATACATACCTAATGTAAATGACGAGTTGATGAGTGTAGCAAACCAACATGGCACATGTATACCTATGTAACAAACCTGCACGTTGTGCATATGTACCCTAGAACTTAGAGTATAAAAAAAGAAAAAAGAAAAAAAAAAGTTATTGGTCTATAAATTCCTATTTGTTGTAGAGTTCTTTTCAGATCTTAAAGTTTACACACATCTCATCAAACGTAACTGCAAGTGTTTTTCCTTTTTTCAAATATGTTTGAAATTAGCATAAAGGTAGTGTTGATTGTTCCTTAAATATTTTAAAATAATTACTGAAGTTAGATCAACCTGCGATCTTGTCTTGGGAAAGCTTTATAGAATGGGCTTACTTTCTGTATGAGATGTGGAACTCATCATATGTTATGTTATTTGTCAGCTTCAGCATACTGTACATTTTGAGTAACTCATTCATTACATGCAAATTTTTGTATAGTTTTTCATAATATTTAATATTATTTCATGCTGATAAATCTGTAAGACTATAATGAAAGATATGAAATTTGTGTCACTGGCATCTTAGAGAGAGATGACAAATGGGTGAAGCCCAAAGAGAGTTTGAAGGAAGATTGATTATTTTCCAAATTTGGACAAAGACTTAAACGTAAAAATTCAAGAATCTGGGCAAACCCAAATGAAGATAAACCCGAAGAAATTTATGCCAAAAATCTTGAAAGCAACAAGATAGAAATGACACTTCATGCCCAGGAGAAAATAAATTAAATGACAGTGGATTGCTCATTAGAAATCATGCAGACCAGACAGAAGTGGCACAAGGTATTTTAATGGCTGAAAATAATGTTATGTTAATCTAGAATGTATATCCTGTAAAAATATTGGCATAAAATGAAGGTTCTATCATAACATTCTGTTGTTGTGGTGGTGGTGGTTGTTTTTGTTTTTTAGATAAAGTCTTGCTCTGTCACTCTGGAGTGTGGAGGGCAGTGGCACAACCAAAGCTCACTGCAGCCTCTGCCTCCCAGGCTAATGTGATCTTCACACCTCAGCCTCCTGAGTAGCTGGGATTACAGACCTGCACCACCATGCCTGGCTAATTTTTTGTATTTTTGGTAGAGATAGAGTTTTCCCATGTTGCCCAGGCTGGTCTCAAACTCCTGAGCTGAGAGGATCGCCTTCCTTGGCCTCCCAAAGTGCTGGGATTACAGGCATGAGCCACAGCGCCCAGCCATGACATTCTTAGAGGAAGGAAAATCAAGAGAATTTGATGCTAGCAGACTTATCCTAAAACAAAGGCTAAAGGAAGTCCTTGAACTGGAATAGAAATGATAATGGAAGAAATCTTGGACAATCAGGAAAAAAATAAACAATAGAGTGAGTAAAAATATGGGTAGATACAACAGATTTCTCTTCTTCAGTTTTGTAAGTTAATTTGATGGTTGAGGCAAATATTACAACATTGTCAGATGTGGTTTTTGATGCAGGTAGAGAAAATAAAAGATATACATTATAAATGAAGGAATAGAAAGGGATATAAAGAAGGTAAAGTTTCTACACCTGAGTCAAATTGGTAAACTGTCAGCACCAGTAGACTATGATAAGTTACTAGACAGATAAATCATAAAAACTCTACAATGAGATACACCAAAAAATGGTTGATTAAAAAATGGAATTTTAAATATTGCTTCAGGAACACATCGAAAAACAAGAAAAGAAAACAGAGAAGCAAAAACCAAAGGAAACAAAAAAGAAAACAAAAAGTAGATGGCAGTCATAAGAGCTCACATATTAATAATTGCATTACATGTAAATCGTCTAAAAAGACAAATGTCAGAGTGAAAAATAATGACCCATTGATATGTTACCTATAAGAAACTTACTGCAAATATTACAAGAATGGAAGATTGAAATAGAAAAATGGAAAAAAGTAAACCATGCAAACATTTGTCAAAGAAAGCAGAAATGGCTATAATATCAGATAACATAAAATACACCGAGCAATGAATATTCTGAGAGACAAACAGAAACACTACATAATGATAAAAGTGTTAATTCACAAAGAAGGCAGAGCAACTCTAAATGTGTGTGCACCAAACAACCAAGTTACAAATAAGTAGAGCAAAAATGGTCAGAACTGGAAGGAGAAATGGACAAGTAAATACACAGTTAAACTTTGAGACTTCACATCTCTGAAAAATTAATAAAACAACTATATAGAAACTCAGCAAGATAATGAAACCCAACAAAACTATCCACCAATAAGATCTAATAGACATTTACAGACCACCACACCAAACCACAGAATATAATTTTTTTAACTGTCCATGGAATATTTACCAACATAGACACATAGACCATACCCTGGACCATAAAAGGAACCTTAAAAAATGTGAAAGAATTGAAATAATACAGACTGAGTTCTGTGGAAGCAATGGAGTTGAAGCAGAAATCAATAACATGAAGAAAATTGGTACAACTCCAAACATATAGAAACTTAATAACATACTTTTAAATTACCCGTGGATCAAAAAAGATGTCTTAAGGAAAATAAAAATATATTCAACTAAGTGAAAATGAAAATACAACATATGAAAATGTTTGGCACATAGCTAAAGCAGTGCTTTGAAAAACTATTTATAGTACAAAACGTATACACTAAAAAAGAGAAAAGGTCAGAAACCAATAATCTCAGTTCCCACCTCAAGAATCTGGAAAAGTAGTCTAAAATAACCTAAAGCAAGAAGAAGAAAAAAAATGAATATAAGGGCAGAACTTGGTGACTCACGCCTGTAACCCCAGCATTTTGGGAGGCCAAAGGGACAGATTACCTGAGGTCGGGAGTTTGATACCAGCCTGACCAACATGGAGAAACCCCCTCTCTACTAAAAATACAAAATTAGCTGGATGTGGTGGCACATTTCTGTAATCCCAGCTACTTGGGAGGCTAAGGCAAGAGAATCACTTTAACCTGAGAGGCAAAGGTTGTGGTGAGCCAAGATTGTGCCATTGCACTCCAGCCTTGGCAACAAGAACAAAACTCTGTCTCAAACAAACAAACAAAAAAAAAACAAAAAGGAGAGAGAAAATCAGTGAAAGAAAAAGTTTGTTCTTTGAAAAGATTAATAGAACTGACAAATTTCTAGGACAAAATAGAAGGGAAAAAGGAGAAAAAACACCAATATTGGGATTGAAACATGTTATATCACTAGAGGTCCTTCGACATCAATAGTCCACCAAAAGAATACACCAAAAACACTTAGGTGAAATGGAAAAAAATCCTTAAAAAGTATGCACTATTACAACTAACTCAATACGAAATAGATAAATTGAAAAGCTCTATAATTATGAAAGAAATAGAAATTATAACATAAAGACTGCTGAAGGAGAAATCTCTAGGCCAGAATAGTTTCATGGGAGAAATCTACCAAACATTTCGGTAGAATTAACGCAAGTCTGCAAAATTTCCTCCAGAAAACAGAAGAGAACAGAACACACCCCAACTTATTTTATGAGGACAGCATTTCCTAAAATCAAAAGCACACAAAAATAGTACAGCAAAAGAATAATAAAAAGCAATATACTCACATGACTGTAGATGCAAAACTCCCTAACAAAATGTTAGCAAATAAAAATCAGTCAAACTGAAAAAATATGTAAATTATTCCAAGTAGCGTTTATTCAAGGGTGCAAGTCTGGTTTAATGTTTGAAATCAATCAATGTCATCCATCATATTAACAAACTAAAGAAGAAACATCGCATCTGTCACCCAGGCTGGAGTGCAATGGTGCAGTCTCGGCTCACTGCAACCTCCGCCTCCCAGGTTCAAGCTATTCTCTTGCCTCAGCCTCCCGAGTAGCTGGGATTACAGGCACCCGCCACCATGCCCTGCTAATTTTTGTATTTTTAGTAGAGACGAGGTTTCACCATGCTGGCCAGGCTGGTCTCGAACTCCTGACCTCAGGTGATCCACCTGCCTCAGCCTCCCAAAGTGCTGGGATTACAGGCATGAGCCACTGCACCCGGCCAAAGCATCGCTTGATTCTATCAATTGATGTAGAAAAGGCCTTTGACATAATTCAACATTTGAGATAACAGCAACAACAAAAAACCCCTCAAAATAGTAGAAATCAAAGACTACCTCCTGAATTTTATAAATAACTTCTACAAAAATGTTGTGGCTAAATTACACTTAATGGTGGAAGACTGAATGCTTTTCCTCCTCTGCTTCAGCTAATGAGGAAATTCACAAAAGTCACAATTCAAGATCAACCAAAAAATCAATTTTATTTGAATATACAGTAACAAAGAAATCAAAACAAATATTAAAAATACAACATGAGGCTGGGCTTGGTGGCTCACACCTGTAATCCCAGCACTTTGGGAGGCCAAGGCAGGCAGATAACGAGGTCAGGAGATCAAGACCATCCTGCCTAACACAGTGAAACCCCGTCTCTACTACAAATACAAAAAAATTAGCTGGGCGTGGTGGCGGGCACCTGTAGTCCCAGCTACTCAGGAGGCTGAGGCAGGAGAATGGTGTGAACCCGGGAGGCGGAGCTTGCAGTGAGCCGAGATCGTGCCACTGCACTCCAGCCTAGGCGACAGAGCGAGACTCCGTCTCAAAAAAAAAAAAAAAGAAAGAAACAACAACAACAAAATAAAAACCAAAAAAAAAAAACCATGAATTTTCTTCACTCAAAAATCCTCATAAGTGTACCAACAGAACAATCCATATGCTGAAATCCTGAAGAAATAAAAAATTTAAAGACATGGAGAGATTTACTGTGTTAATCAACTAAAAACCTAAATATAGTAAAGATGTCAACTCTCCCCAATTTGATATCCAGATTTAATACCATTTCTCTCTAAATTCCAGCAAGATTTATAATAGTTGTAGAGAAAGTTATTCTAAAATGTATAGGTCAAACAAATTTCATAGAAAAAAAACATGGAGAAGTAACTGTAACCAAATTTCAGAATTCTTATAGCTGCAGTAATCAATATTGATTGACATTAGTGCAGGGATAGACAGAGACTAGTGGAGCAGTATAGAGAATCCAGAAATATACCTATGCCAACTCATTTTGACAAAGATGCAAAAGAATTCAATGAAGGTAATAGAGTCTAGAGTCTTTTCAAACAATGATCCAGGAGAAAGTGGAAATCCATAGACAAATCAAAACGAAACAAAAGCAAAAAAGAAGCAAAAGGAAAAAGAAGCAAGAAAGAAACTTAACAAATTCTCTCATCTTGTGAAAACACTTACCCCAATTAAATCATGTCTACATGTCTACATGTAAAACGTTTAGAAGAAAACATATGAGAAAACATATGAGAAAATCGTCAGGAGCTAGGGCTTGTTGTCTTGAGTTCTGAGTTCTTAGATATGACACCAAAAGCACTATGTGTAAAAAACAAAAACAAAAACAAACAAAATCAATAAATGGAGCTTTATCAAAATGTAAAAACTTTTGTTCTGTAAGGTATCCAGCTAAGAAATGAAAAGTAAGCTAGAGATATGAAGAAAATATTTAAAACCACATATATTATCAAGAATACATTATCTAGAATATATAATCAACTATAAAAGCTCTACTATAAAATCTATAGTAGATTGAAGACTATAACATTTAATTACAAAATTGGCAAAAGGTATGAAGAGACATTTTATCACAGAAGATATATATACATGGCAAATAAGCACAATAAATCACTAGCCATCCGGGAAATGCAAATTAAGAACTTGATATTATAGCACTACACACCTTTTAATACAGCTAAAATTCTTTTAAAAACTAACAATGATAAACGCTGGTGATAATGAAGAAAAACTGGATTTCCATACACTGATGGTGAGAATGTAAAATGGCACAGTCCTAGAAAATAGTTTGGCTGTGTCTTGAAGAACTAGACATATATTTGCCACATGAGCCAGGAATTACATTCTGGGACATTTATATCAGAGAAATAAAAACACATGTTCACACAAAAATCTTACACAAGTGTTCACAACAACTTTATTTGTAATAGCCCCAAAATAGAAACAGCCAAAATGTCCCTCAACAGGGAAATAGTTAAACTGCAGTGCCTCCGTCTGATAGAGTATTCCTTAGCAATAAAAAAGAGCAAATTGTTGATACACGCAACATCTTGGATGGATCTCAAGGACATTATGCTGAGGGGAAAATGCCAGTCACAAAAGTCACATACTGTGTGATTCTATTTATGTAACATTTTCAGAATGACGCTATTATAGAGATTGGTGGAGAAGAGATTAGTGGTTGTCAGTTGTCAGGGTGATGATGTGTAGGGAGTGGGTTGTGACTCTAAAGGGCAGCATGAGGGGAGATCTCTGTGGGATGGAATAGCTCTCCACTGGATTGCGTGGTGGTTACATAAATCTGCAAAAATGATAAGACAAGGCATAGAACTATGGACACATATTATACCAAAGTCAGTTTCCTGGTTTTGCTAGTGTGCTAGAGCTACTTAAGATATAAACATTTGGAAAAACTGGGTGAAAGTGTGTCCAGAATTTATTCCTTCTGGTGGGTTCTAGGTCTTGCTGACATCAAGAATGAAGCTGCAGACCCTTGTGGTGAGTGTTACAGCCCATAAAGGTAGTGCGGACCCAAAGAGTGAGCAGCAGCAAGATTTATTGTGAAGAGCGAAAGAACAAAGCTTCCACAGCGCAGAAGGGGACCCAAGTGGGTTGCCACTGCTGGCTCGGGTGGCCAGCTTTTATTCCCTTATTTGGCCCTGCCCATGTCCTGCTGATTGGTCCATTTTACAGAGTGCTGACTGGTCTATTTTACAGAGTGCTGATTGGTGTGTTTACAATCCTTGAGCTAGACACAGAGTGCTGATTGGTGAATTTACAATCCTTTAGCCAGACAGAAAAGTTCTCTAAGTCCTCACTCGACCCAGAAGTCCAGCTGGCTTCACCTCTCAATCCCCCCTCTGAACAGGACACCCCAACTGCTGTTGGGAATTGGGTGATGACCATTCTAGGTACTTCCTGCTGGATAGGGGCAAAGAAGGGGCCCTGCAGTTGTAGTGTCCTCCAGAGAGGAACTCTTTAGGCCAGTGAAAGGGCCAGTGGGTTGGTCCAGGGGTCCTCAGTAGAAGTTGTTAGTTGAGCACATTTGAGGTTCCATTTGTAAGACCATCTGTAGCTTGATAGCCTCAATCCTAGAGGAAACAAATTTGACAAGGAGGTTAAAAATACAGGACCCAAAGGTGAGTAATAGTTAGATGGCTGTCACAGGACATGGAAAGGGGAGAGGCCATATCACCCAACTCCAGAGATTGGTATAAGAATTTGAAAGGCATTGTCTGATTTCAGAAGCCTTTTCCTGTAAATGCCAGGTGGCATCTCGCACTATCTTGGACTGGTTAGTATAAAAGCAACACTCTTCCACTAAGAAGGTGCAGAGTCCTCCTTTCTCAGCAGTGAGGAGGGCTAGGCCTCATCGGTTTTGGAGAGTCACTGCTGCCAAAGAGTCCATTTGGGATTGTAGAGTAAGCATAGATTTTGCTATTTCTCACAAGCTGTCTGAGAAATCCTTTGAGAGTGTGTGGTAGTAGGATAATGAAGTAGATAAACCTGCTATTCCGGTTTCTGTAGCACTAGCCATTCCTAACCCTATAAGTAGAGGTATTAGTTGTATGGCCCTGTGCTGATGGACTTGAGCTTCGAGGGGCACAGATAGGGTCTGATTTCTACAAGATTAGAAGTTAGGATAATATATGTTACACTGTTAACTTTTAGCAAACTTTACTTTTGTGGAAAACTTTGTAAGTTTGGGATTTCAATTATTCTTTGCTATTAATAAGACCTCATTGAGTCCATATTAACTTAGAATTGGTATAGATGGCTCCTTCCTGATTCTGTAAGTACTTTAAGGTTTGGCTGAGTGCAAATAGCTCTCACATTTGAGCAGACCAATTATTAGGCAATTTTCCTAACTCTGGTTCTACAAGAGTTCCCTTATCACTTACTGAATACCCATTGTGTCTTTATACTTAATTGCCTGGGAGGAACCATCTATGGTCCTGTCCTGAGGGGAGTTCCCCCTAGATCTGGTTGGACCTTTGTATATTAATTAGTTAAGATTTAGATCCCCTGTTAGGAAACCTGCTGGGTTAAGGATTTTGTTTGTTTGTTTGTGTTTTGAGATGGAGTCTCGCTCTGTTGCCCAGGCTGGAGTGCAGTGGCGCTATCTCAGCTCACTGCAAGCTCCACCTCCCAGGTTCACACCATTCTCCTGCCTCAGCCTCCCAAGTAGCTGGGACTACAGGCACCCACCACCACGCCCAGCTAATTTTTTTGTATTTTTAGTAGAGACGGGTTTTCACTGTGTTAGCCAGGATGGCCTCAATCTCGTGACCTCATCATCTGCCCGCCTCAGCCTCCCAAAGTGCTGGGATTACAGGCATGAGCCACCGCACCTGGCCAGGTTAAGGATTTTTGATAAAAAAGCTACAGGTTGTCAGTGGCCTCAGTGCTTTCGGGCTATGCCCTTGTTTACACTGACAACAAGATGGTATTGTAGTGTTTTAGGGTTATGGAGAAGACCTTCAATTATCAATCATAGGTTTTAAATTTACCCTGGCTTTTAAAGGAATAGGGTACACTGTTTTTTCTTTACTACTTCTATCTCTTTCTCTCTGACTCCTTCTTTGTCTCTTCCTCTCTTTCCTTCTCTCTTTGACTTTCTGTCTCTCTGTCTCTTCCTCTGTCTCTCTCTTTCTGTCTTTCCCCCCTTTCTCTCTTCTCTCTTTTCTTTCTGACTCCCTCTTTGTTTCTGTCACTTCCTCTTTCTCTCTCTCACACTTTCTGTCTCTTTCTCTCTTTCCTTTCTGCCGGTCTTTCCCTGCCTCTGCCAGCTGTTTATGCTGTGGTTCTCCCCTCTCCTTCCCTTTTGATGGCTTCGGCAGCGTAAGACTGCCACCTCCTTGGGTTTTTGCACTGCGTGCAATAACTCCACGGTTTCCTTGTGATATTTAATGGGGGTTCCCCCAGAGGTTAGGAACTCTCTTTCTTTCCATATTGCAGCATGGGCATGTAGGATTAGATAAGGATACTTAGTATCTGTAGCAAAGTCTCCCAATTATAATTGAGGAGGTGGTTATTACAGGCGCCCCCAGGATTCGTCAGATGATAATGGACCTTGAGGACAGTCATCCGGGACAGGAGATTAACACTGAGAAGGCCACACCAGTGTCCAGGAGGAAGTCAATTTCCTGGCCCTCGATGGTTAAATGTACCCAGGGCTCAGTGAGGATAATGACAGGAGCTGGTGCTTGCCCCGGGCACCCTCAGTCCTGTTGTTGGATCATCTGGTTGGGGGCTTCTGGCCCAGAGAACCTTTGCACTCTGGGGCAGTGCACCTCCAGTGATTGCCTTGACATAGTGGACATGGGCAAGGGGGTGGCTTGTTTCTCATTAGACAATCTTTTTTAAAGTGTCCTTGTAAACCACACTGATAACAAGCCTTACTGGGTGATTGGCCTGCTCCATTTTCTGTCCTCTCTGAACCACCAAGGTTTGTTTGTCTGAGGGCCATGACTAAGGCTGCGGCCTTTCTCTGATCTCACTTTTCCTTTTCTGCCTTTTCCTCTTGGTCCCTATTATAGAACACCGAGGTTGCCAGGTTTAATAATGCCTCCAGATTTTGTTCAGGGCCCAGGGCTCACTTCTGGAGCTTTCTCCTGATTCCTGTGGCTAATTGGGTAATAAACTTATCTTTTAGGATCAATTGACCCTCGAGTGAGTTGGGAGACAGGGGAGTATATTTTCTTAAGGCCTCCCATAGCAGCTCAAGGAAGGCAGAATGATTTTCTTCCCTTCCCTGAGTTATGGTGGACATCATTAAATAATTCATGGGCTTTTTCCTAATTCTCCTTAGTCCTTCTAGAACACAGGTCAACAGATGTTTGCGACTCCAGTCCCAATGATCTGAGTTGAGGTTGCAGTGGGGATCCATACTGGGGACTGCTTGCTGACCAGCAAGGAATTTGTCCCTTTCTTCAGCTGTCATTCTATCATTTACTTGACTAAGATACCAAGTATCTCCAAATTCTCGGGCTACAGCTAAAGCCACATTTTTTTTCATTAAAGGCCAGGGTTTGATCTAACAATAGCATGACATCTCTCCAAGTGAGATCAAAGGTTTGCCCTAGACCCTGTAGGACATCTATATACCTATCAGGATCATCTGAAAGCTTCCTCAGGTCTGCCTTGATCTGCTTTAAATCAGAGAGGGAGAAGGGGACATATACCCAGGTGGGCCAAATTCCCCTTCCCCTACAGCTTGAAGGGGACATAACCGATAGCCCAGGGGGGTTGTGGTCCCTTGGAGATTTCTTTGCTTGTTTCCTTCTGGGTGGGGAGATTAGAGAAGGCTTATCATTAATAGGAAAGGGAGCTATAGGGAGGCTAGGATATTGGGGTAAGCTGAGAGGTCCTCTTGTGGGATGTAAATTGCAAGCTTTGCATAGTTGTGGATTCTCCTTCAATGAAAAGAAAGCTTGGACATAAGGTATTTTGCTCCATTTGCCTTCCCTCTTTCAGAAAATGTCAAGCTGCAAGATGATATTGTAATTTATACTTCCCTCAGGTGGCCATTTTTCCCCATCAGAGAGAGAATATTGGAGCCAAGCCATAGTGTAGAAAAAAATGAGCCACCACTTTTTCAGGGTTTGTGGGTCAAACTGGTCCCAATGGCTTAGGATGCATTTCAAGAGTGAGCCTGTTGATGCCTGAGTGTTTCCCACCTGAAAGACAAAACCGCCTGCAGTTTTGGTTTGTTTGTTTCTCTCCCACCCAAGAACCCACAACAATCCCTGGACCTTGCTGACTGGAATAGTTGCACTCACCGACACAGCAGCAGAAACACCTCTTGCACAAGAACCCACAATGGTCCCTGGACCCTGCTGATCGGAATAGTTGCACTCACCAACGCAGCAGCAGAAACACTAGTTTTCCTCCTAGACCACAAGGAGGACCAAGGAAGGTCGGATTTAGTGGCCCTTACTGACACATTCTCGAAAACCTGCGCCCTTGCCTGTTCTCCTAGACCACAAAGAGGACCAAGAAAAATCAGATTTAGTGGCCCTTACCAACGCATTCTCAAAAAACTGTTAGAGTCCTAAGCATTCTCCTGTTAGTATTGGGACTTTACCCCTGTCCTATAAAGATGTTATGCCCCAAAAATGAAGTTGAGGGCTATACCCTGAGGGTGGGAAGGGATCTCCAGGGTTGGAAGAGTGACGCCTTTTGTCCTCACTTGAATAGGAAGGATATCATTTCTGAAGCTCCCCATATCCTAGCTTCAGGAATAGCTTTTCTTAGGCCTGTTAGTCTCAGGAGGGATCCTAAAATTCCAGAAAGTCCCGCCCAGCAGACGGGGCTTTGGGCAAAAATTATTTCTTTCTGATTGGTGAGCCTGAGTGCCTAAAGAAGGGAACAGAGTCCTGAGGTTTATACTAGAAATCATTCTTACAGGAGAAACTAGAAAAGCACCAGAGACAGGGAGTGGTTTTTAAAAGTGGGACTAGCCTCAGAGAAGTGAGGTGGGAGGAAGTTTGTCTGACAGGCATTAGGACCCAAGAGGCAAGGGTCAGGATAGATAGGATAGATGGGCGAGTCTCACTTGGGTGACATGACTTTGAGAGTTCCACTCATGGCCACAGGGTCAACCAACTTGTTGTCAAGACTCCAGAGCTGAATGGCTTCTTCTCTGTTGAACCTCAGCTCAGCCCAGAAGTACAGGAAAAGTGGAAGCTGGTTCCAGGCAAACCAATACTTCCAACTCCGAAGAGTCAGGGTGAGAGGTGACAATGTGCCAGCAGCCCTTGCTCACTCGCGGCGCCTCCTCGGCCTTGGCGTTTGCTCTGGCCATGCTTGAGAAGCCCTTCAGCCTGCTGCTGCGATATGAGGGCCCCTCTCTGGGGCTGGCCGAGGCTGGAGCTGGCTCCCTCTGCTTGTGGGGAGGTGTGGAGGGAGAGGCATGGGTGGGAGCCAGGGCTGCACATGGCACTTGCAGGCTGGTGTGTGTTCTGGGTGGGTGCAGGCTTGGCGGGCCTTGCACTCAGAGCGGCCAGCCGGCGTCTGCTGGGCATGATTGAGGGATGAGCTCCCTCTGGGCTGCTGGAGTGCCAGGGCTGGGTGCTGCAGAGTCCTGCAGCGAATGCTGGTGACAGGTGAAGCCGGCTGGGCTTCTGGGACAGATGGGGACTTGGAGAACTTTTCTGTCTATCTGAAGGATTGTAAACGCACCAATCAGCCCTCTGTGTCTAGCTAAAGGTTTGTAAATGCACCAATCAGCACTCTGTCAAAACGGACCAATCAGCTCTCTGTAAAATGGCCCAATGAGCAGTGTGTGGAGGGGTCAGATAAGGGAATAAAAGCAGACTGCCTGAGCCATCAGCGGCAACCCGCTTGGGTCCATTTCCATGCTGTGGAAGCTTTGTTCTTTCGCTCTTTGCAATAAGTCTTGCTGCTGCTCACTCTTTGCGTCCACTCTGCCTTTATGAGCTGTAACACTCACCACGAAGGTCTGCAGCTTCACTCCTGAAGTCAGCGAGACCATGAACCCACCGGGAGAATGAACAACTCCGGATGCGCTGCCTTTAGGAACTGTAACACTCACAGCGAAGGTCTGCAGCTTCACTCCTGAAGCCAGCGAGACCATGAACCCACCAGGAGGAACAAAAACTCTGGATGTGCTGCCTTTAAGAGCTGTAACACTCACTGCGAAGGTCTGCGGCTTCACTCCTGAAGTCAGCGAGACCACAAACCCACCAGAAGGAAGAAACTCCAGACACACCATCTTTAAGAACTGTATCCCAGCACTTTGGGAGGCCAAGGTGGGCAGATCATGAGGTCAGGAGATCGAGACCATCTTGACTACAGTGAAACCCTGTCTCTACTAAAAATACAAAAAATTAGCCGGGCGTGGTGGCAGGCACCTGTAATCCCAGCTACTTGGGAGGCTAAGGCAGGAGAATGGCTCGAACCTGGGAGGTGGAGCTTGCAGTGAGCTAAGATGGCACCACTGCACTCCAGCCTGGGTGACAGAGGGAGACTCTGTATGAAAAAAAAAAAAAAGAACCGTTACACTCACCACGAAGGTCCACAGCTTCATTCTTGAAGTCAGCGAGACCAAGAACCCACCAATTCCAGACACAGTAGGTTGTTAGAGAGCCCTTTCCCAGAAAGCCTGACATCCGTGTCTTTAGTCTGGCAGCTGTGCTAGTCGCTTTTAACTGGCCAACAGGTGCCTGGTATTTAGCCCCCGAATTCTAAGGAAAAATAGGATAGAATAGCAAGTGAAAGGGTCCTGATGGTGCTCACTGCTTGGCGATAGGTGATAGGTGATAGTCCCTTCGTGGTTGCCAAAATGTGTCTGGAATTTATTCCTTCTGGTGGGTTCTTGGTCTGACTGACTTCAAAAATGAAGCCATGGACCCTCGTGGTGAGTGTTGCAGCTCATAAAGGTAGTGCAGACCCAAAGAGTTAGCCGCAGCAAGATTTATTGTGAAGAGTAAAAGAACAAAGCTCCACAGCGTGGAAGGGGACCCACAGGTTGCCGCTGCTGGCCCGGGTGGCCAGCTTTTATTCCATGATTTGGCCCCGCCCACTTCCTGCTGATTGGTCCGTTTTACAGAGCACTGATTGGTCCATTTTACAGAGTGCTGATTGGTCCATTTTACAGAATGTTGATTGGTGCATTTACAATCCTTTAGCTAGACACAGAGTGCTGATTGGTGCATTTTTACAGAGTGCTGATTTGTGCACTTACAATCAGTTAGACACAGAGTGCTGATTGGTGCATTTTTACAGAGTGTTGATTGGTGCATTTACAATCCTTTAGCTAGACTGAGAGCACTGATTGGTGCGTTTTTACAGAGTACTGATTGGTGCATTTACAATCCTTTTAGCTAGACAGAAAAGTTCTCCAAGTCCCCACTCGACCCAGAAGTCCAGCTGGCTTCACCTCTCAAAAGGGTAAGCATATGTTCTCTGTACTGTCTTTGCAATTTCCTGTGACTCTATAATGATTTCCAAGTAAAAAGTTTTTAAAAAGCATCTTTTTGTCGGCCGGGCGCCATGGCTCACGCCTGTAATCTCAGCACTTTGGGAGGCTGAGGCAGGTGGATCACGAGGTCAGGAGATCGAGACCATCCTGGCTAACATGGTGAAACCCCGTCTCTACTAAAAAAATACAAAAAAATTAGCCGGGTGTGGTGGCGGGTGCCTGTAGTCCCAGCTACTCGGGAGGCTGAGGCAGGAGAATGGCATGAACCCAGGAGGCGGAGCTTGCAGTGAGCTGAGATCGCGCCACTGCACTCCAGCCTGGGTGACAGAGCGAGACTCTGTCTCAAAAAAAAAAGCAATTTTTTTGGGGCTGAATCCAAAACTCTCAGAAAACCAAATGCTGACAAGGATGTAGAACAACGGGGACTCTGATTCATTGCTGGTGGGAATGCAAAACAGTACAGCCACTTTGCAAGACACTCTGGGTGTTTCTTACAAAGCTAACCATACTTTTAATACAGTCCAGCAATGGCACCTCTGAGTATTTACCCAAATGAATGGAAAACTTATGTACACACATACCTGTGCATGGATGTTTATAGCAGTTTTATTCATAATTGCCAAAAATTGGAAGCCCCCAAGGTGTCCTCAAGGTCAGTGGATAAAGAAATTGTGATACATCCATACCGTGGAGTATTTTCCAACAGTAAAGAGAAATAAGATATCAAGCTATGAAATCACATGGAGGAAACCTATGGACATATTGCTAAGTGGAAGGATCCAGTCTGAAAAAGCTCTATACTGTATAATTACAACTATATGATACTGTGGAAAAGGCAAAAATACAGACAGTTAAGTAGCCAAGGGTTCAGGAGGAGGAAGGATGGGTGAGTAGGTTGAGCCTCAGGCATAGTTAGGGAAACTACTTTGTATGATGCTTTTGTTACTGAAATACCCTGGATTTGTCTAGCTCCTACCCTGGCCTCACACAAAGCCATCACTGAGATGACAAGTATTGCCAAGGAAGAATGCTTTAATTTTTAATCAGGCACTGCAGCTGAGTAGATGGGAGATCAGCCTCAAATCCATCTCCCTGACTGGCTAAAATTAGGGATTTATGTAGCAAAGAAGGAATGTTACTATGTATGGGAAAATAAGAACTCCAGACAATAAGGAAACAATCATAATCAATGATGGGGACTGGCATCTCATGGTCTGGAAGTGACGATCTGCTGAGTTCCAGCTCTTTGACAATTTTTGAGAGACCTTAGGATCCTTTCTTGAGGAAGGAACTCAGATTTTAAAAATGTAAATTTCAAGTTTTAAGAGCAGAAGGGTCAATTTTTATGTTTACCCAAATAACTATCTATGGGACTATTGGGTTGGTTTCACTTTAATGGTAGACACATGACATTATGTATTTATCCGAACCCATAGAACTGTGTAATAGAGTGAACCCTAATGTAACTATGAACCTCAGTTAACAATAAGTATCAGTATTGGTTCATTAATTGTAACAAGTGTGCCACACTAATGCAGGATGTTAATAATAGAAACTGAACAGAGAGCTGTTTTAGGGAAGGAAGTATGTGGGAACTCCCTAAACTTTCTCTGAAATATTTTTCTACACTTAAAACTGCTTTAGAAATGGTCTTGTTACATGGGAGGATATGGATTTAGTTTTGCTTTTCATTCTATACTTGTCTGAGTTTGAGTGTATTCTCTATTGTTCATCTATTTATTTCATATTAAAATTGTAGATATGTTAACAAAAACTTAATTGCAACATTCTCAAGAGTCAGCTTTCTCTAAACTATAGATAAAGAAACTTGTAATTTATTCATAAGTCTTGCAAGGTTATGCCACCTTGGTTTGTGCTTGTTTTATCTTGCTTTTCTTAGATTTTTATTAGTAGGCTGCAGAAATTTTGAGGAAAACAATTCTGCAACCAATCAGAGACCAAAATAAAGTTACAAAATTATACTCCTATGCAAACATCTGATTAGTTGCAAAAAACAAGCAATCAGAGGTAATTTTCATTTACCGTATGCCAGGCAGAAAAGGTGGGGGTTTGCAAAGGGAGTAGTCTCTGGTTATTTTGTTACTTAGGCATAGAAATTTAGGGATTTCTTTTGAATTTAATTCTATTCAGAAGTCAGTGTGAAACCGCCTTAGGTTCCCTGCCTCCAGATCCTATTCTCCTGCCTCATCTGGAAGACACTCTGGCTGTTTCTTATAATGCTAATCATACTCTACCATAAGATTCAGCAATTGCAATTTGAAGTATTTACCCAAATCAGTGGAAAACGTCTGTCCACACAAACAAGTGTACACGAATGTTTATAGCGCTTTATTCATAACTGCCAAAAATTCAAAGCAACCATGGAATCCTCCAGTAAGTGAGTGGATAAACAAATTCTGGTATATCCATACCATGGGTTATTATTCTACATTAAAGAGAAACAAGCCATCACGCTATGAACAGACATGGAGAAAACCTAAACGCATACTGTTTCTTCTCTCTCTCTCTCTCTTTTTTTTTTTTTTTTTTTTGAGACAGAGGATCGCTCTGTGGCCCAGGCTGGAGTGCAGTGGCGTGATCTCAGTTCACTGCAACTTCAGCCTCCCAGGTTCCAGCAATTCTCTTGCCTCAGCCTCCCAAGTAGCTGGGATTACAGGCGCGTGCCACCACGCCCAGCTAATTTTTGCATTTTTAGTAGAGACGGGGTTTCACCATATTCGCCAGGCTGGTCTCGAACTCCTGACCTCATGATCCGCCTGCCTCGACCTCCCAAAGTGCTAGGATTGCAGGTGTGAGCCACCACGCCCAGCCCCTATATGCATACTGTTATGTGAAAGAAGCCAGTCTGAAAAAACTATATCCCATATGATTACAACTATATAACATTCTGGAAAAGGCAAAAATACAGAGACAGTAAATACTGGTTTCCAGGGGTTCAGGAGGAAGAGGAATGGATAAGAAGGTGGAGTCTAGGACAATTTTAGGTCAGTGAAACTACTTCATAGGATACTTTTGTTACTAAAACACCAGGTTCAGTCTAGGTCTTGCACACAAGGGCTTCAGTCTGGGTCTTGCTGCTCACCACACAGAAAGCCAATCACTGAGATGACAATGAGTATTGCCAAAGAAGAAGGCTTTAATCTTTAATCAGGTGCTGCAGCTGAGGATACGGGAGTCCAGTGTCAAATCCATCTCTGTGACTGACTAAAATTAGGAGTTTACATATCAGGGAAGAAATGTAGCTAGGTATGGGAAAACAAGAACTAGGGAGGGGTAAGGGAACAATCATGATGAATGAGGAACAGGGAGTCTCATTGTCTGGATGAGATGATCTGGTGAGTTCCAGTTCTTTGATACTTTTTGAGAGGTCTGGGAGATCTTTATTTGGAAAGAAACTCAGATAAAACAAATATAAGTTTCAAGCTTTAAGACCCAAAGTGTCCATTTGTATGTTTATTTAAACAAAAACTGTCTAAGGGACTCTTGGGTTCACTTTATCCACCATTTCACTTTAACGGTGGTTATATGGCATTATGTATTTATCAGAACCCATAGAGCTGTATAATAAGAATGAACCCTAATTTAACTATGGACCTCAGTTAACAGTAAGTATCAGTATTGGTTCATCAGTTGTAACAAGTGTACCACAATGATGCAGGATGTTAGTAATAGGAGAAACTGAACAGAGGGCTGTTTTAGGGAAGAAGGGGTGTGGCAACTCCCTGAACTTTCTCTGCAATTTTTCTGTACACTTAAAACTGCTTTAAAAAATGTTCTCCTTACATAAAATGATATGGACTTATTTTTGCTTTTTTATTCCATATTTGTCTGCATTTGACGGCATTCTCTGTTACTCACTTACTTATTTTATATTAAAATTGTAGATATGTTACAAAACACGCCTATTCTATCTGTA
Source organism: Homo sapiens (assembly GCF_000001405.40). Lineage (NCBI taxonomy): Eukaryota > Metazoa > Chordata > Mammalia > Primates > Hominidae > Homo > Homo sapiens. Next base: position 32,489,555 of record NC_000006.12, on the reverse strand, counting down.
ATATTCTAGAAATTCTGCTTGGATTCTGTAAACCATAGGTACAGAAATTTGTTATTTATTAGTAAGTCTTACAAAGTCATGCTGGCTTGGGGTGTGCTTTTTTATCTTTTATAATCAGGGTGTAGAAATTTTGAGAAAAAAATGTATGGTTTTTGCAATATTTTATCACCAAACATGGTACCTAATTACTTTGCTTACATTTTCCCTTTAATTCTGATAATAATTCAATGCAGTGAAAACTACTATCAGTATTTTTATGAGGAATCCAAGGGTAATGTAGGCAAGATACCAGTGAAAACATAGCTTGTAAATTATACAGTCCAGATGCAATCCAAATCTAACTCAATATTTATTTGTAGTCTATCACACTGTCATGGATAACTCATCTTTATGGTTTGTGGTAGGTTCTCATAACCGTTTCAGAAATAAATACTGTCATACTTTTACAGACAAATTAGCAAGAGCTCACTGTGTTTCTAATATTTTCTTTTCATCTTAATGCTGTATCCTGCCCCTGCTCTCGTTACTCAGTTTTTCCATCCGAATACACATGTACAAATATATGATGGTTTAAATAATAAGTCAGACTGTTCTCCTAGTACTAAAACAGGCATCCAAGGCTTTTTCTTAAAGAACAGGCAATGTCAATATTCAGTGTCTGATCTCAGTCCTCATTAAGTTTGGAATGAGCAATGCTGATATGTAAATCTTGTAATATTTGTGGGTCTTCCTCTCATTCTACTCCCCAGTCTACCCCGTGTCTCCTCCTCTCCATCTGTTTCACCCATTCTCAGAGGCCAAACCCTAGGGTTTCAGATTTAGTCTACTGAAGCTACAGGCATGTCATTGACTTGCAGGCTCAAGAACCAAAAACTGATTCTGAGCCCATTGCCCAGTAGAGATCTCTTAACAAAACAAACAAACAAACAAACAAACAAACAAAAAACCCTGCTTTAGCTTTTTCCTCCAGAGGATGAGAACACAGCAACAGAACTGCTTGCACATGATCAGAAAGAGACCAACCCAATGAGCCTGGATATTTCTGTTTAATTCTGTTACTAAGAAGTATAGGAATCTTCCATTCTTGTCTAACCTGGAAGAAAGAATTCAGCCAAGAGATGCATAGCAAGGGTTAAGTATCACAGATTATTGAAGGAAAATAAAGTACATTCCTAGGGAGGAGTGGAAAACAGTTCTGGGCTGTTCCAGCTGGAAAAATAGTAGTAGCAGTGTTTATTTAAAGAGACAGTACGCTCTGAAAGAGGAGACAGAGTGGGCTGCTCAAAAGAAGGAGCCAGCAGCAGCCAGTGCTGAAGGACTCTATGAGAATCTCACATGATTATTCATGAAGGGGCCTGAGGGGGTGTCACTTGCAAACATATTTCAGGAGGACTCTTTGGGTGCACATGCTCTGTGGTTGCACATGTTACTACACATGTTGCATGTCTCAGTATTTAAAATCTCCACCCAGAGGTGTGTTTTTTATTATTATAACGAGCAAAAGATTATTCTACAGGAAGGTCTTGGAGGAGTGCACAATTTCATCAGTGGAGAAGGTCCCTGCCATGGCTGTTTTAGGCTAGGGCCTGAAAAGTTCCCTCCAGGGGTGGAGGGACCAACCACAAGGCCAGATGTAGCCAGTGTAGCCATTGCCCTTTTTGCTATTAGTGCGCAGTGCTGATTATCAAAGGGCAGTGACTCCAAGACTTCTTTTCCCAGGGACTCCCTTGCCTGCTCATTTCTGACCATCTGACTTCTCTAACGATAACAGACCTTATATGATACATTTGATTCAGACAATTCAGGATGAAGCGATCACATAAAATCTCCTGCTCCCCTCACTGCAAATAACCAGCTCAAACACCAGAAAATTCACCAAAGAACCATCAAAATGGTATAGTATATTCAGAAAAAATCGTTATTTGAAGAAACTTGAAGCAATAAGTACATGCAGAATGTCCCCATAGAATGTTTGGAAAATTCTACAATACAGAAAGAATCCTATGCGGTATATTCCAGAAACATTTTGTGGTGATAATAAAATGATGGGAACAAGTTTTGAAAGTGCTCCCGTTAACCCTATTTCAGTGTGTTATTCATAAAGAATTACTTTTCCTTGCCACCTGTAATAGTCTGTTCTTACATTGCCATAAGAAAATACGTGGGACTGGGTAATCTATAAAGGAAAAAGGTTTAATTGACTCACAGTTCTGATTTGCCCCTCGACCAAAATACCTCTCACCCGGCCTTACCTCCAACAATGGAGGTTACATTTTAACATGAGATCTGGAGGGGACAAGCATCCAAACTATATCAATAACATAATTGGTTTAATGTATGCTGACTTTGTAATCAGCAACATTATTTAAATTTACTTATTAAATCTATGAGCTTGTCTATTGTTTTTATTTTGTAAGTATCTGATTATGTCAACAGTAAATAATGACCATTTTACCTGGATGCAATTATTATCTCTTTGATATATTTTTCTTGCCATTATCATTGCCTAACTCCTCTAGTACTCCAGATATGAAGGAGACAGTTTTAAATATTTCACTGCTGAGACTAATGTGTGCAATTGGGTAGCTGTCATTTCTCAGATTGCAGAAATATCTTTTTAATACAAGTTTGAAAACAGGTTTTTTAAAAATTAAGGCCAAGTGCTAAATTCTGTCAAATCGTATTTCATGACTCTATCCAGGTGGTTGCATGTGTATTCTCCTTCCTTCAGTTAATGTAGTGAATCACACTGATTGATTCTCAAATGCTCAAACAACCTTACATTTCTGGAATAACCTCCACTTGGTCATGATATAGTAGCCATCTTTTATATCACTGAATTCACTTGGCTAAATTTTCTTAAGAATTTACCTCATAAGAGTTATTGGTCTCTTAATTCCTATTTGTTGTAGAGTTCCCTTCAGGTCTTGATGTAAAGTTTACACAGATCTCATCAAACGTAACTGCAAGTGCTTTTCCTTTTTTCAAATATGTTTGAAGTTTGTGTAAAGTTAGTGTTGTTTGTTCCTTAAATATTTTAAAATAGTTACTGAAGCTAGATGAGCCTGGGGTTTTGTCTTGGGAAAGCTTTATAGAATGGACTTACTTTCTCTATGAGATGTGGAACTCTTCCTATTTTATGTTATTTGTCAGCTTCAGTACATTGTACATTTTGAATAATTTATTCATTACATGCACAGTACATTTTGAATTATTTATTACATGCATATTTATTTTGTAAAGTTTTTCATAATATTTAGTATGATTTCATGCTGATAAATCTGTAAGATTATAACAAAAGGTATGAAATTTGTGTTACTGGAGTCTTAGAAATGACAAATGGGTGATGCCCAAAGAGTGCTTGAAGGAAGACTGACTACTTTCCAAATTTGGACAAAGGCTTAAATGTAAAAATTCAAGAATCTGTGCAAACCCAAATGAAAATAAATCCAAAGAAATTTATGCCAAAAAAAATCTCGAAAGCAACAAGAGAGAAAGGACTCTCATGCACAGGAGAAAATAAATTAAATGACAGTGTATTGCTCATTAGAAATCATGCAGACCAGACAGAAGTGGCACAAGATATTTTAATGGCTGAAAGGAATGTTAACCTAGAATGTATATCCAGTAAAAACATTATTATAAAATGTTCTATCATGACTTTTTTTTTTCTTTTACTTTTTTTTTTTTGTTTGTTTTTTGTTTTTTAGATGGAGTTTTGATCCATCTAAAAAAAAAAAACCCAGGCTGGAGGGCAGTGGCGCGACCACGGCTAACTGCAGCCTTTGCGTCCCAGGCTCATGTGATCCTCACACCTCAGCCTCCTGAGTAGATGGAATTACAGACACACACCACCACGCCTGGCTAATTTTTTGTATTTTTGGCAGAGACAGGGTTTTGCCATGTTGCCCAGGCTTGTCTCGAATTCCTGAGCTCATGGGATCCGCCTGCCTTGGCCTTTCAAAGTGCTGGGATTACAGGCGTGAGCCACTGCGCCTGGCCATGACATACTTAAAGGAAGGAAAATCAAGAGAATTTCATGCTAGGAGACTTATGTTAAAACAAGGGCTAAAGGAAGTGCTTTAACTGGAATAGAAATGATAATGGAAGAAATCTTGGACAATTGGGAAAAAAGTAAACAACAAATGAGTAAAAATATGGTTAGATACAACAGACTTCTTCAGTTTTGTAAATTAACTTGATGGTTGAGGCAAAAATTACAACATTGATAGATGTGGTTTTGATGCAAGTAGAGAAAATAAAACATATATATTACACATGCAGAAGTGGAAAGGGATATAAAGGAGGTAAAGTTTCCACACTTTAGTCAAATTGGTAAAATGTCAGCACCAGTAGACTATGATAAGTTATGTTAACAGACAGATAAATCACGAAAACTATACAATGAGATACACCAAAAAAAGATTGATTCAAAAATGGAATTCTAAAAATTGCTTAAGGAACACATTGGAAAATAGGAAAAGAAACCAGAGAAGAAAAAACCAAAGGAAACAAAAAAGAAAACAAAAAACAGATGGCAGTCATAAGAGCTCACATATTAATAACTGCATTACATGTAAAGTGTGTAAAAAGACAAATGCCAGAGTGAAAAGCAATGACTCTTCGACATGCTCCCTATAAGAAACTTACTTCAAATATTACATGCCCATCTTCCCTTGGCTTCCCTGTGACTGAGGTGGCAAAAGGCTGGTGTGTCAACACTGCCCTGAGCGTGCACACACCCAGCCAGTCTGTGACAGCACTGGGGCTTTGCCCCAACTCCACTCTGAGATCAGAGTGGGCACCTGGGACCCGAGTGAGGCCAAGGGAGAGGCCAGAAAGTGGGAACAGACACCCCCAAGGCTGCATGGACAGGAGGGCCTTCTCAGCCTTGAGGGAGTGGAGTGTAGAGAGGCCTGGATCCTGTTGCCTGCGGGGAGGGCCGGGAGGGTGGGGTTTCCAACCCATTCCGTGGAGCCTGCAGGTATCCCCTGTCACACCTTCTGGCAGCCTGGGGTGGGCAGCTCCCCTCGCTGGGCGCAGGCCAGCATGTGGGGCAAGGGTGATGTCTCTGCAAGTTATTCTGCTAGCACTCAGGGTGCCCGGGGCTCCTTCTCGCCTGGATGGGGCGGGGGAGGCACCTTGGGGAACAGATCCCAGCCCGGGCCTGGCTGTCAGGAGCATCAGGCTGGGTGGCCACCCGCGGGGACAAAACCCTGGACGGCCTCAAGCAGAGCCTCTTCCTGAGGCGCAGGAACTGGGCGCCCTTGGCAGGGCGGGAGAGCGGCCTTGCCGCTGGCCGGGTCCTCAAAG